>NC_000012.12:104126794-104429824 GCF_000001405.40 Homo sapiens
TTCTCCAAACCCAAGTTTATATAAACTCATTTATGTAAAAGTCTATATAAAACTTTTAAAGTTGATATAAAGTTGTCTTGTCTGTATAAAGTTTATATAAAATTCTTTAAAGAATGGAAAAACTGGACTTGATTATTACTGATCCAGTTGGCTTACTAATGTAACTAGTTTTTGAACAAAGCTAGAGCAGTGATCCAACTGTTCATACAAAAAGGGACTTTTCAAATTATATAAATTTAGCTATAACTGAAGCTTGCGCAGTACCAATAACATCCTTTTATGACTAAATGCAGTATCCTGTAAGTAAACTGCCCACTCTTCATATGTACTAAGTAAGGAGGCAAGGCACTTAAGTTGATTCAATTTACGTTTTTATGTGTTTAAAATGATGTTATCAGAATTAATTTATTTGAATATCCGTTTCAGGATGAAATTAATCCCTCTGGCAAGTTTCTTCTAAAAATATATCTCAATTTTTAAAAATTTTACAAATCAGGCCAGGCGTGGTGGCTCATGACTATAATCCCAGCACTTTGGGAGGCTGAAGCAGGCAGATCATCTGAGGTCACGAGTTTGAGACCAGCCTGACCAACACAGCGAAACCCTGTCTCTACTAAAAAAAAATTAGCTGGGCATGGTGCTGGGCGCCTGTGATCTCAGCTAACGGGCAGGCTGAGGCAGGAGAATTGCTTGAACCCAGGAGGCGGAGGTTGCAGTGAGCCAAGATTGTGCCACTGCACTCCAGCCTGGGCGACAGAGCAAGACTCCATCTCAAAAAAAATAAAAAATAAAAAAAAAAAAAAAATTTTTTTTACAAACCAAAATGCCACAAAAGTAAATTATTTCTGATAGGCCAACATAACACTGCCTTTTTTTTTTTTTTTTTTTTTGGAGACAGGGTCTCACTTTGCACTTTGTCACCCAGGCTGGAGTGTGCAGTGGTGCAAACATGGCTCACTGAAGCCTCTACCTCCCAGATTCAAGCAATCCTCCCACCTCAGCCCCCAGCCCCCTAAGTAGCTGGGACTACAGGTACATGCCACCAAGCACAGCTAATTTTTTAATTTTTTTGTAGAGGTGGGGTTTCACCATGTTGCCCAGGCTGGTCTCGAACTCCTGAGCTCAAGTGATCTGCCCACCTTGCCCTCCCAAACTGCTGGGATTATAGGTGTGAGCACCACACTGAGCCAACACTACCATTCTAATACCTGACATAGTTCAAAGTTAATATTGAATGAAAACCAAAAATAAATCATAAGTGCAAGAAATATAATAGCTAGAAATTTAACTCACCCTCTAAATAATTATTTTAGTTACCCTATCAATTGATTATAAATTTCTTATTTAACATTTAAACAGGAAGTCGATAACAAATTTTAAAAGAAACTGTACAGATTTTAGACAAGGTGTATTTTTATAGTAAAAGTCTTTTCAAGGACTCATTCTTTTGAAGACTATTTCTAATAAAAATAGCATGGTACGCCTTTTTAGACTTTCTCATTGAACCGTAACACAAGATTGTAAATTTTCCTATAAAGACACAAGTAGCCTAGAACACCATATTAATGAAATGTCCACTTTCTAACTTGCTTCAACTTGAGAATTTGGTTCTAATTGTGGCTTGCTTACCATCATGAGGCTGTATAACATAATGACTTCCTCCAATATAGTCTGCAGAGATTCCTAGTTGAGAAGCATCTGTTGTAGAACTGTCACCATCCATCTATGAGGAGAAAAACAGTTTTTCAATACTTTTCAAAGTACTAACAAACGTAACAGATTCAACACTTATAAACTGTCACAGGATGATGCATCAATTATACTTTTCATAGCCTTAAGCTTACTAAAAGAGAATTTATATTTCTTTTTTAAAAAATTAATTATTTTTTTGAGACAGGGTCTTACTCTGTGGCCCAGGCTGGAGTGCAGTGGCGTGATCACAGCTCACTGCAGAATCCACCTCCCAGGCTGAAGCAATCCTCCCACCTCAGCCTCCTGAGTAGCTGGACTACAGGCATGCACCACCATGCCTGGCCAATTTTTTTGTATTTTTAGCAGAGACAGGGTTTTGCTATGTTGCCCAGGCTGGTCTGGAACTCCTGGGCTCAAACAAACCACCTACCTCAGCCTCCCAAAATGCTGAGATTACAGGCATCAGCCACCGCAACCAGCCTATATTTCTTGATTTGGAAACTTTCCCACAATTTGTCCACGATTCAAGATTTCCCTATCCATCTTCCATAAGTGATATAAGCATAAGGCCAATAGCGACAAGGAAATGAATCTAAAGCATATGCCTCTTTCTTTTTAAGTGCATAATCTTCAAATATAGTACCACAGGCAACCCTGACTTACAACCTAATTTATCCCTGGAATGATGATCAGCTTAGTAAAGCTGTACACAGTGTCATGTACCTGTAGCCCCAACTGCTCAGAAGCTGAAGCAGGAGGACTGCTTGAGCTCAAGAGTTCCAGACCAGCCTGGTCAATGTAGTGAGAACCTGTCTCTTAAAAAAAAAAATCAGCTTAAGTCATCAACTGGAATTCACCTGTATCCATCACTTCCAGCTCTCCTGCTAAACCCTGATTTTCCTTTTGCTCCTGCTTGCGAACTTTCTTTGCTTTCTCATAGAAGTTCCAAAATAGACAATGTCTCCGTTCAAACTGTTACTTGGTATAAGAAGCATGCGGATTCTCTGCACAATTCTGTACCCAGGCAAGCCAAAAGTACACCCATGTTTTGAATGAACCCATAAACTCCTGATTCTAGTCAAAGGTTAATTTTCTCTCCCCCTGCCAAATCAGGGCCAGGTGTGGCTCATGCCTGTAATCCCAGAACTTTGGGAAGCCAAGGTGGGAGGATCACTTGGGCCCAGAAGTTCAAGATCAGCCTGGGCAACACAGTGAGACCCTGTCTCTAAAAAAAAACAAAAATTAAGAAATTAGCCAGGCGTTGTGGCATGTGCCTGTAGTCCTAACTACTTGAGAGGCTGAGGTGGGAAGATCACTTGAGCCTAGGAGGTTGAGGCTGCAGTGAGCTGTGATCACACCACTGCACTCCAGCCTCAGTGACAGAGTGGGGTCAGGAGGAGGGGTCAGGAAGATCTATGTATAAAGATAGGAAAATTACCTGCACAGACAAGAATAAGAGTTAAAATTCCTATTTTAAAAAAAGCCTGCTTAATTAATTTTGCTGAGAGCTAAAAGAATTCCAAGAGGGAAAGTCTGGAAAAAAGTAAATCATAAGCCCTGAGCTGGCTCCATTCAATTTCACCAACATGGCAGATCCTAGAAGGCTTTCTGTTTTGCAAATACTACTACTCAAAATAAGATATCTGTGAGTGAAAAAATGTTAAATGCATTATCTGAATAAAAAGTATAGCAAAAATCAAGTGTAATTCATACATACTTTCAGGCTGAACAAAGAAATTTGACCCTTCATTAAGGCCCAGGACCCAGTATAAACTTAATGTTATTAATTGCAAAATTTTAGTCCTTGTATAACACATGTCTTCTCCATCTCTGTTGAATTTTTATTTAATATTAAAATACTGGGCTAGTTTCCAGGTCTTCAATAACACGGCATTTCTTTCATGCATCTGTTGACTGTGATGCCTAATATAACTGTAGATAGAGACACATTTCTATAATTTATATAGTTGTTGTAAGGGGGTAGAAAATAGAATTTACAGACCTTTAATAATCTGTGAACATAGGGTACCTATTTGATACTTTTAGTAGCCTCTAAGAAGTAAACAACAAAGTCAGTGACCTGATTCTGACTCTCCTACTGATCCCCTGAAAATAAGCATCCCTGCCAATTAAATGTATTTCCATATAAAATGTAAATAACAATACCACCCTCCCCATCTTAAACTAACACAAATAAATGTGAAACAGTGCCCAAAAATCAAATGCTATTTTGATCTTAAAATGCTAACATACTAGGAGAGTATCCTTTAATAGACATGATGGATTTTTTTTTACAGCCATAAAAGAATGATCAATTATGATACCTGTGAGTTGACTAGCTTTTACAATAACCTAAGGAAGATCAAGGTGCAGGAGACAGGACCAAAGTGGTTGTTTCAGAGCCTACAATTGGAAACAAACTTTGGTTGGGGGTGGGGAGGGCAGGCGGTGGGTTGGGAAGAATAACAGAAATTCTTTCCTGAATGAGTGTTTACATGATACCATTAAGTCTTTTAAAATTGGCTATGAGCAAGACACTGTTCAAATAACCAGGCGGATCTGGGAGATGAATTAATTTAGAAATATAACACAAACAAAAGTATTAAAGGAAAAAAGTTTAAATCATATTATCTTGTCATGCACTGGAATTAGCAACATGATTATCATTTGGACTAACAGCATTAGCCTCGCTAAACCTCAGTCTTCTAAAAGTGAAGATAAAAGTATTTCCTAGAGTTGTCAGAATTAAATAAAGACTAGAAAGCTGCTAAAGACAGTGTTTGGCACGTAGTGTACCCCACAGACATTCGATCTCATCCTCCCTCCTTTGAAGAGAAGCCGCACATCATCTGCTTAACTGTATGTGTCTTCAGTTCTGCAAGTTTTAGCTTTCTATCATTTCACGCCTTCTGTCTTCCTTTCCTCTGTCTTTCTACCATTAAAATCCTGCCCCAGACTTTAATCCCAGTGTTCTCTATCCTCCTTTAATCTTTCTGATTTATCCTTTCTGCAATTCAAAAACAAATGTTCTGTTCTTTAAAGCTCTATGGCACTTAGTACCTTTCACTCAATAAGTCAACCTAATCTTTGATGCTTAGAATATGCCAGCCATTCGCCTATATATAAGAATGATGGAAAAAAACTTGCTAGATGCATCCCAAAGGTTTTTTCTAGGTCTAAAACATCCTATAAAAACTTATAAAACAGACTGTAGATTGTCAGTAAGCCAGCCAACAAATATTTACTGAGTGAGCGCTTAGTATTTACCAGGTTCATGCTATGTGCTGGTCACGTAGCTGTCAACAACAGACAAGGTCTCTGTCCTCAGCTTGCAGGACAAATGTTACATAACCTGGGAGGCAGGGTGAAGGGGTAGAGAACAGAGCCTATTAGTCCTTCCAGGACACAGGCTCTGGAATCGAATCACCTAGTTTGAATTCCCTGCCACTTACCATGAGACCGTGAACAAACTGGATGAGAACAAGACTTAACCTCCCAGGCTCCTGTACAGGTTAGGAGCTAATCCATGTAAAGACAGCATAGTACAATGGGCATACTCAGTAAGTGGTATATATAGCTATTAAAATAATTACAAATAATTAAGTAATTGCTAGTGCCAAGTACGAAGAAAAACAAAGATGTTTTGTTATGTGCTATGTGAGTTTACTCCAAAAGGGACCTCACTAGTCTGAGGGGTCAAGAAAGGCTATCTTAGGAAATGACATTGAAAATGAGACTGACAGATAAACAGAAATCAGTCAGGCAAAAAGAAAGGTGGGAAACGAATGTTCTAGGCAGAGAAAACCAAGAAATACAGTACTGGTGGATTGGAAGGCGCTAAGGAGGGGCTAGATCAAGCAGTGTCCGGTGGACAAGAGGAAATCAAAGAGTTTTAAGCAGAAGAGCACAAATCACATTAAAAAAAAAAATCCCTCTGGCTACAGTTCAGTACAGAAACCGACCTGGAGGGGAGCACAAATAGGCACAGAAGACCAGTGAGGACTGCAATGCTGCAGTCAGGGCATGACTTCAAGCAAGATAATGATCATTTTAGCATCAGGTCTGGGTGAGAGCGCTGGAGATCAAGAGAAGCAGAACAACTAGACAGCTTTTTAGTAGGTGACTTGGTGACTGACTGATAGAGATACAGGAAGACCAAGGATAATGCTGGGATTCTTGCAGCTGGAGAGACAGACAGCTGTCACCGCAGAGAATGGGAAAGGAAAGGGAGGGGAGTGCTGGACAGTGTAAGCCTAGCTGAAGCTAATGACCGTGAGTTTACAGTGGTGCCAGTATGTCCAGTGTGACACTTGAAAGGCCTGATATGAGACTACAAAAGCCAAAGTGTTGGATTTCATCCAGGTAATGAGGCTGGAAGAGCACAGCATGTAGGATAATGACAAGGGGACACGGACAGTGATGAATCGTTAGACTCAAGGAACTGATAAATATGGACAAAGAGTGGTTAAATCCCAATAAATTCATTTTAATGACTATTCTCATTATTTAGTTGAATTGACAGAATTATTCTTGAAAATATTATTTGAAATAAACAGGTAGTGGGCTAATAAATCTTTATTTTTTTGATGTAGCCGTATTTAAACTATGCTAATAATTTGTTCCACAAACAAATACTGCCCTCTTTAATGTTTACATTTATTGAACACTTTCTAAATATCTCATGCAATGTTCACAAGCCTGTGACGCAGGTGAGAAAACTGAGGTACATGAGGCTAATGATTTGCCTGAGGTGACACAGTAAATGGGACTGAAATCCAGGGCCTCAGATGCCAACTACTCTCTACAGCATTCCTGCCTGGTAGTTTTTCATACAGTCTTTACACCTACTTCTTTAATTTGTCCCTTTTACATTCTAAGGCTACTGATTATACACTGAAAACACTGAAATTAGCTTCTCAAACCAGGATGGTGTTTGTGAGATGGTTAAGAAGTGCACCCTGGACGACGGTGAGGAGCACTGGCTCTTAGGACCGATTTCGTGGGTTTGAAGCTTGGCTCCCCATTTATGAGCTCTCTTTGTGTTTTCAGCTTCCCCATTTTTAAAGTGATGTTGCTATGAGGAAGCTATTGTATAAAAAGCACCTAGCAAAGTGCAAGATACATAGTAAGAACTTAACAAATGTAATCTTAGTATTGCCCCCTCAAATACGGTTCTCATTATTCTTCCAGGCAGAGATTCTTCTCTCTCTTAATTTACCCTTTTACCTGTTTTCTGGGTTACATTCCTTTTATCTATCTGAGGATAAGAAATAATACAAAGATTCCTCTTCTATAATGTATCTTCAATCCTCCTTACCAGCTCCTTCACTCTTCCTTAAACATGCTTAGTCTCCCTCATTAAGCATACAGAAGTACACAGAGATATATAAAATCTTAATTCTGCCCCATACCCTTGCCTAGCTACCATTCTTGCCCTGACAGTTGTTAAGACACCTCTTCATTCCTATTTAAACTCCTGAACATGTACTTTTTAACCCCAACCCAGAATGAAACCACTCTTAAAAGCTGCCAGTGATCTTGTCCTCATCCTACTTGACTGTTCTTTGTAGTGCTGGCTACTACTCGCCACACATTTATGCTTGGAATTCTCTCCTACTCTGATTTCCAAAGCAATATCCTTTCCTCCCCACCCCCTAATTGTTTCACCCAAGGTTATCCTTCTCTTTCTTCCCTTATTTTCTTAATGAACTCACTAAATATCACTTCTATGCTTATAAATGCCAAATCTACAACCAATATTCTGCTTGCCACTCAAGCAACCCATGCCTGTAGGGCATGTCTAATATCTCATCACGGCAAATTTAAGATATTGGGAAATGAAATTCACCTTGCCCCATTCCCTGCAACGGGGAAAGGAGGGAGATTTCCCTTTCCACTACTGTAATTCTACTAAGAAGAATACCAGCCCTTCACTCTGCCCAGCCAAATATACCAGCATCATCTTAGGTTCTTCCATCTCCTTCAAGCTCTACCTCATCTATTACCTCTTTAAAAATGTCTCCTAGATATGCTTTCCCTTTCCTATTTCCACTGGATTACCACCCAGCCCATCTTAACATATTGTTATAAGACTAATCTCACCACAACACCAGTTCTATACTCTTGAACCTATTCTCAAAGGTTCCTAAAGGCTTCCTGTGTCAAATCCAAACCTCATTTTCATGACTTCACATGAGCAGATCGCACATTTAACCTAACCAAACTTGTTTCCTACTTTTCTCTATCTTCATGGTTAATAAAAATCTTTGTGCTAGAATGTGCTTTATTTAGGGATCACTGAGTGCACTTCTTTCATTTTAGGAGTGAAGCGACCACAGCTCAAAGAAGCTGTAACACACCCGAGGTTACAGATATAGTAGCACATCCAGAATTAAATATCCAGAGGGGACAAGTGCTTTCTCTTTCCTACATTATCCTTTGAGATCTACCCTGGACCATGCACCTCTACTCCCGATCCCCTAAACTTAAGTTGCCCATCCTGCCATCAGGCTTTTGCTTTTGGTGACACCCTTCACCAATCCACTCCCACCCTCTATTTCAAGGCTCAGTTCAAGGTCTGCAGGATCCCTCTGTGACATTCCCAAGTACCCAGGCTCACCATGCCTCTCTTCTTCCCATATCTACTGCACTTAAGAGTTAGCATTTTCCATTCTGGGCATAACTGTCCCCTAAGTATTCAATTAATTGGCTAAACAGACAGCCCCTTTACAGCTGGGACAGGCTACCCTGTAGCCTCAACAGCACTTAGGGACCCATGGGAAATAATATATGCAAGAAGCTGAAAATAAGGAAGCAACAGGAATGAGCAGAGGTACTGTCTGTCTAGACTTGAAATGCATTCATTCTACCAGGCACCTCCAGTATAAATTGGTTACAATTTTATTTCCAGCCAATTACTATTCAAATCTAATTAACAACCAAAATGGTAAAATATACTTACTGTCATGAAATACTGTCAGAACCGTGTTGTCAGTGGTGCTGAAGAACACCTATCTAAAAAGGTGTCTAATCTTTGTGATTTCAACCTAAAAGATAAACATCTATTAGGACCTAACATCTATCAATAGTAAAAATACATCAAATGTATCACTTATAGGCTTTTTTTCTCATAAAATTAAAGAGGGCTTGTATAATTTTGACTACTATTCTTAATCAATGGAGTACATGGTATAAAATAGTATAAAAAGGCACCCAATAAATGTTTGTTGACTTGAAAGATTTATTTTGGAGAACTTAAAAACAAGTTAATTCCATGGGGAAAGGAGAAAATGGATTTTCCAACATAACCCTGAATTTAGCCATATTCATCATAAACATTCATTACAATACACCAAAAAGGGACCAAATTATATAATATGCAAGAGACCAAAAATTATACATCTAAATTACTTAAAACATTAACACTCAAGATGCAAACACACCCCTTATCATCTTAATTTTTTGGTGATGGTTTTCTTAAATGTTTCAGAGTAACATTTAGACATTCTATAGCTCAAGAGGAGGAAAAAATTATCTGAGAATATAATGCTTTTCAATTAAGAATCTCAGATTATACTGTAATGAAGATACATTCTGCACTGAGAAGATATCAAAAAAGCAACACAATCAAGACCCTTATTTATAATTTTGAAGCACCACCATTTTTGACTAAAATTGCATCGAAATAGCACTTCAGTCTCACTGTAAGGCATAAATAGCTGAACAAATTAGTACCAATTGCTGTGTTACAAGTTTCATTTCTCATTTGCTCCATTCTTTCTCAAAGGAAACAATTAAATGGGGGAGGGGTAGGATGCCAAAACAAAAACACATCCTTTCAGTGTTAATTTTAAAGGGAGAAGATATACTGATACGCATCCAAGCATGAAATCTAGCAAATAGCAGAAAAAATTGTAGCCACTGAATTGAAAGTTTTTAATGCCACTAAAAAGGTCCAGGTAGCAAAAACTGCTTGACGTTTGCTATAATATTAAAAGTAATTTATAATTTCTTTTCAAATATTAATAGTATCCTCTAACCCCAAAACTGCTCAGAAAAGTCCTTCCTTGTAACGAGAAATGTTATTTTTTAAAGAGTGTCTTTGAAAAAATAAGCCCTCAGAACACTTAAAACATGGGAGCTATATTTATGTATTTTGCTTGGAATGGGAGAGGGGGGTGTGGGCAGGGAGTCATACCACACCACACTCACTCACCCAAATAGTTGATTCAGTATATATTTAGACTCAGTACATTAAAGAAAAACACTGTCACCTCATATGGTGTATATTTTCTTAAGGGCAGGTTGATATATGTAAAAGCTCAAGGGAATGCATACATCTGTTTAATGTTTTAAGAAATGCAAATTTGTATCCAAGAAAAGCAGTAGTCCCTTCCTCCACCCTCCATTCTTTGGCATCAACAACCAGAGTTTTGCATCAATATACAGTAATCCTTAAATTAAGATACAAGAGCAATGCAGGGAAGGAATAATTTGCCTTTTAAGGAATTTTGGTTAAACTTTCAATACTTTACAAATAAACCCCCCACTGATTAGTGCCACTGATATTGATCCGTTTGCTTTCATCACTTTATGTTGCTGATTAGTTTCCATACTAAGAGAGATGAAACCACCCCAGTGATTTGTAGCACGAACCACGCAACTATGGGGTCCATGCGGGTTAGTGGGATGCCATTTTTTTAAAGGTCGCAGGCTACCTAACCTTGTTTAAATTATCCTGTTAGAGTGCTTTGGGCGAGATTACGATTTGTGGGTGCTCTGTAATTCTTTGTTCTCTAAGACTACCGTTCTTTAAGGCCCTGCATATCCTCCCGCCTCCCACCACTAATGATTAAAACCTTAGTCCAATCCGAAGGGCTTCCTTCCCACCTTCGGGGCAAGTACAGGGACCGCAAACCGCCAGATGGCTGCATTCTTTACGCGCAAACCAGGCTGCGGGGAAGCTAAAGCCATGCCTTCCTCCCCACGCAGGTGCCTGGGTGGCCCCGGCCCCACGGCCTGGTCCCGGCGACCTGTCAGCCCTGCGAGTGCCAGGAGGCCGCCCCCAGAGCGCATCCCCTGACTCGCCCGGCCGCCCCGGCCCCGCGCCCAACGCCTGCCTCCCACCCGCCGCGCGGCCCCCGGGATGTGCGGGCAGACAAAGCGCCGGGCCCCGCCACAGCCCCGCGGGCGGGAGGAGGGCGCCCCCGGGGACTCGCGCCGCCGCCGGGGCTACGGGGCCAGGGCCCGGGCCGCGTCTCCCGCCCCTCGGCCGGCTCCCCGCACAAAATGGAGCCGGCCCGGGACGCCGTCGAGAGCGGGGCCCCGACGCAGCCCCGCGGCCCCTCCTCGGCCCCGGGCCCGGAGCTCAACGGCGGCGAGGGTGAGGTGGCCTGGCCCGCGTCCCGCCGCTCCTCAGCCCGGCGCACAAAGAGCCGCGCCGCGGCCCCGCGCCCGCTCCCCGGCCCGGCCCGCTGCGGGAGCGGCCTCGCAGGCGCGGGGCCCGGCCTCGGCCCGCGCGGGAGGGCGGGAGGCTAGTGCCCCCGGCCGCGGCGGCGTTGGCGGCGGGGACGGCGCCGGGAGGAGACGGACATTTCATTCGAGCTAAAGTGGAGTCGGTTTAGGAGCGATCATTGGCCGAAGCGAGACACAAACCTCCAATGCAGCCCTGGTTGGCTCCCGTCTCCAATCGGCTGTTTGGTTGGACAGAAAATGGCTGCGAAGGAACCAGTCCCAGCGCGGAGCTCCGCTTCCAGGACTCGGCCTCCCCTCCCTCCGCCGCGGGCCGCTTCCCTCGGCGCGACACCCTCCCTCCGCGCCGCCCGCGCGCCCGCCCGCCGCGGCCCCGCCCCGCCCCGCCCCGCCCCCGGCCCCGCCCCGCCCCCGGCCCAGTCCCGCGTTCCTGTGAGGCCTCCGCGCCGCTCCGGATGCCGCTCCTCTAGGCGCGAGGTCTTCCAGGGCCCTGCCCGGGCGCGCCGTTCGGGTCTAGGCGGGCCTCCTTCCCGGTGCTGACCCGGGCCTGTGCGAAGCGGGATCTCTCGGGCGTCCCTCTCTTTGTCACCCCTTCCCCCGCCACGTGGAGGTGCCTCAGCCGCCTGAGCTCAGCCTGCCTGCGCCTGGATTTTTAAGAAGGGGAAACCAAGGACAGAAGCCGCCCCCTAGGACGACGCGCCCGAGCCACCGGGAGGGTCTGAACGGCGGGGGCCTCCTGGAGCGCCTTCAGCGCCTCGTGTTTTCTTTCCTTGGGTCCCTGTTAGCGTCGCCGCATGCACAGCGCTCCCTGTCATTTGGTCCCTGAGCTTGGGTGTTTTTCACATTTCATCTAAAGATGCAGACCCCTGCTAAGTCTAGCCAGCCTTCACCCTGAATCTTGAACTTAAGATGCTGCATTTTCCACCCACCCCCACCCCTCTAGTAGCTGCAGATTGACAAGCGGCTTTTCCCAACCAGATGACATTTTGGCTGCAAGAATCCGTGGCCCGTTCTTGCCTCTGTGCAGCCAAGCTCCTTCGCTGTCTTTCTCAAACTGCAGTCCTGAGTTCAGCTTCGCTTAGCAGTGACCATCCCAGAGGTGGGTAATCCAACACTGGATCCACTCACTGCAACCGGAGCTGGGGATGGCATGCCCTCTGCTTCCACTAACCGAGTGGCCTGCACCACATTAAACTCTCCAGCTTTGATTATGTAAAAATACAGAGATCTTTTATTTATAGAGTTCCTACTGTTTCTCAGAGTATTTAAACATTTCTGCGGCAAGTATGGAAGAAAAGACAAATGAAAGCCCCAAATTGTGACAAGAGGAGTAAGTAGCAATGCCACTGTCATCAGACAACCTGACTTGAATTCCAACTCCCCTTCTTACAGGCTTGTGATCTTGGCCAAATGTCTGCTTCTCAGGGTTGTTTGGGATAATGTATACATAGAAAGCCCTTTAAAAAAAAAAAGTTATCCCAGCACTTTGGGAGGCCGAAGCAGGCCGATCACCTGAGGTCAGGAGTTCGAGACCAGCCTGACCAACATGGCGAAACCCCGTCTCTACTAAAAATACAAAAATTAGCCGGGCGTGGTGGTGGGCGCCTGTAATCCCAACTACTCAGGAGGCTGAGGCAGGAGAATCGCTTGAACCCGGGAGGCAGAGGTTGCAGTGAGCCGAGATCACACCATTGCACTCCAGCCTAGGCGACAGAGCAAGACTCCATCTCAAAAAAAAAAAAAAAAAAAGTTATCCTAAGATCTTTATATAGCATGAATTTCTTCAATCTCCATCAAACATTTAAAAGGTGTTATTTGCTTAGAAAAAAAAAAGGAAAAATTGGCCTGAGTTTAATTTCTCCCTTTCTCTATGCTTACCCATAAAGTGGAGATTAAGGAGTGAAATGATGTGTTCAAAGGTTCAAAGGCAGGAAATATAAAGTAATAGAATTGGGAGAAGGGGCTGGGCATGGTGGCTCACGCCTGTAATCCCAGCACTTTGGGAAGCCAAGGCAGGCCGATCACCTGAGGTCAGGAATTCGAGACCAGCCTGACCAACATGGAGAAACCCCGTCTGTACTAAAAAATACAAAATTAGCCGGGCGTGGTGGCGCATGCCTGTAATCCCAGCTACTCGAGAGGCTGAGACAGGAGAATCACTTGAACCCAGGAGGCGGAGGTTGCGGTGAGCTGAGATCGCGCCATTGCACTCCAGCCTGGGCGACAAGAATGAAACTCTGTCTCAAAAAAGGAAAAAAAAAAAAAAAAAAGAATTGGGAGAAAGATGACTAATCCTTCTCCCAATTCTGGATGGTGAACCAAAAGATGCGAAGATGACTACTTTTCTGAGTTAATAGTTTATCATTTCAGTACTGTGGATCTAAACTATGTGCTTAATTCAAATTCCACTAAAAGGTAATATCAGCTCCTACATTCTGCAGGCATTGTACTAGGAGCCCAAGGGCTACAAAGGTGAATGAATCACTCTCCTTACCCTGAGGAGCCAGAACTCTAGGAGAAATGGAACCCGGTCCACATCCCCTCTGCAGTTGGATCCTAGGTCATCCTGCCTTAACAACCAACCTGTGTTCTCTGTTTCTTCTGTATCTATTTCAGGAAGCCCCCAATAAATGTTAACCACTTTTCTGATGACTTGGTGAAAGAGGAAGGCCAAGATCATAATTTAGTCTTGGAAAAAACACTGCAGCTAACCTAGTCTTTGCATTCAAAGTCAGAGACAGGTAATTGAGTGTCTTTATTTCGAGTCTGTACACCACAGCTGCCAGTTAGTTCATATCGCCATTTCTCTAGGCGTCATAATTAAGCAAACAATGAAACAGAATCCCTGGCCCCATGAAGACTTCACAGTTTTTACTTCATCACTTCAATGAGGTCTCGTAAAATTCCCATGAGGACAGGGTCTAGTAGAATATTGTCTCCACTTCCACCTTCCTGATTCTTCTCTTGCTCCACTCTTCTCAATCCATTCTATGCACTGAGGCCTAGAAGGATCTGGCTT
Organism: Homo sapiens; assembly: GCF_000001405.40. Classification (NCBI taxonomy): domain Eukaryota; kingdom Metazoa; phylum Chordata; class Mammalia; order Primates; family Hominidae; genus Homo; species Homo sapiens. The sequence continues at coordinate 104,140,977 of NC_000012.12, forward strand.
CAGCTTCCCTCTCCCACCCGGCTTGTGGCTCTTCCTCAACCCTGACCTCACCACCTTCTAGACCCACTGGCCTATGCATTGCTCCTCACACACGCACCAGCCTTAAGATCCTCACTGGCTTCTTTTCATCACTGAGGTCTTGCCCCTTCAATGAGGGACTTCCCTGATCCCTTCTTCTTAAGTAGCCCCGCCCAGTTACTCTCTATCCTGTCATCCAGCTATATTATTCTATGTAAAAGTAAATATGATATTTGCTCCAATACCCTTAGCCTAACTGGATTATCTTGTTTATTTGTTGGCTATAAGTACATATATCTAAAATGGAAACAGGCCAGGCTCAGTGGCTTATGCCTGTAATCCAAGCATTTTGGGAGGCTGAGGAGGGTGGACTGCTTGAGCTCAGGAGTTTGAGACCCGCCTGGCCAACATGGTGAAACCCTGTCTCTACAAAAAGTACAAAAATTATCTGGGCATGGTGCTGCATGCTGGTAGTCCCAGCTACTCAGGAGGCTGAGATGGGAGAATCACTTGAACCCGGGAAGTGGACGCTGCAGTGAGCTGAGATTGCATCACTGCACTCCAGCCTGAGTGACAGAGCAAGACTCTGTCTCAAAAAAAAAAAAGGGAGAAAACACTTCTCATTGCCCATACTACTACCACCATGGTTCAAGTCACATCTCCTGAAAGGATTTGGATGTTCTAGCCAAATCTCATGTTGAAATGTAATCCCCGGTGTTGGAGGTGTGGCCTGGTGGGAGATAATTGGATCATGGGGGTAGCTTTCTCATGAATGGTTGAGCATCATCCCCTGGATGCTGTCCTCGAGATACTGAGTGAGTTCTCTTGGGATGTGGTGGTTTAAAAGTGTGTAGCACCTCCCCCTCTCCCTCTTGCTCCTGATTTTGCCTTGTGAAGTTCCTGCTCCCATTCTGCCTTCCACCATGATTGGAAGCTTCCTGAGGCCTCCCCAGAAGCAGATGCCAGCCTTATGGTTCCTATACAGCCTGGAGAACCGTGAGCCAATTAAACCTCTTTTTGTATAAATTACATAGTCTCAGGTATTTCTTTACAGGAATGCAACAACAACCTAATACATCTCTCATCAGGGTGACTGCAGTGACTTGTCTCCCCTCTTCCACTCTGGTACACAGCAGCCAAGATTTCAGATCCTCTGAAAATATAAGTCAAATCCTGTCACTCCACTGCTCAAAAATCCCCTATTAACTCCTCATTTCTCTCAAAGTAAAAGACAAAGACTTTCCAGTGGCCTTGTAAGACAGAGTGGCAAGTTCCTTCATTCCAAATTGAGCAACAAAAAGATACTGATTGTTCTTTGGTCATAGTGACAAGAAACAACCAGAATCTGTTTTAATCAATCAATAACAATCTCCTGATCAGTGACTTGCTTCTGAAAATTAGCCAATCAGCAACAGCCACACTCTAGTAATCCTTCTTCCACATCTAAAGTTCAACTCATCTCTAAACAGTCCAGCTTCTAAGAGTTCCCCAACCTCCGAACCCCATGCTTCCCAAAACACTGTATAAGATTCACAGATTCCTTTGTTCAGAGACACTGTCTTACAAGTACTGCTGTCCTCTGGTTAGCAAGAAATATGTTCAGCACTTAATTGTTGCAGACGTGAATGGTGGCCTCTTCACTGGGCAACAACCTATGGGATCTTTGATCTATTCCCTTTCCGCTCCCCCTCTACCCTCATCTCCTCCTACCTTTTCCTTTGCTAATTGCACTCCTTGCAGTCCTTATTTCTGCCAGGAATGCTCCTGCCTCAGGGGCTCTGCACTGGCTGTTCCATCTGCCTAGTACATTCTCCCTCAGATAGCCACATAGCTCACTCCCTCACCTCCTTCCATGTCTTAATGGGGCCAGCCCTGATCACTTATCTAAAAATTGCAATTCCAACTCCCTACCCCCACTCAGCTATAACCCTCTAACATATTATATAGTTTCCTTATTTGTTATGTTTATGATTTATTGTCTGTCTCTTCCCACTAAAATGTAAGCCCTATGAGGACAAGGAATTTGGCTTGTTTTGTTTACCAATGCATCCCACACATCTAAAATAGTGTCCAGCATTCAGTTGGTACTCAATATTTGTTGAATGAATGGACTTTGAATGTTTCACCTTTTTAGAATATAAACTCCTTTAGTGCAAAGACCTTGTGTTCACCATTGTATTCTCAGAGCCTAAAACAGTGCCTGGCACATAGTAGGGGCTTCATAAGTATGTACTAAATGAATGCATGCACAGGTATGGTATAAAATTGTTTTAATTGATAATATAAATGACCCTGAGATTACCAAAGCCTTATGTGCCATCTTCCTCCACAGAAACACAGTTAATGAACACATTTAAAATTCCTCACATTATTATGATGTGTTAATCAAAAAATCCAAAACATATTCATCACTATTTCCCCAGGTATTGGGTAAGTTAATATACAAAGATGACTAAAAAATCCTTGATCAGCTTGAAAAAGCAGCAAGATCACTCTCGTTTCTAGGGCTGCTGAGGCTGAGGACAGGAGGAAATCCTTGTCTCTGATAGGAAAGAAGGGCAGAGAACATTCTTTTCTCATTTCCTTTATTTTTTTGCTTAAACTCTTGGGTCATTTCCAAACTGGTGTCCCTGTCCATTTAATATAACATGGCCATATTAATCTTCCTGAAAACTTGTTTTCTTAATCCTACATATGAATGCCAGGTCATAGAAAACATAGTTCTTATTGTGTTGTTACCTTTTAAAAAAATCATGAAAACAGCTCTCATCTATTATATAGTTACTACATATCAGGAACTCTGCTAAATGCTACCTGCATGTTTTCTCATTTCAGCCACACAATGACCTTATGAAATAGGTGTTATTTGCCCAACTCAAAAGACATGAAAACAAGCTCATAGTTTAAGAAACCAAGAAGTCACACAGCTGGAAACCAAGCCTCAAACCTGGCCCCAGTCCCTCTTATAAAAAAAAAAAAAAACTATTTATTCAAAGGGTCCCCATAGACTTTTCTCTAAAGAAGATACACAGATGGCCAACAAGCATATGCCAAGATGTTCAACATCATTAGTCATAAGGGAAATTCAAATCAAACCACAGTGAGATATCACTGCACACCCACCTAGATGGCCAGAATCAGAAAGATCGATAGTAACAAGTGTTGTCAAGGATATGGTGAAACTGGAACCTTCACACACTGCTGGTGGGAATGTAAAGTGGTACAGCCACTGTGGAAAACAGTCTGGTTGTTCCTCAAATAGCTAAACATAAAAGTTACCATTTGACCCAGCAATTCCACTCCTGGTGTATGCCCAAGATAAATGAAAATATATATCCATACAAAAACATATACATTTATGGCAGCTTTCTTCTTTTATTTTTATTTATTTATTTATTTCGAGACAGAGTTTCGCTCTTGTTGCCTAGGCTGAAGTGCAATGGCACGGTCTCAGCTCACTGCAACCTCCACCTCACAGCTTCAAGTGATTCACCTGCCTCAGCCTCCCAAGTAGCTGGGCAAATATGATATATCAATGCAATGGAATATCATTTGGCCATAAAAACAAATGAAGCTCTAATATATGCTACAACATGGATTAACCTTGAAATCATTATCTAAGTAAAAGGAGTCAGACACAAAGGACCACAGATTATATGATTTCATTTATATTAAATATCTAGAATAGTCAAATCCATAGAGAGAGAAGGCAGATTATTCTTTGGTGGGGGGCTAAGGGAGGAGATGGGAGAGCCCGAGGTGTGATAGCTAAAAGGTATAGAGTTTCTCTGTGAGGTGATGAAAATGTTCTAAAATTGTGAGGGCCGGGCACAATGGCTCACACCTGTAATGCCAACATTTTGGGAGGCTGAGGCAGGCAGATCACTTGAGGTCAGGAGTTCGAGACCAGCCTGGCCAACATGGTGAAATCTGATCTCTACTAAAAATACACAGATTAGACGGGTATGGCAGCAGGTGCCTGTAATCCCAGCTACTTAGGAGGCTAAGTCAGGAGAATTGCTTGAGCCTGGGAGGTGGAGGTTGCAGTGAGCCAAGATTGCACCACTGCACTCCAGCCTGGGCAACAGAATGAGACTCCATCTCAAAAAATAATAAGAAAATTTTTAAAAAATTGTGAGGATGGTTGCACAAATCTGCGAGTATACTAAAAAACAGTAAATTGTACACTTTAAATTTGAAAATTGTGTGGTATGTAAATTATATTTCAATAAAGCTTTTACCAAAAGGATCCTACCTTTTCGTATATGTTCATATCTTTTTATATGTGAAGCACACACAAATTGATAAGCAAAACACTAAATTCTAAGCAAAACACTAAATTCCCAATAGAAAAATGAGCAAAGCACATAAAATAGAAAACTCATAAAAGAAAAAATACAAATGGCTAATGAACATGTGGGCAGGGAAAAAGGTTCACCTCAAAGACAAATTAAAATGGGGAAACCTAACACATAAGCAAATAATTTTACAGCAGAGATGAAGATGAAGATGTGATAAGATGGATGTTCTTTTTTTTTTTTTTTTGTAGGCATGAGGTTTCACCATGTTGCCCAGGCTGGTCTTGAACTCCTGGACTTAAGCAATCCTCCTTTCTCAGCTTCCCAAAGTTCTGGGATTACAGGCATGAGCCACTTCACCCAGCCTGAGATAGGTGCTCTTATATGCTGATAATGGGAGAGCTTTCTAGAAAGCAGTGTGTGCTTTGGCAGCTTTTAAGGCATTTATATTCGTCTGTTCTCACGCTGCTGATAAAGACATACTGAAGACTGGGTAATTTATAAAGGAAAGAGGTTTAATGGACTTACAGTTCCACATGGCTGGGGATGCCTCACAATCGTGGCACAAGGCAAATGAACAAAGTCTCGTCTTACTTGGCGGGAGGTGAGAGAGCATGTGCAGGGGAACTCCCCTTTAAAAAACCATCAGATCTCGTGAGACTTATTCACTATCATGAGAGCAACACAGGAAAGCCCCACCCCTATGATTCAATGACCTCCCACTGGGTCCCTCCCATGACACATGGGAATTATGGGAGCTACAATTCAAGATGAGATTTGGGTGGGGACACAGCCAAACCCTATCAGTGTTCTTACACACCTAGTCAAAAAAATCTATCACAGGAAATCATTTGTAATACAGGTAATAAGTAATAAGATATTCATAACAACGCTGTTAACAATAGAAACAATTGGGGGAAAACTATGTGGTAAGCAAACTAAAATGGCCCGAAGGCTCTGCACCTCCTAGTATTCACACCTTTGTGTATTGTCCTCCCCTGGGGTATGGGCTGGACTTATCGACTCACATCTTTTTTTTTTTCCATTTTTATCTATTTATTTATTTTGCTTTTCTCTATTTTTCTTCTATTATATAGGTATTTTAGGCTTTTCCTTTTTAAAATTCTCTACAACTATTATGATTTTAAGAAGGGGAAGAGTTAGAAGCATTTACAGACTTTTCACAACAATGACCCTGCCTGGTAAGTCCCTTTTTTCCCCTCCTTGTTTTCTCACACTTTGCAGTTAATGAGTTTTAAGATTTGTGTTGCTTTCCCCAAATATCCACCAATTTGTTCATCTTAACAGCTCCATCCAGACATAGAATACAAAAAACCATAGGAAAGTGTCACAGCACCTCTCAAAGTTCATCAAAGCGCCTCTCAAATTATCAAAGAACTATTATCTTGCTGTTTGAAAGGCAGTGACAGGTTGTTTTTCCTTTTTTTAAATTTTTTTATTACTTTTTTTGTAGAATCGCTCTAAGCTGTGTCAAGAACAGCCACGAGACAGGAAGGAGGTTGTCCTCCATTCCCCCTCCATTTGACACAGGGCTACACATAGAGCTGCCATAAAAAGTCTGGTCCTTTGGTCCCTAAATAGCTGAAAGAACGACAGATAGAGATGCTCAGTGGCCTCCCAGCTATCCCCTGTGGACCAGGCCTGCTTCAGGTGCTTGTAGGCTGGAAAAGCAGCCTCTCCTACCAGTTCCCAGCCCTTCAGCCTCACGTCTGGTCTCGTGTTATTTTGTTTTAAAGTTGCTATGTGTGTGTGCGTGTGGGTTTTTTTTCATTTTTCTTCATCTTCTTATTTATGTCATACATATTCCCCCAAATATGTGACCTCTTAACTCCATAAATGCTCTTTTTCTTGAAGAAATGTTAGAGTCACACAGACAGTGTCTGGAGTCTTCAGCTTGATTGATATCGGCTAATATGTCAAGGGTGTCATCCAACAGTTCTCATTTATAAATAGAGAGAGATTTGTTTATTTATTTAATTTGGTTTGAAGTTCCGATATACATGTGCAGGTTTTTAAAGGGAGCCCGTTCAGCATCCTGCCCTGTTCGAGTCCTGCTCTCCCGCGGGAGATGCTCCCACGGGTGCTCAGTCCAGGCAACTGGTGCCTTTGGGCCGCTTCAGCTGCACCTGGAGCCTCTTCATGCTGACCTGGAAGCCGTTCATGGCCTGGATGGCGGTCTGCACGCTGGCCGGGTTGTCGAAGCTCAGGAAGCCTGTGGGTGGAGGAGTTTATTGGACACTGTCCTCCCTGACAGGAGGGGGCCTGGCAGCTTGAGGGCACAGGGTGTCGGGCTGGGGAGAGAGAGGAGTGCCAGGGCAACTCACTCCTAGTGAATGAAATTCAGCAGGCAAAATGGGAGGTCACTTCTAATATTAGATTACAAAATAACCATGAATTCCATCTTGGGTCACCTTTCTCTCTCTCTCATTCTGTCTCACTGTGTGTGTGTGTGTGTGTGTGTGTGTGTGTGTGTGTGTATCTCTATATCTATTGATCTATCTGTAGATAGATCTATATATTTATATATTTATATCTATAGTCATATAGAGGGATATAGATATGTATAGATATAGATAAATAGAATAAGGAACTGATGTCTCCAGCCAACAGCCAGCAAGAAGCTGAATTCTGCCAACAGCCAAGTGAGCGAGCTTGGAAGTGGGTCTTCCTCTGCCTGAGTGTTGAGATAGCCACAGCCCAGCTGATAGCTTGATTGCAGCACTAAAAATCCCTGAGCCAGAGCCACTCCCAAATTCTTGGCCCGCTGAAACTGAGATAGTATTACTAAATGTTTGGTGTTTTAAGCCATTGAGTTTTGGGGTAATTTGTTACACAGCAATAAATAACAAATACAACTTCATTGTCTAACAATTTGAAATGATTAGAAAACATGTCATAAAATAGAATATTGTCCTGCTATAAAAATATTTTCAAAGAATTTTTTAAAACATGGGAAGATGTTGAGAATAAAGCAAACTATAAAGAGATACAATATGATCCCAATTCATATATATAGGAATACTTACAGAGAAAAACTGCAAGCAAATATGTTGAAGGTCAACAGTTTTCTCTGTAAAACAGAATAGGTGCTCAATGCATTCTTGTTGATTTCAGTTAAGAACTCATTCATTTGGTCCATTTTTATTGAAAATCTGCAGTGTGTCAGCCAGGCCCTGGGGAGACAACGGAGACAAAAAACCAAGTCCCTGCACTCATGGAACTTACTTCTTGGTGAGCTCTCCTGATGGTTTCTTCTATAGCAGTGGGGATGGAGGTGGAAAGATGGAGTGCAGTGAATGGATTGATGATACATTTCAGGGGTAGAACATTTTGGTGCAAAAAAGGAATAAGGCCAGGTGGCTCACACCTGTAACCCCAGCATTTGGGGAGGCTGAGACAGGCAGATCGCTTAAGCCCAGAAGTTCAAGACCAGCCTGGGCAATATGGCAAGACCCTGTCTCTACGAAAAATTTAAAAATTAGCTGGGCATAGTGGCACGTGCCAGTAGTCCCAGCTACTTAGGAGGCTGAGGTGGAAGGATCACTTGAGCCTGGGAGGTTGAGGCTGCAGTGAGCCATGTTCACATCAGCCTGGGCAAAAGAGCAAGACTTTATCTCAACAAAAAAACAAACAAACAACAACAACAACAACAACCAAAAAGGGAATAGTGAAGAAATGGGGTTTACTCTTAGGTGGTTGGTTTGGGTAATTTGAGTGGATGATAGGATGGGCTGTGGAGTAGACTGTTTGGTTTTGTGAAAGTTGTCAAAATCAAAATGGAGTCACTAATTTTAAGAAAACCCTAAGAAGTTATCTCTTTCTTCATGGCAAAGTCCATGAAGAAAGGATCTCCTGCTTGTGTACCTGATAACAAAAAAGACTCCACAAAAACTACAACCTTGCCCAAAAAGTGTTTCTGCAAGATCATCTGTCCAGCAGCTGCCTGTCCAACCTTGGACCAGTATCACCCTTGTTATTGATCTTTGTAGCCAAAGACAATTATTTCAAAACAATTTTGTAATCCTTCTCATTTTTTTCTTTAGAAACCTTTGTCTTCCTTTACCTCCCTGAACACTCACATAGTTTACAATGGCATGTGTTTTCCCATTGCAGTGCTCTATTCCCAAACATCATCTTCTTTTAGAGGGCCCCTCTCTGTTTGTTATTTAGGTTGATAAATTAAAATCCTGCTGCTACTAATTACCAGCTGAGTGATCTTGGGTCCACAGGCTACATAATTTGTGTGCCTCAATTTCCTCTGCAAATTGATGACCTTCCTCATCCACTTTGCAGATAACAAGGTAATTCACAGAGTTGTTGAGAGGCATGAGTTAGTATAAAGATCTTCAAAGAGAGCCTCGCACATTGAAAAATAGCTAAGATTATTAGCCATTATTATTATTGCTTTACAACTGTTGAGATGAGGATTACTAAAAAAGAAATCAAAATTAAGAATGTGAGTATTTAAAAAGTGTAGTTATTAATTTTTCTCTATTACAGTAGAATCATGCCACCTATTAAAGTTTACCTAGTTTAGCAGTTATGGGAGTAATTGATATACTATGTGATAATTAACACTGTGGATTAGAGGTGCCCAAAGGAAGGAATAAAAGAGCAGTAAATTTTAATAAGGACTGTAGGAAATACCCTAGAAGGAAAGGGTGCTGAGGCAGGCTGAGCCTGGAGGGGAAGAAACTGCAGAGGGAAGTGGAGGAGAGAAAATGGGGGGCCAGAGACATCCCTTCCACCTCTGAAGCCAGGGTGACTCCTCAGGCTGTTCAGTGGCTCCAAGCACTGAAAAGGTGACGATGCCATATCTACCCCTATGTAATTCAAAATAAAAAGGATGCTTCACTGTAGAGTATGTGGATAGAAGTCCCACAAAGCTCTGGCTTTTCTCATGATGGACAATTTTCTATGTTTCTCAATATCAAATTCTTTTTTAAAAAAATTCCTTGCTTTGCTGATCCCCAAGCACATTCTTGGTTTGCTTAATCTGTAATCCCACCCAGAAAGTTGTGGCAACTGACTCCTCAGCCCTTGCCATTTGCTTGGCTGACTCCTATACACCCCTCAGATAATTTAGCTTAGCTATCACCTCATCCAGGAAGCCTTCCCTGATCCTCCAAGACAAGGTCTTGTAGTTATCTCCATCTGTCTCACTAAAGCAGGGGTCCCCAACCCCTAGGCCATGGACTGTTAGCGGTCCATGGCCTGCTAGGAACCAGGCTGCACTGCAGGAGGTGAGTAGCGAGTAGGTAAGCAAGCGAAGCTTCATCTGTATTTACAGCTGCTCCCCGTCGTTCACATTACTGCCTGAGCCTCGCCTTCTGTCAGATCAGCAGCAGCATTAAATTCTCATAGGAGCGTGAATCCTATTGGAACTGCTTATGCGAAGGATCTAAGTTGTATGCTCCTTATGAGAACCTAATACCTGATGATCTGTCACTATCTCCCATCACCCCCAGATGAGACTGCCTAGTTGCAGGAAAACAAGCTCAGGGCTCCCACTGATTCTACATTATGGTGATAATTATTTCGTTATATATTACAATGTAACAATAATAGAAATAAAGTGTACAATAACTGTAATGCATTTGAATCATCCTGAAACCAACTCCCCTCCCCAACCACCACCATCCGTGGAAAAATTGTCTTCCATGAACCTGGTCTCTGGTGCCAAAAAGGTTGGGGACTGCTGCACTAAAGCACATTTCCCTGTGAAATTAAATTCTTTTTTTTTTTTGAGACAGGGTCTCTCTCTGTCTCCCAGGTTGGAGTCTAGTAGTACGATCATGGTTCACTGCAGGCTCAAGTGATCCTCTCACCTCAGCCTCCAGAGTAGCTGGCACTACAGGCATGTACCACCATGCCTGGTTAATTTTTTTTTAATTATTTTTTGTAGAGACAGAGTCTCCCTATATTCCCCAAGCTGGTCTTGAACTCGTGGACTCAAGTGATCCTTCCACCTTGCCTTCCCAAAATGCTGGGATTACAGGTGTGAGTCACTGTGCCTGGCCTGGAATGTAAATTTGTGGAGAGCCAGACCATATCTGTCTTTTTCATCCTTGCACCCCCTGTGCCTAGAACAGTGCCTGGCTCAAAGCTGAATAAAAGTGTACTAAATGAATAAATCATTGAAAGAGTAATCCCACTCCACCCCACCTCCCCTGATTCCTTCACCTCCAACAAACACCTAGACAGAGTTATCCCACAGGCTCGGTGTAGGTCACTCCCACCTGTCTCCAGAGCCCTTACACTTCTGCTGCCTCAAAATCAGAGATCTTCCCACCTGTATGCCTCCAGTTCCACACTGATTGAGTTTAATGAGAACCCATTCAAAGGATAAAAAATTATAAGCACAGACAGAATTTCCACAACTGAATTTTCTGAGCCTAGGTGATAAAGTTGAAAAAACAAAGCATTTACGACCTCACTCTGAGGGGGTCTCTGAGTTTTATGAACTATTAAGTAAAGGATTTTCTGCAAACTGCGTCTTCCCAACTTGGCACAATCCTGTCTTAATCACTTTCCCAAATAGGGTTTTCCTGGCTGGAAATGCTCCCCCCACTTTGTTTGCCTATAATCAGTCACAGATTCAACAACAGAATTGCTAAGAAATTATTATTATTATTATTTTTTTGAGATGGAGTCTCACTCTGTCGCTCAGGCTGGAGTGCACTGGCATGATCTCAGCTCACTGCAACCTCCGCCTCCCGGGCTCAAACAATTCTCATGCATCAGCCTCCTGAGTAGCTGGGATTACAGGTGTCCGCCACCATGTCCGGCTAATTTTTATGTTTTTAGTAGAGACGGGGTTTCACCACGTTGGCCAGGCTGGTCTCAAACTCCTGACCTCAAGTGATCTGCCCACCTTGGCCTCCCAAAGTGCTGGGATTACAGGCGTGAACCACTGCACCCAGCAGGAATTGCTAAAAAATTCTTGAGACCATCTAGCTCAAAGGTTACAAACTCCTATCCAGTTGCCTTTGTAGGCAGCATACTTATTTTTATTTCACCTATACAAGTCTGGGGGGTTTCTACCCCAAACTTTGAGAGGGATTTAAATGTATTTTGGGGAAAGCCATGGCTTCTTTCCTTTCCCCCAAGCCCCACCACCAACCCCTGGCTTCTACCAGGCTATTTCTCAGTTTATGTTACCAACCTGGCCTCTGATGACAGATCTGAGTTTTGGCCACTGAGGCGGGTTCAACCTCCAACCCATTCCAAAAATTCCTTCCCCAGCTGTCTCATGTAGGGATGTCCTTGCCTTCCAAGCCCAGTTCAAGTCCCAGACCTCCTCTGGGAGACCCATCTCTATTCCCAGCCCCACCTTGCCTTTTCCTGCCTTTCCCTTCCGTTTTTCATGTTGTTACTGGTGCCCACATCACAGGTGCAGAGACAGTAAACTCTGAAGAGGCCTGCTGCTGTTTTTCATCCAGAATAGGCTTCCCCCTTCTTCTGGGAAATGTACATTTCCCTGACTCTAATTGTGAGGTTCCCATGGGAACAGAGAGCAGACCACTCTCTTCTGACAGATCCCATCCCCTTGGCCCCTGGTGATTGGTGTAGGATTGGGCACCTGATTCAAGCCAGGGCAGACATGAGCCTCTACTGCCCCACTGGATACAGTCTTTGAACCAGGCCAGAACCCTTACCCAGGGTTTGTAAACTTGACCCCAGGGAGAGCAAGAGTCAGTCCCTTTCTGGTATCAAAGCTGGGTGGAGCTGCCCTGGTGGCTGTTGCTTGACTTGCCACCAGTCCTGGGGAAAAAGCCAAAACACTAAGAGAATAGCAGAAAGGAGAAACAGAGGAGAGACTCTGCAGAATTCAATCTCTAGTTCTCCATTTTGTCTAAGCTAGTACTGGTTGTATCCCATGTCAGGTATGGTCCCAGACATAATAACTAAAAGAGAAGTTAGTTTCATTCATTGTGATACTGCTTGACATCTCCTGTCATCTGAGTTAACATATATCACCTCTGGCCGGGTGCAGTGGCTCACACCTGCAATCTCAGCACTTTGGGAGGCTGAGGTGGGTGGATCACCTGAGGTCAAGAGTTCGAGACCAGCCTGGCCAACATGTGAAACCCCATCTCTAATAAAAATACAAAAATTAGCCAGGTGTGGTGGCACACTCCTGTAATCCCAGTGGAGGCTGAGGCAGGAGAATTGCTTGAACCTGGGAGATGGAGGTTGCAGCGAGCCGAGATCGTGCAACTGCACTTCAGTCTGGGTGACAGAGCGAGACTCCGTTTCAAAAAAAACAAACAAACAAACACATATCACCTCTTAGATAATATGCAGTGCAAAATAAATTATTGCAAGGCTTATAGTTAGTGACACAAGCCTAGGATCCCAGAGAGAACCCAGGATGAGAAGTACGCAGAACTTGAGGGACACAAAAGAGGACTTCAAAAAGGGGAGACACTTCTGAACTAGGCTTTACATTTTTAAGATATTCAGCTAAAAAAAATGGTTTTTTACATTTTATGGCACTAAAATAGAGCTTTTACAGGACACCTGATCATTTAGAAAACTATTAGGTAGGTGGGGCATGGTAGCTCATGCCTGTAATCCCAGCACTTTGGGAGGCCATGGTGGGAGGATTTCTTGAGCCCAAGAGGTCGAGGCCACAGTGAGCCAAGATTGTGCCACTGCACTCCAGCCTTGGCAACCAGAGTGAGACCCTGTCTCAAAAAAATCAAAAAAGGCCAGGTGTGGTGGCTCATGCCTGTAATCCCAGCACTTTGGGAGGTTGAGGCAGGCAGATCAAATGAGGCCAGGAGTTCAAGACCAGCCTGGCCAACACAGTGAAACTCCATCTCTACTAAAAATACAAAAATTAGGTGGGTGTGATGGCACATGTTTGTAGTCCCAGCTACTCGGGAGGCTGAGGCACAGGAATCTCTTGAGCCTGGGAGATGGAGGTTGCAGTGAGCTGAGATCACGCCACTGGTGACAGAGGGAAACTGTCTCAAAAAAAAAAAGAAAGAAAACTATTATGTAGAAACCCTACCTAATATGAAAAATGAAAGAAAAATGAAGGTGAGTAGCAGGGCAAGAGCAGGAAATGCTGGGTGGGGAACAAGAAGGACTGTGATTTGGACCACGATAAGGTTGCTCACTGAGCAGCGGAAAGTTCTCTAATGGGCAGATCCAAGGGGCGGTTCAGCTTGGAAGGGCTTCTATGAGCAGAAGTGGCCTAAAGACTGTTGTGCTGGCTCTCCACTTCCTCATATTTCAATTGTTGCTCTAGACCAGAGGGCAGCAAACCTTCTTTCAGGGGCAGATAGTAAATACTGTAAACTTTGCATTGCGACAACTCTGGGCATGGTGGTGTGCACCTGTATTCCCACATCTTACACTAAATTGATTCCAAATGCCCTATTCATGGCCCTCTTGCCTGACAGCTGCCTCCACTACCTCCAACAGTGGCAGAAGTCAGTGGCCATGTTTGTTTAAGGATCTTAGCACTGTAATCATAGCAGGCACTTATAAAAATAATTGTCAATATAGTCAATAGAGTAGAATTCTCTTGTGAATACAGCACACACCTGTCTGCCCAGCATGCCTTTTCACTCTTCTTTCGGTGACATTGCTCTCCTTCTTTGGGGATAATTGCTTTTCCCCCACCTCCAACTACATGATCCTAGAGGGTGCAGCCAATCCTATTACACGGTACTTGACACAAGCCAGGCTGATTACAGTACCTCACCTCCCCCAGCCACAGGGATTAGCTTGAGGAGTGGGCCAAATCAGGCCAAATAGGATCATTCTATTGGGTTTTAAAATCTAGATCTAGTGGAAGAAAAAGCAAACATTTACTTTGCTCCTAGGTGACAAAGTCATGATGTGACCCAGAATTCCCAACAGATACCTCCCTTGAGATATAGAAAATACTTGTCTACATAGGAAAGGTAATTGAGAGAAATGATGGCAGGGGGAAAGGGGGAGGTGGGGGGAGTTGAGGAAGGGGCACTTAATCCCTGAATATCCCTGAGCTTCTCTAGTTCCTCTTTACCTAAGGCTGAATTGTTGAGCTTCAATTCTGAGAACTACTCTAGTATCCAATAAGTCACTCTTATCTTTCTTTTTCTTCCCTTCTGTAAGTTTGAATTCAGTTTCTGTTGCTTGCAATCAGAGTCTCAGTGAATATATAAATTGTCTGGGATCTATTTTGGTTTTGCTTGAAGAGCATTTCGGGAATGAAAAGCCTGCAGTTTGGGAACAAACTTCAAGAACCAGTCATTTTCAAGAGGACAGTAGAAGAGAGAAAAAGTTTTAAGTAAGAAAGAGTGTATTTGTTATCCCTTATAATAATAATGGCCTGTCATTACCTATGAGGTGGGTATTATCTCTATTTTACAGGAGAGAAAACTGGCTCAGCAAACCAAACAGCTAGAAAATGACAGGTTGTGAATTCGGACATGTCTGATTTCTTAAACATTTCACCAGGCTAAAATATGTTCCTGGTATGAAAGGAAAACTATCCTTTAATCTAATATATTTTCAGAAAATACCTTAAATCTAATGTTGGAACTGGAAATTCCTGCTCCATATCCCTCATTAATAGTTAGTTAACTACACATGCATTCATTCGGAGACATCCGTAGGAATTACAGCAGAATCTACTGACTCATTCATTCCTGGTACTCTGAAAGAAGTTCAGATAATTTATCTGGCAGGAGCCAGACCTGGGAAAAGGCCCATTCAAAAGTCTATCTGAAGATGTATACACCTACTATGCACCCACAACAATTAAAATTTAAAAAAAATTTTTTAAGTGTACCTGAAGGCAAAACAATGAAAAAATTCTTACCTGTCTAGGGCAGGGGTTGGCAAACTACGGCCTGCAGCCCCGCTGCCTGTTTTTGTAAAGAAAGTGGTATTGGAACACAGCTACATCTTTCATTTATGTATTGTCTTTGCTGCTTTCCTGCTACAATGGCAGCAGAGTTGTTGCAATGCAAAGTTTACAATATTTACTATCTGCCCCTGACAGAAAAGGTTTGCTGCCCTCTGGTCTAGGGCAACAATTGAAATATAAGGAAGTGGAGAGCCAGCACAACAGTCTTTAAGCCACTTCTGTTCCTAGAAGCCCTTCCAAGCTGAACCGCCCCTTGGATCTGCCCATCAGAGAACTTTCTGCTGCTCAGTGAGCAACCTTATCGTGGTCCAAATCACAGTCCTTCTTGTTCCCCACCCGATGTTTCTTGCTGTTGCCCTGCTACTCACCTCCATTTTTCTTTTTCCATGTCCATAGCCCAGGTGTAAATCTTACCTCTGCCTCCTACTCCCTAAGGCGGTGGTCCCTAACCTTTATGGCACCAGGGACCAGTTTCATGAAAGACCATTTTTTCCATGGACAAGGGATGGGAGGGATGGTTTTGTGATGATTCAAGTGCATTACAGATATTGTGCTCTTTATTTCTATTATGATTACATTATAATATATGATGAAATAATTATACAACTCACCATAATGTAAAATCAGTGGGAGTCCTGACCTTGTTTTCCTGAAACTAGGTGGTCACATCTGGGGATGATGGGAGACAGTGACTGATCATCAGACATTAGATTCTCATAAGGAGCCCACAACCTGGATCCCTCACATGCGTAGTTCACAACAGGGTTTGTGCTTCTGAGAGAATCTACAGCCCCGCTGATCTGACAGGAGGTGGAGCTCAGATAGTTCCTAACAGGCCACAGGCTGGTACCAGCCAGTGGCCCAGGTATTTGGGAACCCTGCCCTAAGGCATCTATTCACCTCTGCCCAGCCCTGTGGCCTCCTCCTTCTTCCAGCTGCAGAACTCAAGCCCTACCTACTCTTGAGTTTGGCCAGTGAGGAGAGGTACCAACAGAACAAAGAAGAGAAGAAATCAAGGTTGGGTGTTTATTTCCCTGGCTTCTTCCTGCTGGGCTGCTGCCTCCCCCTACCCAAGCCTGTAGCCCTGGTGGGGCCACCCCCAACTCCCCTACTCTCCATAGACTCTGAAATGCATCCTTCCCTTTGCTTTCTCACACTTGGGTGTCAAGTGGTTTCTGGCTGTTGTTACCGTAAGGAACTACACTGGCTCTTACTGGTTTTCCTAAACCTGGTCACATCTGTGTAATAGTCCCTCTATTAGTTATCAATTGTTGTGTAAAGTATTACTCCCAAAACTTAGTGCCTTAAAACAGCAAACATTGGCTGGGTGCCGTGGCTCATGCCTGTAATCCCAGCACTTCAGGAGGCCGAGACGGGTGGATCACCTAAGGTCAGGAGTTTGAGACCAGCCTGACCAATATTGAGAAACCCCATCTCTACTAAAAATACAAAAAATTAGCTGGTTGTGGTGGCGGGTGCCTGTAATCCCAGCTACTCTGGAGGCTGAGGCAGGAGAATCGCTTGAACCCGGGAGGTGGAGGTTGCAGTGAGCCAAGAATGCTCCACTGCACTCCAGCCTGGGCAACAAGAGTGAAACTCCATCTCAAAAACAAAAACAACAACAACAAAAAAAACAGCAAACATTTATTATCTCACACAGTTTCTCAGGGGCAAGAATCTAATAGCAACTTTGCTGAGAGGTTCTGGTTCCAACTCTGTCATGAGGTTTTGGTCAAACTGTTTGCCGAGGATGCAGTCATCTGAAGGCTTGAGTGAGGCTGGGGGATTCACTTCCAAGTTTTCTCGCATGATTGTTGGGATCTTCCCAGTACCATGACAGTACCTTCTCAGTACCTTGACACAGGGGGCTCTCCAAAGGGTTTCTCACAGTGCAGCTGGCATGAGACAGAGTAACCAAGACGTATTTTATAGCCTCATCTTGCAAGTAGCATTGACAAGGTAAAAAAATCAGTTATTCTTATATGTGTGGGTCTGTTTCTGGACTCTCTATTCTGTTCTATTGCAGTATTTTTCTGTCTTTATGCTGATACCACACTGTCTTTTTTCTTTTAACTTTTCTTTTCTTTTATTGAGACAGGGTCTCACTTTGTCATCCAGGCTGGAGTACAGTGGCAAAATCACAGCTCACTGCAGCCTCAGCTTCCTGGGCTCAAGCAATCCTCCTACCTTAGCCTCCAGGGTAGCTGGGAATATAGGTGCACACCACCATACCCAGCTAATTTTTTTGTATTTTTTGTAGAGATGGGGTTCTGCCATGTTGCCCAGGCTGGTCTCGAACTCCTGGGCTCAAGTGATCCTCCTGCCTCAGCCTCCCAAAGTGCTAGGATTACAGGCATGAGTGACCACACCCAGCCTTCTTCTTCAACTTTTATTTTAGAATCAGAAGGTACATGTGCACATTTGTTACAAAGGTACAGTTCATGATACTAAGGTTTGGGGTATGATTGAACCCATCACACAGGTAACAAGCATAGTACCCTACAAGTAATTTTTCAGCCCTTACCCCTTTCCTTTTCTCCCCTCTCTAGTAGACATCAGCGTCTATTGTTCCCATCTTTTTTGTTTGTTTGTTTGTTTGAGAGAGTCTTGCTCCATCACCCAGGCTGGAGTGCAGTGGTGTGATTTTGGCTCACTGCAACCTCCACCTTCTGGGTTCAAGCGATTCTCCTGCCTCAGCCTCTCGAGTAGCTAGGACTACAGGCATGTGCCACCAGGCCCAGTTAATTTTTGTACTTTTAGTAGAGACAGGGTTTCACCATGTTGGCCAGGCTGGTCTTAACTACTGGCCTCAAGTGAACCACCCGCCTCAACCTCCCAAAGTACTCAGATTGCAGGTGTGAGCCACCACGCCAGGCCTCTGCATGAATTTTAGAATCACTTTGTCTTTTTTTTTTCTTTACAAATAGCCTGCACTAATTTTCATTAGCATTAAATTAACAGCAATTTGGAGAGAATTGACATCTTAATAATACTGAGCCTTCTGACCTATGAACATAGTATATCTCTCCATTTGTTAAAATCATCTTTATCTCAGCAATGTTTTATAGTTTTCACTGTTTAGGTCTTGCAATTCTTTGTCAGATTTTCATAATTAAAAAAATAATTGGAGTTTATAAGGAGAACTAGCTGGAATGATCATTTTAATTTTGAAGTAGGTGAAGAACATTTCTATTTGGTAGGCACATTTATTTTTATATTTTCCTCTTATATCAAAAATTTAAATACAGGCCAGGCACAGTGGCTCATGCCTGTAATCCCAGCACTTTGGGAGGCCGAGATGGGCAGATCACTTGAGATCAGGAGTTTGAGAACAGCCTGGCCAACATGGCAAAACTCTGTCTCTACTAAAAAGAATACAAAAATACCCTGTCTCAAAACAAAAATTTTTTTTGATTAAATACAGATTCAAGGGCAACTGTAGGTCTTATTTTGCAAAGTATATGAACATTCACATTCTGAATGCAAGGAAGGACAATGACATCTACAACAAAATTGTTCATTTTCTCAAAGTGCAAAAGCAGCTCACATGGTTAAAAATTCCATTTTTTTCCATGAACATTGCTGCTGCATTTTACACATGAATAACTGGAATTATGGTTCCTTAGCTTAAGAAGACTGTATTTCTTGATGAATGTAATATTTTTCTTTGCTCACTCAAATTTTATACATGAGAGGATTAAATATTAACATACTACCATTCTTCTAAATAAAACATTTTAAATGTATTTAAATTAGGTATACAGGAGAGTGGGATTACAAGACCGAATGTTTAATGTGAAAATTGTAGCTATCTGTTTTTACTTAATTGAGTGAGTTTAGAATAGCAGTGGCCGGGCATGGTGGCTCACGACTGTAATCCCAGCACTTTCAGAGGCTCAGGCGGGCGGGTCACCTGAGGTCTGGAGTTCGAGACCAGCCTGACCGACATGGAGAAACCCTGTCTCTAAAAATACAAAATCAGCTGGGTGTGGTGGCAGATGCCTGTAATCCCAGCTATTTAGGAGGCTGAGGCAGGAGAATTGCTTGAGCCTGGGAGGTGGAGGTTGTGGTGAGCCGAGGTCATGCCATTGCACTCCAACCTGGGCAGCAAGAGCGAAACTCTGTCTCAAAAAAAAAAAAAGATTAGTAATATCACTCATTCTTTGTAAAGTTTTTGTTGTTGTTGTCTTGGGTTTTTTGTTCATTTGTTTGTTTGTTTTACTGTAACTTATTTTGCTTCAGCCATTAGGATCACAGAAAATTACCAGGGTCTTGGGCTGTCCTGAGATTTGAAAGTCCAGAAGACTTAAATTTTCATAATTTTTTAATCTATTGAAAATGGTATTGTTTTTCTAATTTTAGTGTCTGATTGTTCATTGCTAGTACATAGGAATTTTTGTAGAAATAGCTTGTATCCTGCAATTTCACTTATTTTAGTAGCTTTTTTTGTAGACGCCATTGGGTTTTCTACAAGAATGATCATGTTATCTGTGAATCAACACAATTTTACTTCATCCTTTTTGATATAAATACCTTTTATTTCTTTTCCTTGGCTAGAGTCTTCAGTATAATGTTAAGTAGAAGTGGTAAGAGCAGACATTCTCCCCTTATAACTAATCTTAGGGGGAAAACATTTAGTTGGTAGCCATTAAGTTTGATGTTACCTGTAGGTTTTTGATAAACACCCTAGAGCAAGTTGAGAAGTTCCCTTCTACTCCTACTTTGGGGAGATTTTGTTTTTGTTTTTATTTTTAGACAGGAACCTCCCTTACCCAGGCTGGAATGCCTTGGCACAATTACAGTTCACTGCAGCCTCCACCTTCCAGGCTGAAGCAGTCCTCCCACCTCAGCCTCCAGGGTAGCTGACTACAGGTTCACACCACCACACCCAGCTAATTTTTGTATTTTTTATAGAGATGAGGTCTTGCCATGTTGCCGTGGCCAGTCTCAAACTCCTGGGCTCAAGCAATCTGCCTGCCTCAGCCTCCCAAAGTGCTGGGATTACAGAATTGAGCTACTGTGTCCAGCCTAGAATTTTTTTTTTTTTTTTTTTTTTGAGACAGAGTCTTGCTCTGTTGCCCACGCTGGAGTGCAATGGCATGATCTCGGCTCACTGCAACCTCCACCTCCCGGGTTCATGCCATTCTCCTTCCTCAACCTCCCGAGTAGCTGGGACTACAGGCGCCCGCCACCACGCCCGGCTAATTTTTTTGTATTTTTAGTAGAGACAGGGGTTCACTGTGTTAGCCAGGATGGTCTCGGTCTCCTGACCTTGTGATCCGCCCACCTCAGCCTCCCAAAGTGCTGGGATGACAGGCATAAGCCACCGCGCCTGGCTAATTTTTTTTTTTTTAATCATGAATCTGTCAGATTCATCATATCTTTGGTAGTTTGTGCTTTCAAGGAATTTGTCTATTTCACCTAAATTGTTGAATTTATTGGCATAAAGTTGATAATAATATTCCCTTATCCTTTTAATAAATATCATGATGTTACCTCTATTATTATTATTATTATTATTATTATTATTATTATTATTACTATTTTGAGATGGAGTTTTGCTCTTGTTGCCCATGCTGGAGTACAATGGTACAATCTCAGCTCACCGCAACTTCCGCCTCCTGGGTTCAAGCAATTCTCCTGCCTCAGCCTCCCAAATAGCTGGGATTACAGGCATCCGCCACCATGCCTGGCTAACTTTGTATTTTTTGTAGGGATGGGGTTTCTCCGTGTTGGTCAGGCTGGTCTCAAACTCAAGACCTCAGGTGATCTGCCTGCCTGGGCCTCCCAAAGTGCTGGGATTACAGGTGTGAGCCAACCGCGCCCATCCCTACCTCTATTATTCTTAATACTAATAATTTGTTTTAGGCTGGGTGCAGTGCCTCGTGCCTACAATCTCAGCACTTTGGGAGGCCAAGGCAGGAGGATTGCTTGAGCCAGGGGTTCAAGACCAGTCTGGGCAACATGGCGAAATCCCGTCTCTACAAAAAATACAAAAATTAGCCAGGCATGGTGGTGCCCACCTGTGGTCCCAGCTAATTGGGAGGCTGAGGCAGGAGGACTGCTTGAGCCCAGGAGGCTGAGGTTGTAGTGAACTGAGATCATGCCACTGCACTCCTGCCTGGGTGACAGAGTGAGACCCTGTCTCGAAAAAAAAAATTATTTTATTACTTTTCTTCCTGATCATTCAGCTAGAGATGTATTAATGTTATGGCTTTTCTCAAGGAATCAGCTTTTGATTGTATTAATGTTTATTGTTTTCCTGTTTTCCATTTTACCGATTTTGGCTTTGATCTTTATGGATCCTTCTACTTACTCAAGGTTTAATTTGCTTCTACTTACTCAAGGTTTAATTTGCTTTTCTTTTTCTAGTTTCTTAATATGAAAACTGAGTCATTGATTTCACACCTTTCTTCTTTTATAATGTAAATATTTATTATTCCAAAATTCCTTCTAAATTCTGCTGCACTATACAAACTTTGATATGTTGCATTTTCATTTTTATTTAGTTTGAAATACTTTCCTATTTCCATTTTGATTTATTCTTTGATCCAAGGGTAAGGGTGCTTTATTTAGTTTCCAAATATTGATATTGATTGCTAATTTAATTTCATGTGTTCAGAAAATGCACTTTGTAGGAAGTGAATTCTTTTAAATTTGTTGAGACTTGTTTTATGGCCCAGAATATGCTCTATCTTGGTAAATGTTCTGTGTGCACTTGAAAAGAATTTGCATTCTGCTCTTGTTGGGTGGAATGTTGTATAAATGGCAATTAGGCCAAGTTGATTGATAATGCTATGTCAGTAAACAAAATTAAAGGAACTGTATTAGTCCATTTTTACACTGTTGATAAAGCCATACCCGAGTCTGGGTAATTTATAAAGAAAAAGAGGTTTAATGGATTCACAGTCCCACATGGCTGGGGAGGCCTTACAATTATGGCAGAAGGTGAAAGGCATGTCTTACATCATGGCAGGCAA
This sequence comes from Homo sapiens, assembly GCF_000001405.40. Taxonomy (NCBI): domain Eukaryota; kingdom Metazoa; phylum Chordata; class Mammalia; order Primates; family Hominidae; genus Homo; species Homo sapiens. The sequence continues at coordinate 104,163,164 of NC_000012.12, forward strand.
GAGAGAATGACAGCCAAGTGAAAGGGGAAACCCCTTATAAAACCATCAGATCTCGTGAGACTTGTTCACTGCCACAAGAACAGCATGGGGAAAACCGCCCCTATGATTCAATTATCTCTCACTGGCTCCTTCCTACAACACATGGGAATTATGGGAGCTACAATTCAAGATGAGATTTGGGTGGGGACACAGCCAACCACATCAGGAATCTCTAAAAAAGTATTGAATATGGAGAATGCCAAAAAGCCTGATGAAGGATACAATTTTTGTATGTTAGAATTATTTCGTATTTCAAGTTAAACTGTTTTCCCCAGCCATATTTGTTCCTACTCTTTTTTTTTACCTTCAGCCTGTTGTTGACATAAAGAAATAAACTGAGGCAAAAACAGGTAAATATTTATATGGGCCAAGGTTGAGGACTGCAGCCTGGGAAACACTTCCAAATTACCTTGGGAAGTGCTCTGGAGAATAAAAAAGTGGCTCGAGGTTTTAAAGAAAAAAGGATGAATCAGGAGAGGGGGCAATTACAAAAGTTATTTGTCAGGAATTCTCATTGGTTTAGAGAAATAACATTGGTTAGTGATTGGCTGTATATTACTGGACTATATATAGGGTATGAGTTATGGTGTCCAGCCTGTGGCATCGTTAGGTTAATTTATAGCCATTTATGGTGACACTCAGTCTAGAGTCTATACATAACAGGAGGATTCAAGAGATGATTACTCAGTTACTCAGCTGGAGGTGGGGAAATGGGACTTGACTGCTGCCTCACTCCTATGCCTCTCTGGGCCTGATCACCTTCCTCAGATAAAAAGTTTTCTTTTTGGCTGGGCGCAGTGGCTCATGCGTGTAATCCCAGCATTTTGGGAGGCTGAGGCGGGTGGATCACCTGAGGTCAGGGGTTCGAGACCAGCCTGACCAACATGGAGAAACCCTATCTCTACTAATAATGCAATATTAGCTGGGCATGGTGGCAAATGCCTGTAATCCCAGCTACTTGGAAGGCTGAGGCAGGAGAATTACTTGAACCTGGGAGGCGGAGGTTGCCATGAGCCTAGATCGCACCATTGCCCTCCAGCCTGGGCAGTAAGAGCAAAACTCCATCTAAAAAAAAAAAAAAAAAGTTTTATTTTCTTTCTCACTAGCATGATTTCCTGCTGGATGTGAGGAAGCACAGAAGAGCCTACTCCCAGCTAAGGTTGTGGGCTTGCTTTTCAGGTCTAGGTCTCTGTCATGTTTTCCCAAAGGCCCCCAATCATTTGGCTAGCTTTCCTCTTTTCTTCTGAGCTGACTAGGGGTAACAGAATCACAAAAGTGAGAACATTGTAAGGGTTTCAGAAATCTTATCAAAGTCTAATCATAAATTACAAATTCCCTTTCGGTTCTGCTTACCCAACATTGATGTTGCAGGAGGCTCGAAGTATAGAGAGAAGTAAGATATAGCCCTTGCTATAAAGAAAGGATCATCAAATTTCTTCTGTAAAGGGCCAGATAGTAAATGTTTTAGGCTCTGGGATATAAAGCCTATTTCTTGCGATATAATAAGAAACATATATTTGGTCTTTGCCCCTAGTTCCTGGCACATAGCTCTTGGAACCTTGGAACCTCTGAAAGGATAAATGTCTATTTATATGCTAATGAGATGACTGAAGGCTAGGGCTTCCTAAGCAGTCTCAGGACCAAGGCTGGTTGCCAGGGGAAGCAATCATGTAAGTAGAGGTTGGAACTTTTAGTCCCACCCCACCAACCTCTAGGGAGAAGAAAGAAGCCAAATGTTGAGTTGATCATCAGTGGCCAATGATTTAATCAATTGTACCTATGTAATGAAGCCTCCATAAAAACACCAAAGGACTGGGTTTGAAAATATTTTTTTTTTAGACAGGGTCTCACTGTCACCCAGGCTGGATTGCAGTGATACAATCACGTCTCACTACAGCCTCTACCTCCTGGGCTCAAGTGATTCTCCCACCTCAGCCTCCTGAGTAGCTGGGACTACAGGTGCCCGCCACCAGGCCCGGCTAATTTTGTATGTTTTGTAGAGACAGGGTTTTGCCATGTTGCCCGGACTGGTCTCAAACTCCTGGGCTCAAGTGATCCGCCCGCCTCAGCCTCCCAAAGTGCTGGAATTACAAGGGTGAGCCACCGTACCTGGCCTGAAGAGCTTCTTGATAGCCAAACACATGGAGGTACCTGGATGGTAGAGCACCCAGAGAGGGCATGGAAGCTCCGTGCCCTTTCTCATAAGCCTTCTGATGCATCTCTTCCATCCATCTGTTCATTATATCTTTTATAAGAAATGGATAAACATAAGTAAAGTGTTTCCCTGAGTTCTATGAGCTGTCCTAGCAATTTAGTTGAACCCAAGGAGGAGGTCATGGTAACTCCAGTTTATAGTGTTGCCAAACTGAGCTGGGGCCTGCTTGCCTGGCACAGTAAGGCCAAACATCCATGCTGAGATTTTGCAGTGAGAGAAAGGAGGGCATTTATTTGCAGTGTGCCATGCAAGGAGAATCTGGCAGTTCATGCTCAAGATCTGACCTCTGCAAGCCAAGGGTTTTTAAAGGTACAGGTAAATTTCAGGAAAGCAGAAGTTACAGGCAAAATTGTAAACCAATACTTGGAGGTTAAACATCAGTTTGGCCTAAAAAGGCAGGATATCCTCAACCAAGGGCTTACAGGTCATGGGTCAATTAAAAGATTTTCTGATTTGCAATTGGTTAGGGAAGGAAAGCTTCATCTAAAGACTTGGGGTCATCAGAAAACAATGTTAGGTCTGGCCCATGGGCGTGACTTCCTCCTGGCCCCTGAGGAAGAAATTTAGAACAAAGAATGGCAGCCAGAGTTCAGTCCTCAGTGTTCTCCCCTTATCTGAGGTCCGTGTGCCAGTGGATCCATTTGGCAGGGGTCTGGATTTCTAAAGAACAACTCAGGGCTATTTGTTAACATGTTATCTTTAGTTTCTATAGAGAACCAAACATCTCATGACTCTAACTTCCTTGGCTATTGTTTTAAGCTACTATTACCTTTTTGCTTATTAAGTTGCTCATTTACTTCTCAGGGCTAGCTAGGTTCCCAGGATTTCCCTTAAATGAACTCAAGATTTGCCTTTATTTCCATGCTTGAGGGTGCCTAGCAGGGACCTCTGTTCCTTCTCAATAGCTGATTGGCTGGAAGCACTAATCACAACCTTGGGCTTGCAACTGGCATCTAAAGCAGTCTTATGGGACTGGGTCCTCAACCCATGGGATCTGATGCTATCTCTAGATAGTGTCAGAATCGAATGGAATTATAGGATGCAAAGCTGGTGCCTGACGAGAATTCCTTGGTGTATGGAGAAAAACCCACACACATCTGGTGTCAGAAGTGAAGTATTAAGTGGTGTGAGTAGAGAGAAAAACCACTGAGTAGACAAAGTGGTTTAGGCTGCTGGGAGAGGACTGCTTGTCTGTCGGCCAGGACATTTCTCAGCTGGACTAGTGAGATGATTACTTTATTCTCTTAAACCTCCAAGGCTCAGATGATGCCGTGCATGACTCCAGGGAGCACCATTCACTTAGACTATAGTGAATAGCACCCCCTGCAGCTGTGCAACATGGTGGCTCAGGCCAGTTTATACACCTGTCATATTCTCTCTCTCCACTTTATCCCCACCACCACCCCGTACGACCACCACCATGCTCAGAAAACCCTTGCCTAGCACGCTCCTGGACTATTCATGTCAAAACAACTGTGGGAAATGATGCAAATAGCAACATTAATATCCACAAGCTAAAATACAGCATGGCTTCATTTTCTTCTTGTTTCCTTTCTCCGTGATATCAAGTTGTGTTTCTGCCTGTGAGAAAGACACTCACCCATCCAGTCCCAAAGAATGGACTTACAGGCACGAAGAACAGCAAAAGTGAGACTTTTTTTTTTTTTTTTTTTTGAGATGGAGTTTCACTCTTGTCACCCAGGCTGGAGTGAGTGCAGTGGCACAATCTTGGCTCACTGCAACCTCTGCCTCCCGGTTCAAGCAATTCTCCTGCCTCACCCACCCGAGTAGCTGTGATTACAGGCACCTGTCACCACGCCCAGCTAATTTTTGTATTTTTAGTAGAGATGGGGTTTCACCATGTTGGCCAGGCTGGTCTCGAGCTCCTGACCTCAGGTGATCCACCTGCCTCAGCCTCCCAAAGTGCTGGGATTACAGGCGTGAGCCACCATGCCCGGCCTCCAGTGGTATTTCTGGATCCAGCTTCTGTGTGGTGACCAACTGGGTGTGACAATAGCTCAGTTAGTGAGCAATAGAAAATAATGGAAAGACTCACACACAGTCAGCCCACAAATTCCTGCAACACCAGAGGCAGACAGGTTATAGGATACTGGGTTCCCTTATGTTCCTAAGTCATCTTATTGTGTGTCTTATTTTCCACTTGAGGCTGTTCTTTGTGGTAATTTTAATATGACTTATCTTGCCTTAAACATTTAGAGTTGGAAGGAAGGGACAGAATGTATTTTGCCCTGGGCCCTCACCTGCTGGGGAGGACTACTAGCCACAAACCCTCCCTAAAGATAACTGTGAGCACAGGGTAAGCATGCATTCCAAGCGTGACTTAATGAGAACTCTGTAATGTACCAAGAAATAAAAAGATAAGCATAGACTGACACAAAGATCAAAAGGGCAGATGAACTGTCAACTTCCAAATCAGTTTTTCCTCCAAAACATATGTTTAAAAATCTTTACTGGTAACAAGCCTGAAGGATTTTGATTTTGTGATCTCATATGTAAGCTTATCACCAACTCTGAAGGCTTAGGTCTGCTGGCATGGGTTCCATCCTTCCTTAGTGAATAAAGTACCACTTGTTGAATTGCCTCTATTGGTTCCTGGAGTGCCTCTGAGTTCTTGGAGGTCTCTGGAATTCAAGAGTCTGTTCAGTCCAATACAGCTTAGGGCAGGGGACCCCAACCACTGGGCCATGGACCAGTACTGGTTCACAGCCTGTTAGGAACCGAGAAGCACAGCAGGAGCCGAGCAGCACAGCAGGAGGTGTACAGCAGGCAAGTGAGCAAAGCTCACCTGTATTTACAACTGCTCCCTAATGCACACATTACCACCTGAGCTCTGCCTCCTGTCGGATCAGCAGTGGCATTAGATTCTCATAGGAATATGAACTTTATTGTGAACTGTGCATGTGAGGGATCTGGGCTGCATCTAAGTTGCATGCTCCTTAGGAGAATCTAATGACTGATGAAACCATCCCCCCATCCTGCTCCCATCTGTGGAAGAATTATCTTCCACAGAACCGATCACTGGTGCAAAAAGGCTGGGAACCTCTAGTTTAGGGAATTAAAAAATGGCCCAAGACAAGTAAGTTGTAGAGCCATGTGAGAAAACATTTTAAATGGTCCATTTTCAAGGCATGATAAATCTAAGTACATGGTGAAACCCCATCTCTACTAAAAACACAAAAATTAGTCAGGTGTGGTGGCTCACGCCTGTAGTCCCAGCTACTCAGGAGGCTGAGGCATGAGAATCACTCAAACCCAGAGGCAGAGGTTGCAATGAGCTGAGATCACGCCACTGCACTCCAGCCTGGGCAACAGATTGACGCTTGGTCTCAAAAAACAAACAAACAAACAAACAAAAACCAGAAATACCATTGGAGAGAATGTTTCCAAGTCCTCAGGACAGGCTGAACTGATAAAGTGGAGGTTGAGAAAAAAAATTTGAGGTGAGACTCGCCCTGCCCATCTCATGGAATTTCTGTAGGCCAGATCCTGTCGGTTCTGACCAAAGTGTGGCCAACCAAACTTGGAGCTGGGGGAAACTGGGAAAGCTGAGACATTCCCTAGGGCAAACAGATACCAGTTGCTCAAGGTAGAAGAACTAAGGGTCAAAATGGACCAGGGTCCACTCAAGAAGATGGGCTGTGGAGGTACTGAAGACAGCAGACAGAAACGATCAGTGGGGGTATGGTATTAGCGTTTTCCTGAGAAGCAGAACCAATAGGAGATAGAGAGAAATGAGGAGTTTTTTTTAATTTTTTAATTTTTATTTTTTATAAGTTTTATTTTGATCTTTTCCACTTCTATGTCACTACTGAAACATTTTAAATGCTTCCTATACCTTCTTGAACTTATGTATTAAAATCATTTTTTATTTTTATTTTTTCATATATTGGATTTATTTATTTATTATTTATTTATTTTATACTTTAAGTTCTAGGGTACATGTGCACAACGTGCAGGTTTGTTACATATGTATACATGTGCCATGTTGGTGTACTGCACCCATCAACTCGTCATTTACATTAGGTATATCTCCTAATGCTCTCCCTCCCCTCTTCCCCCGACCCCACAACAGGCCCTGGTACGTGATGTTCCCCACCCTGTGTCCAAGTGTTCGAAATGAGGAGATTTATTATGAAAATTGGCTCACACAATTATGGAGGCCTTCAAGAAGTCCCACAATATCGGCCGGGCGCGGTGGCTCACACCTGTAATCCCAGCACTTTGGGAGGCCAAGGCGGGCGGATCACCTGAGTTCAAGAGTTCCAGACCAGCCTGGCCAACATGGTGAAACCTTGTCTCTACTAAAAATACAAAAAAAAAAAAAAAAAAAAAAAATTAGCTGGGCGTGGTAGCATGCGCCTGTAGTCCCAGTTACTCAGGGAGGCTGAGCAATTCAAGGAGAATTGCTTGAACCCAGGAGGCAGAGGTTGCAGTGAGCCAAGATCGTACCACTGCACTCCAGCTTGGGTGACAGAGGAAGACTCTATCTCAAAAAAAAAAAAAAAAAAGAAGAAGAAAGAAGAAGTCCCACAATATGCCATCTGCAAGCTGGAGAAACAGCAAAGCTGATGATGTAATTCAGTCCCAGTATGAAGGCCTGAGAACCAGGAATTCTGATATCTGAGGGCAGGAGAAGATGGATATCCCAGCTGAAGAAGAGAGAGGGAGAAAGAAAGTGAGGGAGACAGAGAGAGAGAATTTGCCCTTCCTCCACTTTTCTTGTTCTATTTGGCCCTCAAAACATTGGATGATGCCACCCACACAGGGGAGAGTGGATCTGCTTTACTCAGTCTACTGAGTCAAATGCTAATCTCTTCCAGAAACACCCTCACAAACACACCCAGGAATAACGTTTACCAGCTACCTGGGCATCCCTTAGCCCAGTCAAGTTGACACCTAACATTAACCATCACAGACATGGAAAGTGGCAAACCCTGGAGATCTGCAGGATATGTCAGAATCCAAAACCTCAGCAAGGTTGGTAAAAGAGGGCAGAGGCAAAGAGAATCAGACTTAAGTATTGCCAGAGAGCTCATCAATTTTCTGCTTTAGATCTCAGGGCAGGAAAGGCCCAGGGCTTGTGAAATATTTGGAGCCTGTAAAAATATCTGGGACCTTGAAAAACAGTATTGCTCTAAAATACAGCTCAAGACCAGCCTGGGCAACATGGCAAAAACCACCATCTCTACAAAAAGTACAAAAATTAGCTGGGCGTGGTAGCTTGCACTTGTCCCAGCTACTCAGGAGGCTGAGGTGGAAGGATTGCTGGTCTGGGAGGCAGAGGTTGCAGTGAGCTGAGATCACACCACTGCCCTCTAGCCTGGGTGACAGAGCTGTCTCAAAAAAAAAAAAATTAATAAAATATAAAGAGAAAATTTCAAAATATAAGTTAATAAATGTGAAACAAGTGTGTATAAAGCACTTCATTCTTGTCAACTTCATTAATTGTTCAATATTGCATTCATAAAAATTTCCTTATATTGGGAAATAAATTGCAAATTAGCATACTGGTGAAGGGCATGAACTGTGAAGCCAAATTGCCTGTGTCCAAATTCTGGCTCCACTCTTTACTGTGTAACTTGCAGCAAGTTACTCAACATCTCTGAGCTTCAGTGTCCTCATTCTTTCTAATCCCATAAATAAATTATATCACTAACCTCATAGATTTTTTTATTTTTTTTGAGACAGAGTCTCGCTCTGTCACCCAGACTGGAGTGCAATGGCATGATCTCGGCTCACTGCAACCTCTGCCTGCTGGGTTCAAGTGATGCTCCTGTCTTAGCCTCCCAAGTAGCTGGGACTACAGGCGCCCACCACCACGCCAGCTAATTTCTGTATTTTTAGTAGTGACAGGGTTTCACCATATTGGTCAGGCTGGTCTCCCAACTCCTGACCTTAGGTGATCCACCCGCCTTGGCCTCCCAAAGTGCTGGGATTACAGGCATGAGCCACCACACCCAGCCACTAACCTCATAGATTTTTAAGAGGATTAAATGGGCAAAAGACTTGGAACAGTGCATGGCACATTCTCTGTACTAGACGTGTACTAATTGTTGTTATTATTTTCTCACTTGGAAAGATTCCAAAACATGAACTGATATGTAAGAAATCATAACCAAATTAAATGAGTTATTCAAACATAAGTAATTTTAAAAGCAAAATTATACTCTTTCCAAAGAATTTCTTATATTTTATCAATGAAAATTTCAAGCAAATACAGATGTAAAAATAAAGATGCAAAGAGAGGCTGGGCGCAGTGGCTCATGCCTGTAATCCCAGCAGTTACAGTTGATGTGTAATATAGCCGGTGCTATTTTAATGTTTGCTACAATAGGTAGGCAAGCTGAAAAAGCTCCGAAAAAGCCAAGCAAGCTGCTTTTATCTTCCGACCCAGACAAAATCCCTCTCCAAACTGGGCCAGTTTAAGGTCAATAAGTGATTGCAATCAGCTGGCTCAAGTGGGTGCTTCCTGGAATGGCGAAGCTAGGCAGTTTTGCCAGAAGTCGTTGCTGTGAGCATCAGGGTTCAGAGTTGAGTCTTCAACACCAGACCTCTGCGATGGGCTTCCGGATTCGAGGCCCCGTCCCTTTCTCAGAAGGTAAGGCTTGCGTCAGGTGAACCACATTGGTCGTTTGGCTCTAACAATAACGGCGCCTTAGAATGAACACTTCAGCCTCGTTTTGTCTCTTTACACTCATAATAACCCCTTGCAGAGTAAGGAAGGCGAGTGACTTCTAGTCCTGGAGACGGGGCCTGCAAGAGCCAGAGGTCAGTGCTCCTGGAGGGGAGCAGGGGGCGGGGACAGGGCAGGCGGAGGGCGGAGCTAGGGGGGAAGGGCGGGGCCTGTGGAAAGGGGGCGGGGCCCAAGGGCTGGAGGCTGGCCGGCTGGGGTGCGGCGGTGGACCTGCAGGTCTCCCCAGTCACCTGAGCCCAACCAGCGCAGCAGAGACTCTTTCTGCAGCAAAAAGATCCCTCCAACCAAGTCAACTTGTTCTTCCTTCCCTCACGGTCTCCATAACCCCAGCCAAGAAGGAGGCGACGCCATGGAGTGGAAGAGTAAGGAAGGCAGAAGGGAAGGGCCAGAGGAGGCCCAGTGGGTGGAATAGGCTGGAATACTCGGTCTTCTTCCACACGTACTCTTAGGCTGCTCCTCTGCAACCAGGCCTCTCTGGGAGATCTTGTCTTCTACAAAATGTGTGCCGTGCCTTGTTACTAAGTCTGATTAATTTGCTGTAATTGGGAATTAAATTAACTTAGGAAGCCTAGATGCATTAGGGGTAATTGGATCCCGGGATGGCAGCACTCAACCCCTCCCCGCAACAAGGCAAGGTGGGCGTGGTTATCATACAGAACAGCAGAGTCAAAGCTGCAATCAGAATAGCTTGACAGATGCAAACCTAGGGCGTTGGCTGATTGCTGATGGTGTTCCTACAAGTGAAATAGATGGGAAGCCTACTAAATTCTTCCTGGATCTGCATAAGCAGAAAACTTCTAGGTCAAGTGAACAAAAGCCTAAGCTGAATCATAAAAAGTAGAATCATGGTGCTCAACCAATTTTCAGACTTGAGCCTGTGTACAGACCTTGAACCCCTTGAATAAAGGAAAGGTCAGATCCCCTTGAGGAAGGACCTGGATACACCACTGGAAATACGTATACTGTTAATCTTTCTCCCAGTCTAGGGGAGGGACCTACAGCCTTTTACCAGTATAACTGTACACTGGGGAAGAGATAACTCTACAATTCCTTTCGGGACTTCTTGACATTTGCTCTAAACTGATGTTGGTTTCAGGAGACCTAAAACATCACTGTGGTCCACCAGAGTAGGGGCTTATGGAGGTCAGGTGCTCAATGAAGTTTTAACTCACAGTGGGCCCAGTGGGTCTCCAAAACCACCTGCAGTTATTTCCCCAGTTTAAGAATACATAATTGGGGCCGGGCACAGTGGCTCATGCCTGTTATTCCAGCACTTTGGGAGGCCGAGGCGGGTGGATCACCTGAGGTCAGGAGTTCGAGACCAGCCTTGCCAACGTGGCGAAACCCTGTCTCTACTAAAAAATACAAAAATTAGCTGGGTGCAGTGGCAGGCACCTGTAATCCCAGCTACTCAGGAGGCTGAGGCAGGAGAATCGCTTGAACCCGGGAGGTGGAGGTTGCAGTGAGCCAAGATTGCACCATTGCACTCAAGCCTGGGAGACAGAGCAACACTCTGTGGCAAAAATAAATAAATAAATAAATAAGAATACATAATTGGAATAGACATACTAAGCAGCAGCTGGCAGAGTCCTCACATTGCTTTCCTGAACTGTGGAGAGGGCTACTAGGTGGGAAAGGCCAAGTGGAAGCCATTAGAACTGCCTCTGACTAGGAAAATTGTAAACCAAAAGCAAAAACAATTCCTGGAGAGATTGCAGATATTAGTGTCACCATCAAGGACTTGAAAGATGCAGAAGTGGTGATTCCCACCACACTCCCATTAAACTCCTGTTTGATCTGCACAAAAGACAGATAGGTCTTGGAGAATGACAGTGGATGACTGTAAGCCAAATTATGTACAATTTTTTTGATTTACTTGCTTTTGATGTTTATTTAAAAGTATATTGCCCCAGGCTGGGAGGGGTGACTCATGCCTGTAATCCCAGCACTTTGGGAGGCCAAGGTGGGCAGATCACGAGGTCAAGAGATCGAGACCATCCTGGCTAACGCCGTGAAACCCCATCTCTACTAAAAATACAAAAAAATTAGTCAGAAGTGGTGGCACGTGCCTGTAGTCCCAGCTACTAGGGAGGCTGAGGCAGGAGTATCGCTTGAACCCGGGAGGTGGAGGTTGCCGTGAGCCGAGATCACACCACTGCACTCCAGCCTGGGCAACAAAGTGAGACTCTGTCTCAAAAAAAAAAAAAAAAAAAAAAAAAATATATATATATATATATATATATTGTCCCAGCATTAAGGGAGGCCCCATTTTAGGGATGGAGAAAGGAAGAACATAGTAATTTTCCCTTGAGGGAAGCCTTTTTCAGTGGTTCTCTCCTCATGTCTCTTAAGGTAGACAAAGGGCACAACATAAGTGGTCACTGATATGTACCAACTGTTCTATACCAAAAATAATAATAATAAAATAAATGATCATTGATAGAGGCACAAAGATTAGGGCACATCCCTCTATAGAATGCTATGTGGCCATGAAAAAGACTGAGGTAGATCTATATGTACTGATATGGAAAAATGTATTAATACATAATATATTGATGACTACAAAGTAAATGAAGTTGCAAAGTATGAATGTTTGTAAATGTGTTGGAAAATTTCATAGTAAATGTTATCAGAGGTTTCTTCTGGGAAGTGGGGTTGGAGAGTAACTATATCAGTGACAAAGCTTTCTGTTGCCAGTAAAACAAAACAAAACAAAACAAAAAAACCCACTCAGCCGGGGTTTAATATACAATAAGAAAGTGTCTTATCTTGCAAAATAAGAAGTCCATGGAAACAGGGACCCTGGGGTTGGTGAACACAGCAGCTCTTCTTTCCATCTTTCTGCTTTCCATGTACTTCTACGCAAAGTTCAGCAATGCTGTTGTGGAGTCCTCTAGCCAAAGTCACCTGTCAAAGGAGTCCCATATCTGCTCAGTAATGAGGCTTTGTTCTCAGGTGGCTCCTGTTGTGAGGGGTAGGTGCAGAGGTTTCAGGAGTCACCTCCAAACCTAACAGCATTCATAGCAGAGAAAGCATTGTGCTAATCTAGGTCCTATGAAAAGCAGACACCAAAACAGGATTAAATGTGCTAGAAATTTATTAGGGGAAATGCCTTTAAGAGAAATTGAGGAGGGAGGTGATGGAGGCTGGGAGAGCCATCAGAGATTGATGAAGGTCTGAACACAAGAGGAGAGGAGGAAGTTAGGGTGGAAGGTTGGAGGAAAGTGTCTTAGCCATGTACTTCTAAGGAAAATTCAGCAATGCTGTTGCTGAGTTCTCTAGCCAAAGTCACCTGTCAGAGGAGTCCCACATCTCTCAGAAACAAGCTGTCTTAATATCCCTGACACACTCTGTCACTGGCTGGAAGCAGCCGCTGAGAATTGTGGCCTCAGATGTTCAGACACTACAGCAGCCATCCATCAGCAGTGCTCCCAGCAGCTGGAGATCTGAGAGGACATTCTCATGGCGTTCATGGGCATTCTTTTTTTTTTTTTTTTTTTGAGAAGGAATCTTGCTCTGTCGCCGGGGCTGGGGGAGTGCAGTGGCGCGATCTCAGCTCACTGCAACCTCTGCCTCCCAGGTTCAAGCAATTCTCTGCCCCAGCCTCCCAAGTAGCTGGGATTACAGGGACACGCCACCACGCCCAGCTAATTTTTTTGTATTTTTAGTAGAGATGGGGTTTCGCCATATTGGCCAGGCTGGTCTTGAATTCCTCACCTCGTGATCCACCTGCCTCGGCCTCCCAAAGGGCTGGGATTACAGGCGTGAGTCCCTGCGCCCGGCCATTGCATTCTTGTTTTTTAAGAACAATTGCCCTAGCTAACGCCCCCTATTTGTCACATATCCTGATTTAAACCAATTACTAGCAAGGGGAAGTGAGACCAATCAGGACCACAGGACCACACTTTCAGTCTCAGCTAGTGCCCACCTCCCCAGAAGCATGTGGCTGTTGTGGCTGTTGAGGGGAAGGTGGGAAACTGCAAAAAACCTGGGTTCTGTTAGGAATACGGAAGTGGTGGATGAATGTCAGGTAAGTAAGCAACAGGGCCTACTACAGTGATGGAGGGACCTTTTGAACCTGTATGTTTCTGTATAATTTGGATTTTTTATTTTTTATTTTTATTTTTTAGACAGAGTCTTGCTCTGTCGCCCAGGCTGGAGTGCAATGGCACAATCTCGGCTCACTGCAACCCCCGCCACCCTGGTTCAAGTGATTCTCCCACCTCAGCCTCCTGAGTAGCTGGGATTACAGGCACGCGCCACCAAGACCAGCTAATTTTTGTATTTTCAGTAGAGTCGGGGTTTCACCATGTTGGTCAGACTGGTCTTGAACTCCTGACCTCAGGTGATCCACCCGCCTCGGTCTCCCAAAGTGCTAGGATTACAGGCATGAGCCACCGTGCCTGGCCATAATTTGGATTTTTATGAGCATATATTATTTGTATAATAGTAGTTTTTCCAGTTAGGGATGTCAAAAGAGTGGAACTTGGCAGAACAGTATTCAATTCCATCACTAAGATTTATAATCTGTAGTCGTGGGCCCATAACATAACATCTTCAAGTCTTTATTATTAAGAAATTTAAAGTGATTCTCAGGCTGGAAAAAGGAAAACACAAAAAACATTAAAGAGATGTGGGTTTCTCTTGCGTCCTGGGAAAAAATTATTTTCTATCTATAAAAAGTCTGAAATGTGTTAGATTACACAACTTTAGGTTTATTGTGTTCATATTTTGAAGAAATGGAAAAAAATGGTTTTTTCTGTTCCTTTTCTGTAAGCACATTACAGAAAGTCACAATAATTTATTTTTAACAGGTTGAGCAAATTGTTCTTTTAGTTTCTTTCAACTCTGTTGGTTGAAATGATAGAACAACATATTTCCCAGCAAGTTATGAGGGTGGATTATGAGATTATGCAGTTATTTTGAAAATGATCAGTTTAGTTCTCCTTATTCATACAATTATATGTAATCTTGGGTCTTAACTACTTAAATATGAATCAAAGCCCAATATCTTAATGTCACTTTAAAAGCTGAAAAAAGATTCTTGGTAACAAAACTGTAAACTTGGGGAACTATCATTAATTAGTGGATTTAAGTTTGGGTGTTTTCCAAGAGATACAGGTAGTTGCAGAATGAGGTGGTCTTCAGTGTCAAGTAACATATAGTTGACTGGCAAGTGCCCTCAGTGCCCTCCCCAGGTGAAAAGTGATGTGAAGTCCCCCTCAGAACCCAACCTTACCTTGACCACTCATTTTAGGAAGTTCCCTGCCCCCTATCCCATCACTTCTTTTCATTGCACCCAGAATCAATTGCCTTCATACACTTAATACAGTTCATTCATTTTACTTAGATATACATTTGTTTGTTGTCTGTCTCCTATACAGTATATAGAAAGCTGCATGGTGAAATGAATGGTGTCTGTTCCACTTCACAGTTTATACCCAGCATCTAACTCAGGACTTGGCACATCACAGGAGCCTAATAAATATCTGTTGAAAAGTGAACGAAATAAAAGCTACACTTACGCAACAAGACCTCCTGACATTGTTTTCCAGCAGCCAGCATCTTCTGTTCTGAGAATGTGGTGAACTTTCCTGTATCTTAATGGATGATTCATTCTGTGGCCAATTGGCCGGGGGAGGGCAGTAGCTCCTTGTTTCAAGCTCCTGCCTCCCTGTGCCTCTTCTGTTTATCATTTCTGCCCTGATCTGTTGGCAGTGGCCAAACCCCATGGACTCTCCCTGGGTTTTGCCTCCAGAATCCCACCCTCCTGTTACAGCCCTGGTGGCCTTCGAAGTTTCTTGCCAGGATTCCCACCCTGACCTCCTCACTGGGCTGCTTGCCAGCAGTCTTGCCCAATTCCACCCCCATGTTCCCCTCAACTGCCAGAGATAGTATCGTTAAGATATTTGAAAAATTGACTCTAGAGTCTAAAGACTCCCCTGCTCTTCAAAACCCAGAGATAAGATCAAGTCCAAACATTTTGGCGTGAGGTTCAAGGCATTTCACAATCTGCCGGGAGGTCCCTCTCCCAGCTCCTCTCTAATTACCCAGCCCACTTCCTCCCAGCCTGGGTTCCAGCCACAGAGAACCTTCTGGCATTCAGTGAATGCGTCTGACAGCCAGAATGCCAGCATTTGGTGCCAGCTATGCCTTTTGCCTGGCCTGGCTTTGCCTCCCCTCCTTCACCTTGAAATTCTCCTTCTCATCATCCATCTGACCTGACTTGAAATTATGCTCTCAGGAAGGGAGGCCTGCCCAGCCTGGGTTATTCGTATCTCTACTAAAGCTCTCATCACTTCATGCCATAAGTCCGCAGTCTCAGCCTCTGCTGCTATGGTTTCCAGCACCAAGGAGACTTACTAGAAGAGATGAAGGAAGAAAAGAAGAAATTGAAAATGAAAAAAAAAAATGAAGTCTATGCCACCCTACCCCAACTTCTTATTTTCTTCTGCTTCTCTCTTCCATTGACTAGTTACTTTGAAAGGCCTTTTATGGGGAACATCTGTTGTGCTTGTCTGCCTGACAGTCCTTCCCTTTTCTGGAAACAGCACTCTTCTTTCCTATGGGAAAACTTGCCCCATGTATTTTGAGTGGGTTTGATTATATCCACCCTGCCATAGACCCAGACTGCCCCTACCAAAGGACCCCATGCCCTTGAACATAATAAATGATTCAGGACTGGGCACATGACCTGAATAAGGTCATTTAAAATCCTCCATAGATTTTCTTGCCAGGGGGATTTGGGAAGATACTCTCCTTCCCTTGAAGATGCTTAACTAGTAAGTTTGGGCTGCTAGTGATCGTTATAATCCCTAGTAAAGAAAACCTGCTTAAGAGAAAGGGAATGTGATTTGACAACATCATTTGAGCTCCTAGATCAAGCTGTGCCTGAAGGCAACTGACTTTCCTTTATATGAGCCAATAAATTCTCTTTTCATTTATTCTAGTTAGTTTCTGCCAGTTGTACCTCAGAGTCTCCAGCTACTATACTTTTTTTTTTTTTTTGAGACGGAGTCTTGCTCTGTCACCCAAGCTGGAGTGCAGTGGTGCTATCTTGGCTCACTGCAACTTCCGCCTCCTGGGTTCAAGTGACTCTCCTGCCTCAGCCTCTCAAATAGCTGGGATTACAGGTTCACGCCACCATGCCTGGCTAATTTTTATTTTTTTAGTAGAGACAGTGTTTCACCATGTTGGCCAGGCTGGTTTTGAACTCCTGACCTCAAGTGATCCACCTGCCTCAGCTTCCCAAAGTGCTGGGATTACAGACGTGAGCCACCATGCCCAGCCTATACTTTTAAAATAAAAATACTTCATTATGATCTCCACTTTACTCAGAGAGGGTGTGGGTTAGATATAAAAATGTGTTAGGCCATTCTTGCATTGCTATAAATACCTGAGACTGGGCAATTTATAAGAAAACAGGTTTAATTGGCTCAGAGTTCTTCAGGCTGTACAGGAAGCATAGTGGCATCTGCCTCTCGGGATGCGCTAAGAAGATTTTACTCAAGATGGAAGGCAAAGTGGGAGCAGGCATGTCCCACGGCGAAAGCAGGAGCAAGGGGTGGAGAGGTGCCACACACTTTTAAACCACCAGATCGCGTGTCAACTCAGAGCGAGAGGTCACTCATCACCAAGGGGATGGCCGAAGCCATTCATGAGGCCCCCATGTTCCAAATTCCTCCCCACAGGCCCACCTATAACATTGAGGATTACCTTTCAACATGAGATTTGGTTGGGGACAAATATCCAAACTATATCAGTTAGTGAACCCAGGGCTCATTTTCTGGGTACTAAAGTCAACGGCAAATCCACTTTTTTTTCCTCCACTGATTTCAATGAACCATTGAGTTCATTCTCATTAATGCTCAGAAGAACCTGAAATAGAATACTTACTCCTAGACCCTCTGTCAAAGCCTATCTCTGGCACAAAAGTAGTTTCATGGCTACTGAATAGAAATAATATGGAACTCGAGAAAGGCCTCACACATTTTGGGGGGCCACTTTGTGCTTAAGAAGATGAAAAGAGAGAAGCCCAATACATGATAGGACTTTAAGATCTCTCTATATACAGGACTTCTAACTACTTTTTTTTTTTTTAAGAGGGGAATTCCTCTATTTAGAAGTTTTTAGGGCAAAGCAAAATTAGAGGTCATTTTTGGAAAGGGAAATTGTAGAAGAGGCAGACTTGATAAGAATAAAAGAGTACAAAAAAAGCTGCTTTTAAATCATCATTGGCAGTTTTAAAAAGTTGATGAACTCCTGGGGTGATGTAGAGAGAGGAGCGTGGGTAAAATATCTGCAAAAATAAAATCAGCTGGATCCTCTCACTTCAGAACAATTTCTCTAAAGGATCCACGAGAAGCTGTCCTTAAATGGGGGTGTCCGGGAGTCCTGACGAAAGATGAGCTGTATGTAGCTGTCTCGTTGGCCTTCCTTTCTTTTGCCCTGTGGCTCCTTGAGATCACTGCCAAGTCTGGGTAAATAGAACATGCATTCCTTCTTTCATTTACTTATGCATTTGAGACACAGTTACTGAGCAGCTCTCAAGGGTTAGACATTGAAGGGCATCAGTGAAGCTAGATTGCAAGATGCCTGCCTCAGCTCTCCACTCTTCACCATTGCTAGGATGAACCATTCAACAAATATTCCCGATAATGCATATTTTTTGCTAAGCCCTATATTAGGCACTGGGATACCATTGAACCAGTCATCCCTGCCCTGCAGTAATGGCGGCAGTTAGACAGGGTTTGATTCTTAAAGAAGACTCATAGGACCCAAAATGACAATCTTGCAGGGAAAGGATACAATCACACAACAGCATAAAGTAAGGCAATGAATAGGAAGTAGCCAAAGACTGCATCACAGCAAAGGATCTGGAGAGGCCAGATGCAGGCTCCAATCCTACTCTTTCTGCAAGGCTGAATGGATGCACTTTCTCTTTTAGATCAGGAATCACTAACGTGTGCACTGAACACCTTGCAACCAGGGTGTCCGAAAGGGAGGACAGGCTGAATTTCTTATCCCCTGCTGGTCACATAGGTATATTCTTGCTATGTAACTGCCCCAGTGGCAGAGCTCCCCAGGGGTCTCACTGAGACCAAGTGCAAATTACCAATCTCACAGTTATCATTAAAGTCTCACAATTTTCAGCAAACTGTCCTGAAACTTGCCTTGAATCCATGATTACAAAGTAACATTATTAGTCAGAAGGTTTCATGTCTTGACCAGGGATCAGAGATCAGTGCTGGCAGGTACGTGTTTCACTTCAGTGGCTCATCTCAGGCCAATTCCAGGCCTACAGGAGTTAATCCTGGAACCTCTCCAAACCGTTCTCCACACTGCCTCCACCAACGACAAAAACAACACAACTCAATCAGATGATGTCACTCTCCTGCTTAAAAATCTTCCATGGCTCCTCATTCCCTCTGGATTAAATCTGTATTCCTGGATGCAACGTGCAAAGCCAGTTAGCATCTGTCCCCTGACTCCCTTTACAAATTTACTTTCTTCCCAACACAGGCTCTTCAGTGCAGTCTGCATTGAGAAGCAACCCTTCCCAGCACTTTCCACACTTTTGAAGTGCCCTTGGCTTTCATTTCATTGCCTGGCCAACTTCCACTCAGCATGGGTATCACCTCCAGGAAGTCCTCCCTGGTACCCAGTCTACTATAGGTCTACTTTAGTACTTATAATCAGTTTTTTTTTTTTTTTTTTGAGAGGAAATCTCGCTCTTGTCATACAGCCTGGAGTGCAGTGGCACGATCTTGGCTCACTGAAACCTCCTCTTCCTGGGTTCAAGCGATTCTCCTGCCTCAGCCTCCCAAGTAGCTGGGATTACAGGTGCCTGCCACCATGCCTAGCTAATTTTTGTATTTTTAGTAGAGACGGGGTTTTACCATATTGGCCAGGCTGGTCTTGAACTCCCGACCTCAGGCAATCGCCTGCCTTGGCCTCCCAAAGTGCTGGGATTATAGGCGTGAGCCACTGAGCCAGGCCGATCACTGTTGTCTATAATTGTTTTACTTATCCACCCTTCTCTGTAGATTAGTGGCTTGTTGAGGACAGGATATGTAGGGTCCTCCAGCGTCTCCCTACCCGCTTTCTTTCTCAGCCTGCCTGAGAGTGCCTTTGGCCTCTCTGCGACCCAGCCAGCTGCATGTTTTCCCTGCAGGCTTGAACCCAAGCCAAGGCCTTGAACATTCCCAGGCACTGATGAAGTTGCCTAGTTTGGTTTAGGTTGTTGCTCAAGACACTGACCTGAGCCAAATTCTTTAAACCCTCATGTAAACTCCACATTCTGACCCCGTCATGGTGGACACACCTAGGTAGAACATTGCTTTCTCTCTTGACCACTGGGGGATACATGGCAGCCCACTCTGTAAGTCTGTCCCACTAATAAACACTTTGGACTGATCATCCTTGTGTTTAGTGCTTCTTTCTCTAGAATCCCATCCAGCCCCATCTCAAGACCATTTGGGGCTCTCTCTTGTGGGAACTTCCCTGCCACTGCTTTGGGGGCAACTCCAGCCACAAGTTTGGTTGGAAGGAACAATGTCTTTTATTTCTGATTCCTAGTTATCTATCACAGTTCCCTGCAGACATAAGCCATTCAATGAGTAAATGATTCTAGTGAATTGCTTTCTAGCGAAATGTATGCAGGTAGATGCCATGCAGGTCAAAGGTGGCATCAACACCAGCTGGCTGCTCATGGCATGTCCTCCTCAGGCCCAGCTGCACTCTCCACTGCAAATTCCATGAGATATATCTATATCTTTACAATAATTTTCCCACCCGTCCCCCCATTAAGCCACTTCAAATAGGTTCCTGTTGTTTGCAACTGGAAATGTCCTAAGCAAAACATTACCTCATAGCCTTATTGAATTGGATCATTGTATTGATTTGTGCATCTCGCTGTAAATTTTATCTTAAAAAAAACACAGGAGAAAAATTACCCCATGGGGTTGCCAGGAGGCAGACATGAGATAATGCTTGCACAATGCTGTGTCAGTCAGGAATATTTTGGAAACAAGTGACCTAAACACAAAACACAAACCAGGTTAAGTAAAAAATGGAATGCACAGGCTCACAGAACTGGAAAACCTAGAGGTAGGTCTGTGTGTTTGTTCTCTATTGCTGCATACCAAATTGCCGTAGCACCAATTTAGCAGCTCACACCACCACCCACGTATTGTCTCACAGTTCAAGACTGAAATCTTGGGGTCAGCTGGGCTGAGTTCTCATCTGGAGGCTCTGTGGATAATCTGCTTTCAACCCCATTCTTCTTGTTGGCAGCATTCAGTTGCTCGCAGTTGTAGGACTGAAGTCCCATTTCCTCCCCAGCTGTGCTGCTCTCAGTTCCTAGAGGTTACCCATGGTTCCTTCCCATGTCCCTGCCACAGGCAGATCACAGCATGAATGTTTGTTTTCTTCCAGATTAATTAGAGCGTCTCTCTCTGACTTCCTCTTCTCACCTCAGATGATGAGGCACCCAGATCATCTCCCAATCCTACCCACAACTGATTTTAGGCCTTCATAATGAAACTGGAGAGTTTCCTTGACCCCTTTGCAGGACTTGCAACAGGGGTGGCTAATTTACTCTGCTGTCACGCTCAACCCTTTATGGAAGGGAGCACATGAGCAGGATGGGTACGGGAACCAGAGCAAAAGAATGCTGGAACCTCCAGCAGCTTCTCTCCCATGGGAGCAAGCCCTGTGTGGGCCCTGCGGCAGCATCCCAAGAGTGTTACAATGCTCTTTTAGCTCTGCTGTCCTGGTGAGGGGGGTGCCTGTTATACCCCTGAGCCCCAGAAGGCATGTTACCAGCTCAGTGGGCCTTTTGTCTCATTGTGTGGGGTGGCTGCCCTCTGCCAGCAAGGGCAAAGGGCCGGTGTGACAGCCTTTTTGGGATCCTGCACCCAGTGCATCCCAAATTCTTGTCCCATGCCCAAGAGGAATGAGGTCACCCAGACTTGAAGGATGGCAAATGTAGAGATTTTACTGAGCAGTGGAGGTAGCTCTCAGCAGGATGGGAGCTGGGAAGGGGATGGAGTGGGAAGGTGGTCTTCCCTAATGGCGGAACTCCTCTCCACCGTCCCACCCGAACTTCTCTCCACCATCCCATCCAAACTCCTCTCCAACCAGAGTCTCCAATGTCCAGCTGCTTCTTCTTCTCTCCACGTTCAGATGCTTCTGTCCTTGTCCTTCTCTGCCGTGCTGCTCTGCTCCTCTGCCAGTGGAGCTTGGAGTTTTTATGGGCATATGATGGGGGTGTGGGGGGCAACATTTGGGCAGGAAAACAGAGATATGAAGTTCTCATTTAGGGCCTCAGGTCCAGGCTTGAGGGTGGAACCCTCACCAGGGACCCCACCCTTTTCTACCTCGTATTTCCCTGCCTCCTGTTCATATCAATAGCATCAGTAAAATCTCTCCACAGCAGCACTTAGAGTTTTAGTGTTTGAATAACGGCTAGAAGGTGTGTGTAAACCAGGAACTGAGAATCTTGGGAGGGCCATCTTAGAATTCTTCCCACCACAGGCTGACTTCAGGCATGGCTGGATCCAGGGGCTCAGAATTGGTGGGGGAGGGGCATTATTCCAGCAGCTTCATCTTGCCTACTTGGGTGCACTTGAGGCACAGTGCTTATTCTCTCACCAACCCTGTTAGAAAGGCATGTCTTTCCTGATTACCATTATGGGATTGACTGTGGGCCAACTTGAGCTGATGCCCATCTTTGAACTACACTGTAGTCAGAGGGTGCAAATGCTCTGGTTGTCCAGGTCTGAGTTATGTGCCCTTTCTTAAACCTGGAGACTTGTATTGGTTTGGCATAAACCATATAGAACAGTAGTTTTCAAGAGGAAGGGGGGTGATTTTGAACCTTAGGAGACATTTGGCAATATCTAGAGTAATTCTTAGTTGTCATAAAACTGGGGGATAGGGATGTTACCAGCATTTCATGGGTAGAGGCCAGGGGTGCTGCCATTTATCCTACAAAGCACATGACAGTCCCCCACAACAAAGAATTGCCTGATCCCAAATGTTAATAGTGTCAAGGTTGCAAAACCCTGATGCAGATGAAGAAAAGGGGTGCTTAAGGAAAATTAGAGTGCTGTTATCAGAAAGGGACCTGGATGTTGGCAAAACCCACAGATCCCACGGTAAGTACTTTACCTGGCACAGAATCAGTTTTCTAGAGTTTTAATATTTCTTCTTTCTGTTCTTTTTCTAATTTGTTTTCCCTCCCTACTCCTGACTCCAACCTTTTTACACACATCTTTTAGAAATAAACCTTCTTCCACCTGGTCTGCCAAGATTAGTTCTCACAGTCTCTCCTTTTCCTAAATCCCTCTAGGAGTTCCATGTGCTCTGTGATGCCTGAAACACAGAGGGGTGGCTTCTTCTTCCTGACTCCAGGCCACACTCACCTGCCAGTCCAAACACATCTCTAGTGTAAGGCCCATAATGGTAAACGAAAGGTGATTCTCTTGTATTTGCAAATTTTTTCAGACCTACACACCCACACATTCATATACACTTTTTTGGCTCATATTTCTCCCAAGATATCAATAATAATGCCAAATTTCTACAACAGTTGATTTTCTGTTTCCTTTCTCCTATCTCTGCCTCCTTTCATCATGACTTTACCCTGGCTACATTTTTCTAAAGTTTTGTCCTATTTTTAAATAGGTAATGCATTTGTATGGTTCAAAATTTAAAAGGTTCAAAAGGATATATGCAGCAAAAGTCACTTCCACCTCTATTTCCAGCTCCCTAAAAACCTCACTGGAGGCAGTGAATGTTAGTAGTTTGTTTATAAATCCTTCCAGAGATATTATTGTACTTATAAGCAAGTATGTATATAAATCCTTCTTCTCTTTTCTTCTTTTTTATTTTAAACAAATGGTAGTATGCTATTCACACAGCTATGTAACTTGTTCTGGTTTATTTTATTTAAAAATTATTTTGGAGATTGTGCATATCAGTGCATAAGAGCTTGCTCATTCCTTTTACAGAGGCTCAGCGTCCATTTTATGAATGTGTCATAATTTATCTAACCAGTCCTCTCTCACTGGACTTTTAGATTATTTCCAATCTTCTGTTTTATAAAAAAAGAAATACACTTCCACTGGGCATGGCGATGCCCACCTGTAGTCCCAGCTATTTGAGAGGTTAAGGCAGGAGGATCACTTGAACCCAGGAGTTCAAGGCTGCAATGAGTTATGATCATGCCACTGCACTCTAGCCCGGGAGTCTGGAGGCTGGTCTCATGACAGAATGAGACCTCATCTCTAAAGAAAAAAAGAAAGAAAGAAAAGAAAAAGAGGCCAGGTGTGGTGGCTCACGCCTGTAATCCCAGCACTTTGGGAGGCTGAAGCGGGCCAGTCACCAGAGGCCAGGAGTTCAAGAGTAGCCTAGCCAACATGGTGAAACCTCATCTCTACTAAAAATACAAAAATTAGCCAGGCGTGGTGGCGCAGGCCTGTGATCCCAGCTACTCGGGACGCAGAGGCAGGAGAATTGCTTGAACTCGGGAGGTGGAGGTTGCAGTGAGCCGAGATTGCACCACTGCACTCCAGCCTGGACGACAAGAGCGAGACTCCATTTCAAAAAAAAAAGAAAAGAAAAAAAAAGAAAATGACCAGGTTGACGTAGCTAGAAAGAATGAATCTGGTTTCAGACAATTTGACGATAGAGCCACTCCCCCACTCTCTCGCTCTCTCTTTTTTTTTTTTTTTTTTTTTTTGAGACAAGGCCTCACTCTGTCACCCAGGCTGGAGTACAGTGGCTCGATCACAGCTCACTGCAGCCTCAACCTCCTGGGCTCAAGCAATCCTCCCTCCTTTGCCTCCTGAGTAGCTACAACTACAGGCGTGTGCCATCAGACCCAGCTACATTTTTTTATTTTTTATTTTTTTTCCGTAGAGACAAGGTCTCACTATGTTGCCCGGGCTGGTCTTGAACCCTTGGCCTCAAGCAGTCCTCCCACTTCAGCCTCCTAAAGCACTGGGACTGCAGGCATGAGCCACCATGCTTGGCCAGAGCTACTCTCTTATACAGGAAGTACATTTGAAAGGAGTTTTTACATTTTTTCTTGTCTCTTATTGTGGATTGAAAAGCATTAACCTCTGTTAAAGAAATTTGGGCCACTGAAAGTAGATTAGAAAGAGAGATTGAGGAATTTTCAATGTTCTGGTGTGCCCTTAAATGATACCAGTTCCACTGAAAGTAAAGGCCCACCACAAAGAAATTGATGATTCTGGGAACTTCCTTGCTACATTAAATTTTAAAACATTGCACTCAACAATTACCTATAAACTCTTTTACAACCTATTTGATATTCCTGGTATTTCCACAAATAGTTTAGAAAAACAATGTGGAGTAAGTAGTGAGACAGGATTGTTCCCTTGACCTTGACCCCCTTCGTGGGCGGGAACTGGAGTGGCTCATTTCGCTCAGCCTGCGGCTGGCCACTCCTCACAAGAGAGAGTGTGCAAGCAAGTGAGTGAGGGAACAGGAGGGAATGAAGGCTGGAACTGGCCGGTCACTCCTCTCTGGCGGGAGCAGGCTCTGTGCGGGCCCCGCAGCAGCATTCGAGCTCTTGCCCTCTTGGCACCCGGGTTCTTGTCCAGCATCCAGGAAGAATCAGGTCACACGAATGTATTGAAGGGTAGTGTATGCGGAGGATTTTACTGGGCGATGGATGTGGCTCTCCTTGGAATGGGGAGTTGGAAAGGGGATGGTGCAGGAAAGAGGTGATCTTTCCCTGAAGCCGCACTGTCTGAAGTTTGCAGTGTCTATCCGCAGTCCCCAGTGCTCAGCCACTTGTATCCCTGACGATCAGTCACTTGTCTGCTCACCACTTACAATGCTCTGCCAGCTGAAGTCTTTTTACGGGCACAAGATAGGTGGAGTGGCAGGCCAAAAAATCAATATTTGGTTGGAAAAACTGGGTCAGCTGTTTTCACTTAGGGCCACAGTTCCAGGCCTAAGGGTGAGGTTTAGCCAGGAGCCCAGCCGTTCTGTATCAGTAAGATCCAATAATTTCATATAACGAAGCAGAATGGTGAAACATTATCATAGAAAAAGAGTAGACTCACCTTCAATTTCACAAAAGTGTTGGTTCAAATGTCACCTTCTCATTGAGGCCTGCTCTAATGATCTAGTTAAAATTTTACTCCTGGCCAGGCGCCCTGGCTCACGCCTGTAATCCCAGCACTTTGGGAGGCCGAGGCGGGTGGATCACGAGGTCAGGAGATGGAGACCATCCTGGCTAACACGGTGAAACCCCGTCTCTATTAAATATGCAAAAAATTAGCCGGGCGTAGTGGTGGGTGCCTGTATTCCCAGCTACTCGGGAGGCTGAGGCAGGAGAATGGTGTGAATCCGGGAGGCAGAGCTTGCAGTGAGCCGAGATGGCACCACTGCACTCCAGCCTGGGCAACAGAGCAAGACTCCGTCTCAAAAAAAAAAAAAAATTTTACTCCTTTATCACTCCCAAATCCCCATTAGCAATCTCAAACCCCCTTTTTGTTCCATCTTTGTTCAAATCTTTTTGTTTTATTCAGGCCTTCAACTGATTGGATGAGGCCCACTTACATTTTGGAGGTCAATCTACTTTACTCAAAATTCACAAATTTAAATGTTAATCCCATCTAAAAACACCTTCCATATTGGCACATTAAATTAATTATTAAATCTCACTCAATTATTTTCATTTATAGCTTTTAACACTAACTTACAATATATTTTACCTATTTATTATTACTTGTTTTTTCTTTACTGTCTTCCCACGCTAGAATTTAAATTTCATGTGAGCAGGGATTGTCTTTGTTTTGTTCACTGCTGTGTTCCCAGTACCCAGTAGGCTCTAGGTAATACTTCTTGAATATTTTTCTTCAGGGACTTATTTGTTGTATCCTAAGTTAAAGTGCCCAGCCCCCAAAAAGTTTAGAGGAAATAAAGGCAAAAATTATTTGTTTTCCTTTGAAATTTCTTTTTGAATAGATACTATACTGTGGTTCAAAATATAAAAATCATTCAAAATGCAAAAGTTACACAAGGATAGATGGAAAAAAAATAGAATATCCACCCTGTTTCCCCTACCATTCAAGTGTCCCCCTCCCTGAAGACGACCAATGTCATCAGTTTCTTTTGTAAATTTCCAGAGAAACTTCATAGATATGCAAGCAAATATCAATATATTTTCCCCTATCTTTTTTCTTTTTCTTTTTTTTTTTTGAGATGGAGTTTCACTCTTGTCACCCAGGCTGGAGTGCAATGGTACAATCTCGGGTCACTGCAACCTCCGCCTCCTGAGTTCAAGTGATTCTCCTGCCTCAGCCTCCCGAGTAGCTGGGATTACAGGAACCCACCACCATCCCTGGCTAATTTTTTGTATTTCTTTCTTTTTTTTTTCTTTCAGTAGAGACAGGGTTTCACCATGTTAGCCAGGCTGGTCTCAAACACCTGACCTCAGGTGATCTGCCCACCTCCGCCTCCCAAAGTGCTGGGATTACAGGCATGAACCACCATGCCCAGCCTCCCCTATCTTTTTTTACGCAAATATTATACCATATTCATATGTCCATACTGCAGTGCACATGTCTTTTTTTTTTTTTTTAAGACAGAGTCTTGCTCTGTCACCCAGGCTGGAATGCAGTGGTGTGATCCTGGCTCACTAAAACCTCTGCCACCTGGATTCAAGCAATTCTCCTGCCTCAACCTCCCGAGTAGCTGGGATTACAGGCACCCACCACCCAGCTAATTTTTGTACTTTTAGTAGAGACGGGGTTTCATCATATTGTCTAGGCTGGTCTTGAACTCCTGACCTCAGGTGATCTGCCCACCTCAGCCTCCCAAAGCATTGGAATTACAGGCGTGAGCCATTGTGCCCAGCCACATGTGGC
The DNA here is from genome assembly GCF_000001405.40 of Homo sapiens. NCBI lineage: Eukaryota > Metazoa > Chordata > Mammalia > Primates > Hominidae > Homo > Homo sapiens. Next base: position 104,190,042 of record NC_000012.12, read on the forward strand.
TTTTAAAAAATATTTAGCAATACAGAGTGATTAAAGAAGAACTGAATGCTTTCAAGAATGTATTATTCAGTAACCTGATTATGTATGAACATTTAGTATGCACATGGGGACACATCAATAATCTTGTGTTTATTTTGTTTCTTTTTGCCTTGTGGAAATGAAGTAACACACCATCCTGCCATTTCAGCCTTCATTCTGTTGTGCCACAAAGGGGCTGGGATAAATTAGCCTACAGGATTTATAGGTGGTGGGTGGCATGCTAGGGTGGCATACTAAGCATTTCTAAAATTACAACCAATCTTCCAGATTGGCTTTGAATGCACATTCATACATAATGTTGTATTAGTCAGAGCTCTACAGAGAAGCAGAGCCAATAGGCTATGTAGATAAATAGATATAGAAAGAGATTTAAAGAATGTATGAGGAATTGGCTTACATTCTTGTATGAGGAATTGGCTTACATGATCATGGGGTCTGACAAGTCCAAAATTTGCAGTGTGAGTTGGCAAGTGGAGACCGAGGAGACCCTTTGGCAGATGAAGTCCAAAGGCAGTCTGGGCTGGGCACAGTAGCTCACATCTGTAATCCCAGCACTTTTGGAGGCTGGGGTGGGAGGTTTGCTTCAGCCCAGAAGTTGAAGACCAGCCTGAGTAACACAGGGAGGCCCTGCCTCTACCAATAATTTAAAAATTAGCCAGATGTGGTGGTGCACACCTGTAGTCCCAGCTACTTGGGAGGCTGAGGTGAGAGGATCACTTAAGCCTGGGAGATTGAGGCTGCAGTGAGCTATAATTATCCCACTGCACTCCAGCCTGGGCAACAGAGCAAGACCCTGTCTCACAAAATAAATAAATAAACAAACAAACAAAAAAGCAAAAGTAGTCTGCAGGAAAACCCCCTCTTGCTTGAGGAGGCTTATCTGTTTGTTCTATTCAGTCCTTCAACTGATTGGGTGAGGCCCACCCACATTTTGGAGGTCAATCTGCTTTAGTCAAAATACACCAATTTAAATGTTGTTGTTTTGTTTTGTTTCTGTTTTTGTTTTTGTTTTTTGAGATGAAATCTCGCTCTGTCACCCAGGCTGGATTGCAATGGCACAATCTCGGCTCACTACAACCGCTGCCTCCTGGGTTCAAGTGATTCTCCTGTCTCAGCCTCCTGAGTAGCTGGGATTACAGGCGTGTGCCACCACACCCAGCTAATTTTTTTGTATTTTTGTAGAGACAGGGTTTCACCATGTTGATCAGGCTGGTCTCGAACTCCTGACCACAAGTGATCCACTTGCCTTGGACTCCCAAAGTGCTGGGATTACAGGCCTGAGCCACTGAGCCTGGCTTAAATGTTAATCTCATCTAAAAACACCCTCCATGTCGACACATTAAATTAACACAAATAGGGATACAAAATAATACATTTTTGAAGTGTTCTCTTTTTTTATAACTCGCTTTTTTTTTTTTTTGAGACAAAGTCTCAGTCTATTGCCCAGGCTGGAGTGCAGTAGCACAATCATGGCTCACTGCAGCCTCACCCTCCCAGGCTCAGGTGATCCTCCCACCTCACCCTCCTGAGTAGCTGAGACTACAGATGTGTGCCACCATGCCTGGCTAATTTTTGTATTTTTTGTAGAGATAGGGTTCCGCCGTGTTGCCCAGGCTTGTCTTGAATGTCTGGGCTCAAGTCATATGCCCACCTCAGCCTCCCAAAATGCTGGGATTATAGGTGTGAGCCACCATACCTAGCCTTGCCTCACCTTATATATCTTAGAAAGGAAGTATGTATTGAGACTGTTATTACCATTCTTTTTAAAAAATATATTATTCTTATCAGCATTGCCTTAGCAAAAATTTCACCAGCAGGAAAAACAAAAGACATATGATTCTGATCTGAAACTTGTCTTCCCCACTGTTCTTAAAGTTTGTGCCACAGAGCCACCTTATACTCTAATTCTATTTCAGTAAACACATCCTGAGCCTCTATACAATTCTCTAGAGAGATATAAAGGCCCCTTTCTTCCACAGGTTCATAATTCCTTTGAGGAGATGGACACATACTCAAGTGTTGCTGCTACAATACAGATTAGGGCTGGGCTCAGGGCTACAGCAGGGGCTCAGGGGAGGCTAGAAAAAATGTTGGAGGCCAGACGCCTTAGCTCATGCCTGTAATCCCAGCACTTTGGGAGGTTGAGGCAGACAGATCACTTGAGGCCAAGAGTTTGAGACCAACCTGGCCAACATGACAAAAACCCATCTGTACTAAAAATACAAAAATTAGCTGGATTTGGGGGCGTGCACCTATGATCCCAGCTACTTGGGAAGCTGAGGCACAGAATCGCTTGAACCTGGGAGGTGGAGGTCACCGTGAGCTGAGATTGCACTACTGCACTCCAGCCTGGGCGACAGAGCGAGACTTTATCTAAGTAAGTAAGTAAGTAAGTAAGTAAATAAATAAATAAATAGTTACTATTATTATTATTATTATTATTTTGAGACAGAGTTTTGCTCTTGTTGCTCAGGCTAGAGTGCAATGGTGTGATCTCAGCTCACTGCAACCTCCACCTCCCGGGTTCAAGCAATTCTCTTGCCTCCGCCTCCCCAGTAGCTGGGATTACAGGCACGCACCACCATGCCCAGCTAATTTTTGTATTTTCAGTAGAGACGGGGTTTTACCATGTTGGTGAGACTAGTCTTGAACTCCTGACCTCAGGTGATCCACCCGCCTTGGCCTCCCAAAGTGCTGGGATTACAGGCGTGAGCCACCACGCCCAGCCAATAAATGGTTAATAATATTAAAAAGAATGTTGGAGAGATGACTCCGGCTGATAAATCTGAATGACTAAGAGATGTGAGCAGGGCCTTGAAGGTTGTTGAGGCTTTAAGGAGCTACAATGGGATAAGGTACAGGGGCTGGAAAACACAGATGTCTGGAGGAGGAACAAGTGGAGTGGGATAGATCCATTCACTCCCAAATTTATTGAGGACATGCTTTCATATAAAAGATTATATTTTCTATAGGATAAACCAAATGGGAGTTGAGAGTGTCTAAATGGGTGAAAAATTTTTTTTGTATTTTTTACATTAATTAATTAAATGAAAAAATAAAATATAAAAAGAAGGTATTCAATATTAAATTTGTACCACATTCCACAAATTTTTTTTTAATTTTATGAGAAACTAGAGCTTATTTCTAGGAACATAATGTTTAAAAATTGATATATAATGATTGTACACATTTCTGGAGCACATGTGGTATTTTGATATATGCATACAACATGTAATGATCAAATCAGGGTAATTGGGATATCCATCACCTCAAATATTTATTATTTCTTTGTATTGGGAACATTCCAAATCTTTTCTTCTGGCTATTTTGAAATATACAATAAATTATTGTCATCTGTAGTCACCCTATTGTATTACCGAATATTAGAAGTTATTTCTTCTAACTTTTTTTTTTTTTAAGACGGAGTCTCACTTTTTTTGTCCAGGCTAGAGTGCAATGGTACAATCTTGGCTCACTGCAACCTCCGCACCTCCCGGGTACAAGCGATTTTCTTGCCTCATCCTCCCGAGTAGCTGGTATTACAGGCACCCACCACCACACCCGGCTAATATTTTTGTATTTTTAGTAGAGACAGGGTTTCACCATGTTGGCCAGGCTGGTCTCAACTCCTGATCTCAAGTGATCCGCCCGCCTTGGCCCCCCAAAGTGATGGGATCACAGGTGTGAGCCACTGTGCCTGGCTCTTCTAACTATTTTTGTACCTATTAACCAACCTCTTTTCATCCTCCTCTACCCTCTACCTTCTCAGCCTCTGGTAACCACCATTCTACTCTCTACCTCCATGAGATCAACTTTTTACAGCTCCCACATGTGAGTGAGAACATGCAATATTTGTCTTTCTGTGCCTGGCTTATTGCACTTAATGTCCTCCAGTCTATCCATGTTACTGCAAATGACAGAATTTCACTCATTTTTATGGCTGAATAGTATTCCACTGTACATATATACCACATTTTTTAAAATCCATTCATCCACTGATGGACACTTTGGTTGATCCCGTATCTTGGTTATTGTGAATAGTGCTGCAATAAACATGGAAGTGCAGATATCTCTTCAATATAGTGATTTCCTTTCTTTTGGATATTTACCCAGCAGTTGGATTGCTGGATCATATGGTAGGTCTATTTTTAGTTTTTAGAACCTCCATCCTATTTTCCATAATGACTGTACTAATTTACATTCCCAGCAACAATGTATAAGAGTCCCCCTTTCTCCACATCCTCATCAACACTTATCTTTTGTCTTTTTGACAATAGTCATTCTAACTGGGGTGAGATGATATCTCATTGTGGTTTTGATTTACATTTTCCTGATTAGTAATGTTGAATATTTTCTCATATACCTATTGGCAATTTGTATGTCTTCTTTTGAGAAATGTCTACTCAGATCATTTGCCCTTTTTAAAATTTGATTATTTGGGTTTTTTTGTTTTTGAGTTGTTTGAGTTCCTTATATATTTTAGTTATTAACCCCTTGTATGATGAATAGTTTACAGTTATTTTCTCCCGTTCTGTAGGTTGTCTCTTCACTCTGTTGATGTTCCTCTTGCTATGCAGAAGCATTTTAGCTTGATATAATCCTGTTTGTCATTTTTGCTTTTGTTGCCTGTGTTTTTGAGGTCTTACCCCAAAATCTTTGCTCAGACCAATGTCCTAAAGCATTTTCTCAATGTTTTTTCTAGTACTTTCAGGTTTTACATTTAAGTATTTAATCCATTTTGATTTGATTCTTGTATATGGTGAGAAATAGGGGTCTAGCTTCATTGTTATGCATATGATTATCCAGTTTTCCCAGCACCATTTATTGAAGATACTGTTCTTTCTCCAAATAAGTTCTTGGTGCCTTTGTCAAAAATGAGTTTGCTGAAGATGTGTGGATTTATTTCTGGGTTCTCTTTTCTGTTCCACTGGTCTATGTGTCTGCTTTTATGCCAGTACTATGTTGTTTTGGTTAGTATGGCTTTGTAGTATATTTTAAAGTCAGGTAGTGTGATGCCTCCAGTTTTGTTTCTTGTTCAGGATTCCTTTGGCTATGTGGGGTCTTTTGTGGTTCTATACAAATTTTAGGATTTTTTTTAATATTTGTGTAAAGAATGTCATCGGTATTTTGATAGGGATTGCACTGAATCTTTAGATTAGGTAACATGGACTTTTTTTTTTTTTTTTTTGAGACAGAGTCTTGCTCTGTTGCCCAGGCTGGAGTGCAGTGGTGTGATCTCAGTTCACTGCAAGCTCTGCCTCCTGGGTTCCCACCATTCTCCTGCCTCAGCCTCCTGAGTAGCTGGGACTACAGGCACTCACCACCACGCCCGACTAATTTTTTGTATTTTTGTTAGTAGAGGTGGGGTTTCACCATGTTAGCCAGGATGGTCTCAATCTCCTGACCTCATGATCCGCCTGCCTCAGCCTCCCAAAGTGCTGGGATTACAGGCATGAGCCACCGTGCCTGGCCAACATGGACATTTTAACAATATTATTTCTTTCAATCCATGAGCATGGGATTTTTTAATGTTTTTGAAATAACTCTTCAATTTCTTTTATGAGTGTTGTACAGATTTCTTTGTAGAGCTCTTTCACCTCTTTGGTTAAATTTATTCCTAGATATCTTATTTATTTTGTAGGTATTGTAAATGGGATTGCTTTCTTGATTTATTTTTCTGATTATTTGCCATCAGTGTATAAAAGTGTTACTGATTTTTCTATGTTGATTTTGTGTCCTGAAACTTTTCTGAATTCATTTATCAATTCTAACAGTTTTTTGGTGGCATCTTTAGGTTTCTCTAAATACTAGATCATGTTGTCTGCTAACAAGGATAATTTCACTTCTTCCTTTCCAATTTGGATGCCCTTTATTTCTTCCTCTTGCCTAATTGCTCAGAATAAAAATGGTGAAAGTGGGCATCCTTGTGTTGTTCCAGATCTTAGAGGAAAGGCTTTCAATTTTTCCCTGTTCAGTGTGACATTAGCTGTGGGTTTGTGTTTTATGGCCTTTGTTGTTTTGCAGTATGTTCCTTCTATACCAAATTTGTTGAGAGTTTTATCATGGAGGCACGTTGGATTTTGTCAAATACTTTTCCAGAATCTACTAAAATGATCATATGGTTTTCGTCCTTGGTTCTGTTATGTCATAAATGTGATATATAACATTTATTGATTTGTGGTCAATTCATATGTTGAACCACCCTTGCATGTCAGGGATGAATACCACTTAATCATGGTGAATGATCTTTATAATGTGTTATTGAATTTGGTGTATTTTATTGAGAATTTTTGCACGTATGTTCATTAGGGATATTGGCTTGTAGTTTTATTTTATTGTTGTGTTCTTGTCTGGTTTTGGTATCAAGGTAACACTAGCCTTATAGAATGAGTTTGGAAGTATTTCCTCCTCTTACATTTTTTGAAGTAGTTTGAGAGAACCGATGTTAGTTTTTCTTTAAATGTTTGGTATAATTCAGCAATAAAGCCATCCAGTCCTGAGCGGTTTCTGCTTGATATTATTGCTTGTTATTGGTCTGTTCAGGCTTTCTATTTCTTCATGGTTCAATCTGGCTAAGTTGTATGTGTCCAGTAATTTATTCATTTCTTCTAGATTTTGCAATTTGTTGGTGTATAGTTGTTCATCATAGTCTCTAATAATCCTTTGTATTTCTGTGATATCTGTCGTAATGTCTTTTTTTCATTTCTGATTTTATTTATTTGGGCCTTCTCTCTTTTTCATAGTCTAGTTAAAGGTTTGTCAATTGTGTTTATGTTTTTTAAAAAACAATCTTTCGTTTATTTAATCTTTCAAATAGTTTTTTAGTCTCAATTTCATTTATTTTGGCTCCAATCTTTTTTTTTTCCTTCTACTTATTTTGGGTTTGGTTGGTCCTTGCTTTTTCAGTTCTTTGAGTTTCAACATTAGGTTATTTATTTGAAGTCTTTTTATTTTTTTGACAAAGCATTTATTGCTATAAACTTTTCTCTTAGCACTGTTTATGCTGTATCCCATAGGTTTTGGTATGTTGTGTTTCCATTTTCATTATTTTCAATAAATTTTAAAATGTCATTCTTAATTTCTTCATTGACCTGTTGGTTGTTTAGGAGCATATTGTTTAATTTCCATGCACTTATGCAGTTTCCAATGTGCCTCTTGTTATTGACTTCTAGTTTTATTCATTTTGGTCAGAAAAGATCCTTGATATGATTTTTATACTTTTGAATTTGTTGAGACTTGTTTTGTGATCCAACATATGATCTGCCCTGCAGAATGTTCCATGTGTTAATGAAAAAAAAAGTGTATTCTGCAAGAGTTGGATACAGTGCTCTCTAAACATCAGTTAGGGACATTTGGTCTAGAGTTTGGTTTAACTCCAGTGTTTCTTGGCTCATTTTCTGCCTCGATAATCTGTTAACTACTGGAACTGGGATGTTGAAATCCCTTACTCATTGTATTGCAGTCTATCTCTCCCTTTAGTTCTATTAATATTTGCTTTATATATTTTGCTCCTCCAATGTTGGGTACATACGTATTTACAGTTATTATATCCTCCTGCTAAATTGACCCCTTTATCATTATATAACGACTTTTTTGTCTTTTTAAATAGTTTTAGTCTTGAAGTCTATTTTATCAGATATAAGTAGGCTGACTCTTGCTCCTTTTTGATTTTCATTTGCATGTAATATCTGTTTGCATGCCTTCACTTCCAGTCTATTTTGTCTTTACAGGTAAAGTCTTCCTTCCTTCCTTCCTCCCTTCCTTCCTTGCTTCCTCCCTCCCTTCCTTCTTTACTTCCTTCCTTCTTTCCATCTCTCTCTCTTTTTTTTTTCTTTCTTTCTTTTTATTTGAAATGAAGTCTTCCTATGTTTCCCAGGTCTCAAACTCCTGGGCTCAAGCAATCATCCCACCTCAGCGTCACAAGTGGATAATACTACAGGTTTGCCACACCAAGCCTGACAAAATTAGTTATTGTAGGTAGCAGATAGTCTTGTTTTCTTAAAAAAAATCTATTCAGCCACTCTATGCCTTTTAATTGAAGAATTTAGTCCAGTTTTGCATTCAGTGTGACTATTGATAGGTAAGAACTTGCTGCTGCCATTTTATTACTTGTTTTCTGGTTGTTTTGTAACTCCCGTCTTTCGTTCTTACTGTCTTCCTTTGTGGTTAGGTGATTTTCTCTAGTAGTATGTTTTAATTCTTTGCTTTTTATTTTTAATGTATTTATTATAGATTTATACGTTGGGTTACCATGAGGCTTACCAAAACATCTAATACATATAACAAGTTACTTTGAACAGATGACAACTTAACTTTGATCAAAATGAAAAGATGGGGAGGTGGGGATTGTTAATGGGTTTAAAAAAATAGAAAGAATAAATAAGACCTACTATTTGGTAGCACAATAGGACGACTATAGTCAATAATAACTTGATTGTATATTTTAAAATAACTAAGAGAGTTTAACTGGATAGTTTGTAACATAAAGGATAAATGCTTGAAGCTATGGATACCCCATTTTCCATGCTGAGATATTATATATTGCATGCCTATATCAGAGCATCTAATGTATGTCTATAAATATATATACCTACTATGTACCTGAAAAATCAAAAAGAAGGCCAGGCGTGGGGGCTCACGCCTGTAATCCCAGCACTTTGGGAGGCCGAGGAAGGCAGATCACGAGGTCAAGAGATCGAGACCAGCCTGGCCAACATGGTGAAACCCCGTCTCTACTAAAAATACAAAAATTAGCTGCGCATGGTGGCATGCACCAGTAGTCCCAGCTACTCAGGAGGCTGAGGCAGGAGAATCGCTTGAACCCAGGAGTTGGAGGTTGCAGTGAGCCGAGATCGCGCCACTGCACTCCAGCCTAGCAACAGAGCAAGACTCCATCAAAAAAATAAATAAATAAAAAGAAAAAGTTTAAAGAAAAAAGAAAAGAAAACAAACAAACAAAAGTACTTTAAGGCCAGGTGTAGTGGCTCAAATCTTTAATCCCAGTACTTTGGGAGGGCAAGGTGGGCAGATCACTTAAGCTCAGGAGCTCAAGACCAGCCTGGGTAACATGGCATCTCCACACACACACACACACAAAAATTAGCCGGGTGTGGTGGTGTATGCTTGTAGTCCCAGCTACTCAGGGGGCTGAGATGGGAGGATTACTTGAGCCCAGGGGGTCGAGGCTGCAGTGAGCCGAGATCATGCCACTACACTCCAGCCTGGGTGATAAACTGAGACCCTGTTACACACACATACAGAAAAAAAACTTGAAAAGTTTTAAACTCAAACTCCAATTCTCCTCTCCACATTCTGACTTTTTGTTGTCTCAATTTATATCTTTTTATATTTCCTATCTCCTAATAAATTATTATAGTTATTTGTGTAATATTTGTCTTTCAGTCTTCATACTAGAGCTATGAGTGATTTATATACCACAATTACAGTATTACAATATTCTAAATTTGTCTGCATACTGAATTTTACCAGTGAATTTTATATTAGCTTTGTGCAAAATTAATTGCAGTTTTGGCCATTGAAAGTAATGGCTGGGCATGGTGGCTCACACCTGTAATCCCAGCACTTTGGGAGGCTGAGGCAGGCGGATCACCTGAAGTCAGGAGTTCAAGACCAGCCTGACTAACATGGTGAAACCCCATCTTTACTAAAAATACAAAAATTAACCAGGCATAGTGGCAGTCACCTGTAATCCCAACTACTCGGGAGGCTGAGGCAGGATAATTGCTTGAACCCAGGAGGCGGAGGTTGCAGTGAGCTGAGATTGCTCTCCAGCATGGGTGACACAGTGAGACTCTATCCAAAAAAAAAAAAAAAAAAAAATTAATGGCAAAAACTGTGATTACTTTTGCACCAACATAATACCTTCAGATGATTTTCTTGTTGCATGTTAGGATCCTTTTCTCTCAGATGGAAGGACTCCTTTTAGCATTTCTTGTAAGACAGGTCTGGTGGTGATGAATTTCCTGAGCTTCTGTTTGCCTAAAAAAGTCTTTATCTTTCCTTCGTGTTTGAAGGATAGTTTTGCTGGGTATCACATTCTCAGTTGGCAGGGGTTTTTTCGTTTTTTGGTTTTTTTTCCTCCTTCAGCACTTTGTGTATGTCATCTCACTCTCTCCTGGCTGGTATGGTCTTTGCTGAGAAGTCTGTTGCCAGATAAATTGAAGCTCCTTTATGTGTATGTTATTTGCTTCTTTCTCTTGCTACTTTTTGGATCCACTTTTTGTCCATGACTTTTGAAAGTTTGATTATTATATGCCTTGGAGCAGTCTTATTTGGGTTGAATATGTTTGTTGATCTTTGGCCTTCCTGTATATGGGTATTTATATTTTTCACTAAGTTTGGAAAGTTTTCTGTTATTATTTTGTGGGAGCTTTCTATGTCTTGCTCTTTCTCAACTCCCTCTTGAAAACCAATGACACTTAGATTTGCTCTTTTGAGGTTATTTTCTAGATCCTGTAGTTGTTCTTTATCTTTTTAATTTTTTTTCTCCTCTGATTGCGTATTTTTAAAGCTCATTTATTTTTTTCTTCTTCATGATCGATTCTGCTGTTGAGACTCCGGTGCATTTTTCAGTTCAGCAAATGTGTGTCTCAGTTCCAGGATTTCTGTTTGATTTGTTTTTATTATTTAAATCTCTTTCTTAAATTTCTCTGATAAATTTCTAAATTGTGGGCCAGGCACGGTGGCTCACGTCTGTAATCCCAGCACTTTGGGAGGCCAAGGTGGGTGGATCACGAGGTCAGGAGATCGAGACCAGCCTGATCAACATGGCAAAACCCCGTCTCTACTAAAAATACAAAAAAATTAGCCAGGCGTGGTGGCACGCGCCTGTAGTCCCAGCTACTCAGGAGGCTGAGGCAAGAGAATCAATTGAACCCAGGAGGCAGAGGTTGCAGTGAGCTGAGACGGCACCACTGCACTCCAGCCTGGGCAACAGAGTGAGACTCTGTCTCAAAAAAAAAAAAAAAAAAATTCAAATTGTTCCTCTGTGTTATCTTGGAGTTTGCTGAGTTTTCTCAAGGTTGCTATTTTGAATTTCTGATCTGAAAGTTCACATATTGCCATCTTATTGGGGTTAATCACTGGTTACTTCTTGCTTCATCCATTTGGGAGGTCATGGTTCCCTGTTTGCTGTTGTTTTTATGCATATATGTCTAGGTCTTTCCAATGATGGATTGTTTATTTTGCTGTCTAGGTTAGTGTTTCTAGCATACGTGTTTTTAGAGGTTTTGTGCAGGCTGCCTGTTGATTCCCTTAGCCCTAGATCACTGCCTCCTTTTTGGCACTAGATGGCACCATAAGCCTAGATTTGCTGCAGTTCTCATGAAAGTTTGAAGTGCTGCCTGTCCTGAATTCAGGGGGAGGGTCCCAAAGAGAATGCCCCAGCTGTCTGGGGAGGCTGGCTAGGGGTTCATGCCCAGAGGACCTATGGCTCACACCTCCTACAGCATCATGCTCCTGAAATACGTCTCTGATTCAGTATCTGCTTTGTCTGAATGGAGACCAGCCCCCGTTTCACACACTGGGTTTCACTGTGTCCCCAACTGCCCTCAAGGGTCCTTCTCTCTATAGGCACTTGCAATGCTTCCCCTGGATTGAGGCAGGAATGGCTTTTGTGCATAGGAATCCAAGATAATGGGGAAGCAGAGTGTCCACTGAAATCTCAGTTTTCCCAGTGTAGAAGCCTTGAGTCCAGGATAACTTTTCCACATGGTGCCTGGCTGTTTGCAGAAATGGGCATCACAGAGAAAGAAATCTGTTTCTCCTACCTTCTGCTCACAGTTTTTCACTTCTCTGTGGCTCCAGGGATTATCACAGCTTCAGTTTTGAGTTCTGGGATATCTGTGGTGATAATCTTTTCTTTCTTTTAATAGGTTTTTGGGAAACAGGTAGTGTTTGGTTACATGGATAAGTTCTTCAGTGGTGATTTCTGAGATTTTGGTGCATCCAACAGTTGAGCAGTGTGCGCTGTAGCCAATATATAGTCTTTTATCCCTCACCCCACTCCCACCCTTTCTCCAAGTCTCCAAAGTCGATTGCCTTTGTGTCCTCATAGCTTAGCTCCCACTTATAAGTGAGAACATATGATGTTTGGTTTTCCATTCCTGAGTGACTTCACTTAGAATAATGGTCTCCAGCTCCATCCAGGTGAATGCCATTATTTCATTCCTTTTTATGGCTGAGTAATATTCCATGGGGGTGTGTGTGTGTGTGTGTGTGTGTGTGTGTGTGTGTGTGTGTAATTTTCTTTATCCACTCATTGATTGATGGGCATTTGGGCTGGTTGAAATGTTTTTGCAATTGCAAATTATGCTGCTATAAACATGCATGGGCCAGGGTGCGGTGGCTCACGCCTGTAATCCCAGCACCTCAGGAGGCTGAAGCGGGTGGATCACGAGGTCAGGAGTTCAAGACCAGCCTGACCAATATGGTAAAACACTGTCTCTACTAAAAATACAAAAATTAGACAGGGGTGGTGGTGCATGCCTGTAATCCCAGCTACTCAGGAGGCTGAGGCTGGAGAATTACTTGAACCAGGAAGGCGGAGGTTGGAGTAAGCTGGATCTCACCATTATGCTCCAGCCTGGGCAAGAGTGGGACTCTGACTCAAAAAAAAAAAAAAAGTTCCCACTCTGCCATGTGTCCTCTGCATGTCTTTAGGCAAGTCATTTCACCTCTCTGGACCTCATGGGGTTTCTGGGAGACACATGTGAAATAATAAATACAAAATGGCTGGAAAAACAGATAAAGAGTGAAGCAGGAATAATAATTGTATAGTTGCTTGACTCCTTTTCCCCATCCCTGGCATGAGGGAGGCATGGGACATCGTAAATGCTCAATAAATATCTGCTAAATAAATGGATTCTAGAGTCAACCGAAGGTAAAATACATGCTATTGTATGGAATTAGATTTGTTCTCACTCGGTGCACACCATGTTCTTCATTAGATGAATCAAATTTAAATACCACATTGAAAATTCTAGAGTCAACTTATTCCTCGATTGAGTTGATTCATTTCTTAAATTGCTTTCTTTGTAAGAGCATCATTAAATTGTGAACACTCTTATGTCCCATCTTTTTCCTTTTATTGCTGTGTAGATAAAGATTTCTCAGGACTGTTTTTCAGATAGCAGACAATATTGTTTTTAATATAGAATCCAGTCACAGGAGTATCTTTCCATAGGACACCTAGCTCCAGAAACTCAGAGTGGAAAGCCCATTTTAATAAAATAAAAATCAAATTTGTCCCCAAGCTGGTTGTCCTTTAGTCATTCTTAATCCTCAGTGTTTTTTTAGGCTAATCTGATTTTCACCCCTAGAAGCTGACTGATTTGTTATATCATTGAAACTAAATCCTCATTTGCATGACACAAGAAAAGCATCCTAATTTTCATCTTAAAGCTGTCTTCTGATTGTAAATGTAAAGATTCTCTCTAGAAAGATCCATAAGAACATGCTAACAGTAGTTGCCTCCAGGTAGAGGAATTTGGGGCATGGGGTAAGGTGGAAGAGAGAGATTTTTTAGTGTAAACTCGTGTGTGTGTGTGTGTGTTTGACAGAGTCTTGCTCTGTTGCCCAGGCTGGAGTGCAGTGGCACAATCTTGGCTTACTGCAGCCTCCGCCTCTGGGGTTCAAGTGATACTCATGCCCCAGCCTCCCAAGTAGTGTGATTACAGGCATGTGCCAGCATGCCCAGCTAATTTTTGTATTTTTAGTAGAGACGGGGTTTCACCATGTTGGCCAAGCTGGTCTCGAAGTGATCTGCATGCCTCGGCCTCCCAAAGTGTTGGGATTACAGGCGTGAGCCACCACGCTCGGCCTCTTTTGTATATTTTGGGGGAAAAAATTATGTATGTATTACTTTTTTTAAAAACCCACTATTCTTTAGGCAAGAACCAGTAGTAACCGTGTGTTTAACCAACTCTTAGTCACTGGGGGGAAAAAATTAAAATGGCAGAGAAAATTGTTCTTGTATTGGAAGACAAAGCCAGGCCCTAAGAAAATTATAAACTAGATGAAGTTTCTTTACAGGGACTAATGTGTAGGATTTCTCAACACTGTGGGACTCAGAAAAAATTGAAAGCAATTTATAGTTTTGCTTTTTTTTTTTTTTTTTTTTGAGACAGAGTCTTGCTCTGGTGCCCAGGCTGGAGTGTAAAATGGTATGATCTTGGCTCACTGCAACCTCTGCCTCTCGGGTTCAAGCAATTCTCCTGTCTCAGCCTCCTGAGTAGCTGGGACTACAGGTGCCCACCACCATTCCTGACTACTTTTTGTATTTTTAGTAGAAACCGGGTTTCACCATGTTGGCCAGGCTTGTCTTGAACTCCTGGACTCAGGTGATCCACCTGCCTTGGCCTCCCAAAGTGCCAGGATTACAGGTGTCAGTCAACGCACCTGGCCTCATTTTGTATAAAGGAAAACATGTGGTATCTCGGTTGTTAATGTTTAGAGATTAAATCAACCAAGTAATTGCGGAACCCTTTTTTAGGAGCAAAATGTTTTGTCACCGTTTAGACTTGAGGCCTCAATTTCCTCACTTGCCAAAATGGGGGTAATGAAGTAGGAGAAGCTCCCTTATCCCCCTCTCAGGGCGTGGGACAGGGATGTGGCTTGCTTCTTTGGTGTCCCACTGCTCAAAGCCCTAGGGGGAGCATGCAAATGGGCAGATCATGGGGAATGTTTTTTGGGCTCGATCCTACAGCAGCATCCAGGGTTGAGTGTTTACAGCTCCTCAAGCCCTAGTTGGCGCGCGTTACAGTGCGCTCTTTCAGCTTTGCTGTCTGTAGGTGGCTTGTGTTAATCAGCTCAGTTAGACTCTTTCCTTATCCCAAGGACAGAGGGCTTTCTGTATCCCAGGTCCTTGCTCTAATGTACTGGAAAAATCGGATCACACGGGGCCTTGGAGGATGAGTGCAAGATTTTATTGGGTGGTGGAGGTAGCTCCCAGCGAGATGGGTGGGAAGCCAGAAGGGGGAAGATGGATGGGAAGCCAGAGTGTGAAGGTTGTTTTCCCCTGAAGCCAGGCCGCCCAGCGGACTCTCCTCCGACTGCCCCTGGCCGAATTCCCCTTGGTGTCCATGTCGTTCTGCTGTCACTGGCCTGCTGGTGTCTGCTGGTGTCTGTTGGTATGCTCCTCTGTTCCTCTTGATGTCCAGCCACTTGTGTGTGTGCGCACTATGGTCCTGGGTTTTTATGGGCACAGGATTGGGAGGCGTGGTGGGCCAAAAGGCAACCTTTTGGGCGTGAAAACAGAATGCCTGTCCTCATCTAGGCCTGTGGGCACAGGCCTGAGGGTGGAGCCCTCGCCAGGGACCCTGTCTTTTCTACCCAGCATTTCCCTGCCCTCCTACCATATCAGCAATAACGCCAAATCCTATAAGTTTTTGGAGTTTTTCACAGGAGACGTTTGTAGAACACAGCCAACAGGGAAAGGCAGAAAACATTCGTTTCTTGAGTGTCTACTGTGTGCCACTTACCATGCTGATTGTTTGCTTTTATTTTATATCTTCAGAGCTATCATGCCACATAGGTATTATAATAGTTTCGATTTTATTTTAGAGGCAGGGTCTGGCTCTGTCATGCAGGCTGGAGTACAGTGGTGCCATCATAGCTCACTCCAGCCTTGAACTCCTGGGCTCAAACTGGTTGGCTTTTAATCACCTCCAGAGTAGCTGGGACTACAGGTATGTGCCACCACGCCTGGTGAATTGCTTTTTTTGTTTTTTTGTAAAGACAGGGTCTTGCTATGTTGCCCAAACTGGTCTCAAACTCCTGGCCTCAAGCAATCCTTTTGCTTTGGCCTCCCAAAGTGTTCAGATTACAGGTATGAGCTACCATGCCTAGCCTATAGTTCTCATTTTATAAAGAAGATGGAACCTCAAAGAAGTTCAGTAACTTACTCAAAATCACAAGCTAATGAATGCAAGAAGTAAGACTCCAATTTAGGTCTGTATGATAAAAAAAAAAAAAAAGCCTGGCAAAATCCTGGCTTCCCGGGGCTGGGTGTGGTGGCTAATGTCTGAAATTCCAGCACTTTGAGAGGCAGAGGTGGATGGATCGCTTGAGACCAGGAGTTGGAGACCAGCTTGGACAACATGGTGAAACCCTGTCTCTACTAAAAATACAAAAATTAGCCAGGAATGGTGGCACGTGTCTGTAATCCCAGGTACTCAGAAGGCTGAGGCAAGAGAATCACTTGAACCCAGGAGGTGGAGGTTGCAATGAGCCGAGATCATGCCACTATACTCCAGCCTGGGCAACAGAGTGAGACTTCGTCTCAAAAAAAGGAGAAAAAAAGAGCCTGGCTTCGTACTCTGCTTGCCTAGGATTTCAGTGGTGCCCGTTCAGGCACCTTTTGAGGCACAGACTGATCCTGACTGGACTGCATTAGGTGCAACAAACCCTTCAGGTTTGTCTTCCAGTGACCCACCACAGGTGGTTTGGAGGCCACCTTCCCATCCATCACAACTACAATAAAAGAAACCAACATTCATTTCATCTTTATGTTGTCTGCATATTTGGTTGTTTTGAGTGACTAGACCACAGATGGTCTTACAAATAGGTGACTGAGTATTACAATCACTTTTAAAATGTAACACAGTTTGTGTGTGACTCAAGCAAAAAGTTTGAATATTAGGGAAATTAGATCTAGGGAAATGGCCCTAAAGTCTAAATTTCAGTGCAAAATTCAAACAACCAGAAAGTTAAAATAACTAGAACGTTTTCCTTTTCTTTTTTTCCTTTTCTTTTCTTTTCAGACAGAGCCTTGCTCTGTCCCCCAGGATGGGGTGCAGTGGTGCGATCTTGGCTCACTTCAGTCTCCACCTTCCAGGTTCAAGCGATTCTCCTGCCTCAGCCTCCCGAGTGGATGGGATTACAGGTGCGCACCACTACACCCAGCTAATTTTTTTACTTTTAGTTTGTTTGTTTTGTTTTTGAGACGGAGTTTCACTCTGTTGCCCAGCTCGGAGTGCAACGGCGCGATCTTGGCTCAATGCAAACTCCACCTCCCACATTCAAGCGATTCTCCTGCCTCAGCCTCCCGAGTGTCTGGGATTACAGGCGTGGACCACCACGCCTGGCTAATTTTGTATTTTTAGTAGAGACAGGGTTTCTCCATGTTGGCCAGGCTGGTTTTGAACTCCTGACCTCAGGAGATCCAACTGCCTTGGCCTCCCAAAGTGCTGGGATAGCAGGCATGTGCCACCATGCCCGGCCTAGAATTATTTTCAGTATATAATTGGTGATTGATGTTTTGCTGTAGGCTATTTACATAATTCTCCTAGGCACTTAGCTGGGCCCCAGGGACACAAGGTGAATTAGACACAGGCTGCCCTTCACAAGTTCACAATCTTGTAGGTAAAACAGTGGTGGTATCACAGGGTAGCTTGGGGGAACTTTAGTTATTCCCTCCTCCCAGCCTCCCAGCCACAGCTATTTCTTGATATAGTTAGAGTTTTCATGATCTCATGTGAAGTACTTGGTCAACCCAGCTTCAAATTCTTTCTCTATCCAGTCTCTGCCCTTTGAAGTCCTCTGTAAGAGACATTCTGCAGCTGCTCTGAGGAATAAATACCATGCAGCCCAAGTGCAATGATAGGAGGACAGAATGTTCTGGAAGCACCTGGCCCAGCAAGCCCATTGCTGAATGAGGGGTAGAGATAAGTCAGCCCAGGAAGGGTGGCCCACAGGTGATGTGGCTTCACGGTGCACTTCGCTTTGGGGAAAGCAGCGGGAGACACAGACTAATGAAGGGCCAACTCCTGTGCCATGCTCAGGAATTTGCATGTTGATTTGCGTGTCTCTCCTCTCTTCCAACCACACTGAGATGGCAGGAAGCTTGTTTTGTTTTGTTCTCCTTTGGAGTCCTGGCTCCTCCCACCGTGATTTATTGGCCTGGAACAGGTGTTGAGTGTGTGTGCTGAATGGATGCAGATTTTGGGAACCGCATGAGGCAGAAATGTCACAGAAGGACTTGCGGGCAGCCACGCAGAGGAAGGATATGATGGGGACAAGACTGAAGGTGGAGAAGACACTGTGGCTAGGACTAATCATCAAGGTGGGGTGTGGGGAATGAGGGGTGGGGAGACCAAGACACTGGCTGTAGGGCTGGGGAGCAGCAGAAGGATTAGAAAGATATTTAGGTGGTAGAATGAGCAGAACTTGGCTGGCTAGGGATAACTGTAACCATGAATGATGGTACGAGGAGCAGGCAGGGGGAGGAAAGTCCATGTAAGGCCAACAGATTTAACTAGAACAGAGTATTCCTCCAACCCATTCCAGAAATGCACTGTATCTGAATTGCCAGCATTTAAAGATTCACCACGTAATCATGGAACCTAATCTTGTTGAGACTTCTAGGGTTTTGCTGATAAACTCCAACTGTGGAGAGGTCCTCTGAGGTGGACTGATGGTTTATTTTAAATGGGATGTTCTGAATATGGTTTGATGGTGGCTTTTCCATCAATCATCTCATACTGAAAATTATGGCAGAGGTGGAAGGAGGGTGGTGAGTTCTATAAATTATTATCCTGTGGCAACTAGAATAGTGGCCTGCACACAGCAAGGGCTCCATAAGTAACTTTTTTTTTTTTTTTTTTTTTTTTTTCTGAGAGACAGGGTCTCACTTTGTCACCCAGGCTGGAGTGTAGGGGTGTGATCACGGTTCACTGCAGCTTTGAAATCCCGGGCTCAAGTGATCCTTACACCTCAGCCTCCCAAGTAGTAGCTGGGACTACAGGCGGGCACCACCATGCCCACCTAAGTTTTTTTTTTAATTTTTTTGTAGAGATAGAGTCTTATTATGTTGCCTAGGCTGGTCTTGAATGCCTGGGCTCAAGCGACCCTCCCACCTCAGCCTCCCAAAGTACGGGATTACAGTCGTGAGCCAATGCTCCCAGCCCACAAGTAATTTTTGAGTGAATGAATGCTGTCCCAAGATCATCAGCTTGTAAATTGCATTGATGTTCCTTCTTGCCTCCTTCAGCAATGCTGTTCTTGGTGCTGAGGATACAGTAGTAAACATAAAGACAGAAGTTCCTGCCCTGATGAGTGTCCATTATTTTGGGGAGGGCAGACAATAACCAAGATAGTTATGTAAAATGTCTACAGCATAGCATATCAAATTATTATGCTATATTATAGGTTACCTTATGTTGTTATATTATTATTACCATTTTGCATTATATAGAAGGTGATTCCTTTCTCTCTTTCTTCCTTCCTTCCTTTCTTTCTTTCTTTCTTTCTCTTTCTTTCTCTCTCTCTCTCTCTCTCTCTCTCTCTCTCTCTCTCTCTCTCTCTTCCTTCCTTCCTTCCTTCCTTGATATAGTTTTGCTCTTGTTGCCTAGGCTGGAATGCAATGGCACGATGCCGGCTTACCACAAGCTCCGCCTCCTGGATTCAAGTGATTCTCCTCCCTCAGCCTCCGGAGTAGCTGGGATTACAGGCATGCACCACCATGCCCGGCTAAATTTTTTTTGTATTTTTAGTAGAGACGGGGTTTCACCATGTTGGATAGGCTGGTCTCGAACTCCTGACCTCAAGTGATCCACCTGCCTTGGGCTTCCAAAGTGCTGGGATTACAGTCTTGAGCCACCACACCTGGCCTATTAGATTTTTTTTTTTTAATCCCAGATACATAATAATTTCAGTTGCGACTATTTCAGGATGTATCTCTAAAAGAAAAGTACTTTTTAAAAACCTTACTACACAAATAGAATCACAAATAAAACATTAACAATCTTAAGTATCCAGTCCATATTCAAAATGTTTTCATATATAAATAATTTTTTTTTTTTTAAAGACAGAGTCTTGCTCTTGTCACCCAGGCTGGAGTGCAATGGTGTGATTTCGGCTCACTGCAACCTCCGACTTCTGGGTTCAAGCGATTCTTCTGCCTCAGCCTCCCAAGTAGCTGGGATTACAGGCGCGCACCACCACGCCTAGCTAATTTTTGTATTTTTAGTAGAGATGGGGTTTCAACATGTTGGCCAGGCTGCTCTCGAACTCCTGACCTCAGGGGATCCACCTGCCTTGCCTCCCAAAGTGCTGGGATTGTAGGCGTGAGCCACCACGCCCGGCCACAATTTTTTTAAAAATTAATTTGTTGATTTTTTTTGACATCAGAACCCAAAGTGCACTGCATTTGGTTGATGTGTCTCCTGTCTCTCTCTCTCTCTCCCTCTTTATATTGTAGTAAAATATACATGAGAAATTGACAATTTTAAGCATTTTAAAGTATACAGCTTAGTGGCATTAAGCACATTTACACTGTGTGGAACCATCACACCATCCGTCTCCAGAACTACTTCTATCTTACCAAATTAAAACTCTGTACCCATTAAATTAAACTCCTAATTTCCCCCTCCCCCAAATCCCTGGCAACCACTATTCTACCTTCTGTCTTTGCGAATTTGACAACTCTGGGTACTTCATATATCCTAAGTCTCTTTTCATCAATAAGTTCCCACTTCCTCTTTTTCTTCCCTTGCAATTACTGTATTTGTGGATGAAATTGGCAGATTCTGGATTTTGCCATTTACATCCCCATAGTGTTGTTTAACTTGTTCCTTTATCTTCTTTTTCCTATAAGCTGGATGTAGGGAATTTATTTATTTATTTATTTATTTATTTATTTATTTATTTAAGACGGAGTCTCGCTCTGCCGCCCAGGCTGGAGTGCAGTAGCGGGATCTCGGCTCACTGCAAGCTCCGCCCCCCGGGTTCACGCCATTCTCCTGCCTCAGCCTCCCGAGTAGCTGGGACTACAGGCGCCTGCCACCACGCCTGGCTAATTTTTTTGTATTTTTTTAGTAGAGAGGGGATTTCACCATGTTAGCCAGGATGGTCTCGATCTGACTTCGTGATCCACCTGCCTCGGCCTCCCAAAGAGCTGGGATTACAGGCGTGAGCCACCGCTCCCGGCCAATTTATTCATTTTTAAATATCATTTGAAGGTAGAGTGGACAGGACTTGCCGGCCAATTGAAGGTGGAGTATGAGAGAGAAGAATCAAGGATGACGCCAAGGTTTTTGGCCTGAGCAAGTGGAAGAATGGAGTTGCCATTTTCTGAGATGGGGAAGACCGTGGGAATAGGTTTGGGAGGGGACAATCTGCTTGGACATTTTAGGCTTGAGATGTTTATTAGACACTCAAGTGGAGATGCCAGGTGCCAGGTGAATATGTGAGCCTGGAGTTAATGAAAGTGGCTGCAGCAGGAGACATAAGTTTGGGAGTTGTCAGCAGATAGATGACATTTAAAGCTCTGAGACTAAAGGAGATCACCAGAGAAGCAAATGCAGATTATAAGAGAGAGAGGAGGGGAGAAGTTCGAGGACTGAGCTTTAGTACTTCAATATTAAGTGCCAGGAAAATTGAGGAGGAACCAGCAAAGGAGACTGAGTAGGGGCATCCAGCACAATAGGAGAAAATCTAGGTTAGTGTGGTACCCTGGAAGCCAATCATTCTAAGGAGGAGATTATGAAACATGGGTCATATGTCATGGATAGGCCAAGTAAGATGAGGACTGGGAATTAATTATTATTGGGTAGAAAAGAGATGCCCTCCCCCAGGCATGGTGGCTCACGCCTGTAATCCCAGCACTTTGGGAGGCCGAGGTGGGTGGATCATCTGAGGTCAGGAGTTTGAGACCAGCCTGGCCAACATGATGAAACCCCGTCTCTACCAAAAATATAAAAAATTAGCTGGGTGTGGTGGCATGCACCTGTAATCCTAGCTACTCAGGAGGCTGAGGCAGGAGAATTGCTTGAACCCGGGAGATGGAGGTTGCAGTGAGCTGAAAGTGTGCCTCTGCACTCCAGCCTGGGCGACAGAGTGAGACTCTGTCTCAAAAAAAGAAAAGAGATGCCCTCCCTTTTGATGCTCTTTAAACAAATCATGTATAATTAAATTAAAACTCAATGGCCAGGTGCAGTGGCTCACGCCACTTTGGGAGGCCAAGGCGGGTGGATCACCTAAGGTCAGGAGTTCAAGACCAGCCTGGCCAACATGGTGAAACCCTATCTCTACTAAAAATACAAAAAAGTAGCCAGGTGTGGTGGCGTGCACCTATAGTCCCAGCTACTCAGGAGGCTAGGCAGGAGAACTGCTTGAACCCGGGAGGTGGAGGTTGCAGTGAGCCAAGACGGCACCACTGCACTCCAGCCTGGGTGACAGAGTGAGACTCCATCTCAAAAAAAAAAAAAAAATTAGGCCGGGTGCGATGGCTCAAGCCTGTAATCCCAGCACTTTGGGAGGCCAAGGCGGGGGGATCACGAGGTCAGGAGATCGAGACCATCCTGGCTAACACGGTGAAACCCGTCTCTACTAAAAATAAAAAAAAATTAGCTGGGTGTGGTGGCGGGCGCCTGTAGTCCCAGCTACTCAGGAGGCTGAGGCAGGAGAATGGCGTGAACCCGGGAGGAGCTTGCAGTGAGCCAAGATCTCACCACTGCACTCCAGCCTGGGCGACATAGTGAGACTCCATCTCATAAAAAAAAAAAAAATTAAAAAAATTAAATCTCAAAACAAAGTTCCCAGGGAAACATTCTTTTCATGTATAGGAATTAGTGGAGTGTGATGTCATAGTAATAAGAGAGGTTAGTGGTTAAGAGCAGAGGCTTGGAAATTAGGAAACCTGGATTTCAGTATCAAGCTGTGTGATCCTGTGCAATTAATCCCCTAAGCATCAGGATTCTCCTCTGTAAAATAGGAATAATAAGAGACCCTTCTAAATGTGGCTCTTGCAGGAAAAACATGAGATAAGCATACTTTTATGCCAGTAAAGGACTTAGCAGGATGCCTGGCTCGCCGTAAGTACCCAACAAATTGTTGGCTATTATAAATATGATAGGATGACACAGGTAGGCACATGACTCTCAGATACTTTTGCCTAGGTGTTTAAAATAACAGGAAAGCCATCATCTTAGTTAAATACATGTACTAAATAGAGAAAAATACATGACAGCCACAGTTGGAATTTTGATGATAAAATGGTAATTTTAACATAAATTGAATAGCATATTTAAAAAAAAAATCTCTGAAACAGTCATTCCAGTGGAACCAAGGAACTGTAGACCTGGCTCGCAGAGGGAGGGAACTTTGCTTTTAAAGGGTCCTGGCTTAGTTGCATTAGTTACTACAGACACCAAACACTTGGATGAAGTTGTTATTAGGATTTACTTTAGGGCCGGGCACGGTGGCTCACACTTGTAATACGAGCACTTTGGGAGACTGATGCAGGTGGATCACCTGAGGTCAGGAGTTTGATACCAGATTGACCAACATGGTGATACCCTTTTTCTACTAAATACAAAAAATTAGGCAGGCATGGTGGCTGATGCCTGTAATCCCAGCTACTTGGGAGGCTGAGGCAGGAGAATCACTTGAACCTGGGAGGTGGAGGTTGCAGTGAGCCAAGATTGTGCCATTGCACTCTAGCTTGGGCAACAAGAGCAAAACTCCATCTCAAAAAAAAAAAAAAAAAAAGAAAGAGAGAGAGAGAGATTTACTTTAGCTTTGTGCAATGTCTGTTATTAAAAGCCTTTGGTGGCCGGGCACGGTGGCTCATGCCTGTAATCCCAGCACTTTGGGAGGCTGAGGTGGGTGGATCACAAGGTCAGGAGATTGAGAACATCCTGGCTAACATGGTGAAACCCCGTCTCTACTAAAAATACCAAAAAAAATTAGCGTGGTGGTGGACGCCTGTAGTCCCAGCTACTAGGGAGGCTGAGGCAGAAGAATAGCGTGAACCCGGGAGGCGGAGCTTGCAGTGAGCCGAGATCGTGCCACTGCACTCCAGTCTGGGCAACAGAGCGAGACTCCATCTCCAAAAAAAAAAAAAAAAAAAGCCTTTGGTTCAGTTTTATTTGTTTTCTGTGTTTAAGCAAATAAACACCCAGTGTTTTCCAAGAGCATTTTGACTCTGGGCTGCTCTCCAGAGAAGCAGGATATAAGCTTGTCCACAAACCCAAATGAAAACAAAGGGCCCACACAATTGCCACGCATCTGGTGACCAGACAAGTTCACTAAATCTCAGCTGGGGTGGAAGTTCCTTGAGACCAGGGAATTTGAGTCACCTTGTAACCCTAAACAAAGCCAGGCATAAGTTGGATGCTTACCATATGTTAGTTAATTGAAAGAAGGAAAAACAGAGCACTGCACTGATAGAGAACAGTGACTGTGCACCTGATGTGCCGCAATGTGGTTTGGTGTTAAAAAAAATCACTCTCATTCATTACTAGTAGGAGTTCAAATGGGAACCACAGTTCCAAAAAAGCAATTTTGGCAACGTGTAATGACAGCCTTAAAACTATAAACACAAAGATGTTCCCTGCAGCCTTATTCATAATTTTTAAAAATAAAAAACAAACTAAACATCTAATAATAGGCTATGTAATCGTCCAGTAGCTCTAGTGGATGGACTATTACATTATTATAATTATTCAAATTAATATTTTCCCGCTTCTTCCCTGCTTTCCTTCAAGAGGTGGGGGAGGCCACCTGGCCCAAGCTGAAGGCCAAGATACAAGAAAAAAATGCAAAGGTTCTATTTTGGCAGCGTTTACATGGGCAGGGTGTCGTGGGGAGGCTGGCGGAGGGAGTGGGAGCAGGTGACAGAGAATATAGGGTAAGTTAGAAGGCTCTCAGTGCTGGTAAAAATAAAATAGAGTAAAGTAAAGGGTGGGGGTAGAGTTGAGGGGGGCGTGATCAGATTTCTGTTCAAATAGGATGGTCTTTTTGCTGTGAACTTAAGACTGCTCTAAGGCCAGGCGCAGTGGCTGACGCCTGTAATCCCAGCACTTTGGGAGGCCGAGGCGGGCGGATCACAAGGTCAGGAGATCGAGACCATCCTGCCTAACACGGTGAAACCCCGTCTCTACTAAAAATACAAAAAATTAGCTGGGCATGGTGGCACACGCCTGTAGTCCCAGCTACTCGGGAGGCTGAGGCAGGAGAATCGCTTGAACTTGGGAGGCAGAGGTTGCAGTGGGCTGAGATCGCGCCACTGCACTCCAGCCTGGGTGACAGAGTGAGACTCCGTCTCAAAAAAAAAAAAAAAAAAAGACTGCTCTAAAAAATAAAGTGTATTAAAAAGAAACTACGATGTTCAGTGTATGCTTCATCTACGGTCAAAGAGGCAAAGACTGAAGTGACAGTGGAAGCCAGGTGGTTATCTGGGAGGCTTACAAGACTATGTGATAGTATGGAAAATACTAGTATTAAGTGAAATGCTGGATGCAAAACTATGCATAGAGGGGAAAAACTGGAAAGAAATAGTAAACACAGCAAAAGTAGTTTGTGTGAAGGATAAATTTTTTAAAATTATTTTTTGTAGAAACAGGGTTTCTCTACATTGCCCAGGATGGTCTCAAACTCCTGGGCTCAAGCGATCAATCCTCCCACCTCGGCCTCCCAAAGTGCACAGGTGTAAGCCACCGCGCCCAGCCGAAGGATAAGGATTTTGGGTGGTGCGCTCTTTTCTCCTTTCCATTTCTGCATTTTCCAATTTACCTTTAGCGACCGTTCTTTCCTGTTAAAAAAAAAAAATTCACGACCTTGAAGAAGATACACGGGCTATGACTTCGCTGTTGTCACCGAGCGCCCCGCCCACCGCGTTCTCCGACCCGCGGCCGGCAGGGGGCTCGCGGCCTCCGCCAGGCGTCCTTCGGCTCCGTCAGTTCCCACAGGGCCTTGTGCGACATGGGCTGCGCCGAGGGCAAGGCAGTGGCGGCGGCCGCCCCAACGGAGCTGCAGACGAAAGGCAAGAACGGCGATGGCCGCCGTAGGTCAGGTACGACCGAGGGCGAAGGCCTGGTCCCCAGGTCGACGGGCCGAAGCGGGCCTTCCGGCCGGGGTTGGGGATAAAGTGCCCCGGAGCCCTGGCCTTGAAGCCCCTCACTGGAGTCAGTGACTGACCGCGCGCCACGCTGGAGACCCCAGAAACGCTCCCCCAGGTCACCCCGGGAGACGGAGGCCGGCGGCCGGCCGAGGGCTGCCCCGCCCGCTGGCTGTGAGAGAGGTGGGAGGTGGAAGGAGGAGCGGGCCCGCCGCGAGGACCTGCCCGGAAACCTGTCGGAAACCGAACCGAGATCTCGGCAGCGACCCGCCTGATTTCGCTCAGGGCCCGTTAGGGCGTCCTCTTCCTACAAGCACCGTGTTTCCAATGAAAGGTTACGGGGGAAGCGACCAAACCGACAGCCGAGTCCGGGGGTGCCCCTTCACCTCTCCAGAAGCCCCCGGCCCACTCCCAGCATCCTCCTCCATCGAGAATCTTGTCCGACACGCCTTCCCGGCCCCCTTTCTCCATCCCCTTGAATTTTGGGCACATTTCTCCCACCATCATCCCGCTTTATCCTTTCACTTGTTCTTCCAGAAGAGAAAGCTCCCAGTCTCTTCTCCATTGTCCGGATAATGCCAATAATGGCTAGTGGTTACTAAGCACTGACATGAGAGGGGCCTTTGGAAGCACTAGACATGGGTAATAATCTTGGTTCATGTTTCCAGCCATACTGAGAGATTTATCATAAACCCCATTATACAGATGAAGAAACTGAGAAGCAAAGAGGTTATAAAACTTACCCAAAGCACACAACTAGTAAGTGGAAGAGCTGGGATACCAGTTGAGGCCATCTGACTCAAAAGCCCTGGTCATAGTCATATGGCCGCCTCCACCTTTTTTATAGGCTTGAGAAAGTGAGGCTCCAAAAAGTGCCTTGCCCAATGGCTAGAATTATTAAATGCTGTAGGATCTGCCTCTTTCAAAGGCTTACAGTTTAGTTACAAGGCAGCATATGGTGAAGGGCTAAAAGGAGTGGTAAAAACAGCCAAGTGGGGATGGCAGCTCCCATAGATGAGGTAGGATTTGGTAGAGGTGTCTGAAGGGAGAACATTCTTGTTAGGGGAAGCAGCCGGTGAGACCATGCTAGAGATAGGGAGGCCTGTATATCCTGCTGGAGTTAAGGACTTGGATTAGGGGAAGGGAAGAATAAAGGAACAGGGTAGGAGCAAGGTCAGGCAAGGTCCAGGTCAGGCAGCTAATTTGTGGCCATTAGTACAATGAAGGAGTTTGAGCAGGTGCATCCCAAATTGACGTTTCATGTGCCATCCTCAGGATCTTCTTGATATCTATGTCCTTCCATTTATTTACTGTTTTTCTTTAGCTACATTCTTTTTGTGTGTGGTTAAAAAAAAAAAATTTACCATCTTAACAATTTTGTTTTTTTTTTTTTTTTAGTTTCGCTCTCGTTGCCCAGGCTGGGGTGCAATGGCGCCATCTTGGCTCACCTCAGCCTCCACCTCCCAGGTTGAAGCGATTCTCCTGCCTCAGCCTCCCAAGTAGCTGGGATTACAGGCATGCACCACCACGCCTGGCTAATTTTGTATTTTTAATAGAGACAGGTTTTCACCATGTTGGTCAGGCTGGTCTTGAACTCCTGACCTCAGGTGATCTGCCCACCTCAGCTCCCCAAAGTGCTGGGATTACAGGCATGAGCCACTGCACCCAGCTGACCCTAACCGTTTTTAAGTATACAGTTTTCAGCAGTATTAAGTATATTCACATTGTTGTGAAGCAGATCCCCTGAACTTTTTCATCTTGCAAATCTGAAACTCCATGCCAACTCGTTAACTTTTCATTTGCCGTTTCCCCCAGCCCCTGGTATCCATCATTCTACTTTCTGTTTCTGTGAAATTTGGCTACTTTAGATTGCTTATATAAGTTGGTATCATACAGTGTCTGTCTTTTTGTGACTGGCTTGTTTCACTTAGCATACTTGTCTTCGAGTTTCATCTGTATTGTAGCATGCGACAGGATTTCCTTACTTTTTAAGGCTGAATAATATTCCATTGTGTGTGTGTATATGTACATACACACACACATATATACACACACACACACACAAAATGGAATATATATACACACACACACCACATTTTTTTTTTCCCGAGATGGAGTCTTGCTCTATCGCCAGGCTGGAGTGCCGTGGCATGATCTTGGCTCACCACAATCTCCGCCTCCTGGGTTCAAGCAATTCTCCTCCCTCAGTCTCCCAAATAGCTGGGATTACAGGCCCGCCACCATGCCCAGCTAATCTTTGTATTTTTAGTAGTGACGGGGTTTCACCATGTTGGCCAGGCTGGTCTTGAACTCTTGACCTCGTGATCTTCCCGCCTCAGCCTCCCAAAGTGCTGGGATTACAGGCTTGAGCCACCACGCCCGGCCTGAACTATTTTATAATACAGAAAAGCTCACTCGTTATAATACAACTTGCTAAATTTTTACAAACGAAGTATATGCATGCAGCCCACACTCAGCTGAGGAAATAAACGTTTCCAGTACCCCAGGAGCCCCTCTAATGTCTCTTACCCCCATACCAAGGGCAAACACTACTCTGATTTCTAACAGCATAGAAGAATTTCACCTATTTACATTTACTTTTTGAAACTTAAATTTAGGCATATTTTAAGCATTAATCTATTAAAGCACGGCTTTATACTAGGTATTTTTCTTTTTCTTTTCTTTCTTTTTTTTTTTGAAATAGGGTCTTGCTCTGTTGCCCAGGCTGGAGTGCAGTGGCCCAATCATAGCTCATTGCAGCCTCAACCGCCTGGTCTTAAACAATCCTCCCACCTCAGCCTCCTGTGTGGTAAAGTGTGCCACCAAGCCCAGCTAATTTTTTTACATTTTGTAGAGATGAGGTCTTGCCATGTTGCCCAGGCTGGTCTCAAACTTCTGGGCTCAAGTGATCTTCCCACCTTGGCCTCCCAGAGTGCTGGGATTACAGGTGTGAGCCACTGTACCCAGCCTAGATATTTTTCTATACACATACATATATACATAATGATGATTATTATTTTTCTAGAGATGGGTCTCACTCTGTTGCCTAGATTAGAGTGCAGTGGCATGAATCATAGCTCACTGAAACTGAACTGCTGGGCTCAAGTAATCCTCCTGCCTCAGCTTCCTGAGTAGCTAGGATTACAGGGACACACCACCATGCCTAGCCTCAATTTTAAATTTTTTGTAGAGATAGGTCTCACTAAGCAACAGCCCCATCTGATCTCGAACACCTGGCCTCAAGTGATCCTCCTGCCTCAGCCTCCCAAAGTATACTGCACCAGGCCCATATTATACATAACTATTGACATTAAAAATGTTCTTTTGTGTGTCACCTACAAACACTCTAGAAGCCACCTTCCTTAAGTACCATATGATCTCTAAGTTCCTTCTCAAATTAAAATTATGTGGTTAAGTTTCAAGAAACTAATTTCTTAATGATGCAGAAGGTTTTGCTTGAATGACTCTTCAACCGAGCATCTATTATTTATCAGGCACTGGGAACTCAGGGATAAACAAGGCATGATCTCAGTCCTTGAACATAGAGTCTCGTGGAGAAGAATGGCGTAGAAAATGCAGTGTCATGATGTGTAATCATAAAAGTAGATGGGTACACACCACTTCAGGAGAATGGCAGAGGGAGTTAACATCTTGGCACTTAGCATTTAGTATTTCTTCTGTAACACACATTCCATTCTATTTTAATGAGCTTGCAAACATTTTTCCTGCTGGATTTTTGAGGATCAGGAATGTGTTTTGTTCACTATCTTATCTCCTACAGTCCTTGGCATACTGCCCTACAAATCAGTAAATGTGTTTATATGACTCATATGGCAAAAGGCAATTTTTTTTTTTTTAATAAGTGAGGAATGTTCCAAAAGCCAATGCTATTAACATTGACCAGCTTCTTCTAGTAAGGAGAGGAGACAGTATTTTTTCAAAGTGCGGTCCTAAGACCACCTGCAAGAGAATTAATTACATGCTGGGAATGTGTAGATTAAAAACTCATTTTCCTGTTCTCCATTTCAGACCTACTAAATCAGCCTCAGAGTGAAGGAAGCTTCATTTTTGGTGTCTCAAGTGATTCTATTTGAACCAAGGCCTGAGAACACTGCAGTGAGGTGTTTAGGCCAGCGTCAAATCACCTATTTCTGGGCAGAGGTGCCTATCCTTAGCAATGGGGCTGAGGCTGGGGTGGAGGTTGCTACTGCAGATCACTGAGGCTGATAAGGGTGAGTCAGATGCCCCAAGAGGAAATTGAAAGCTTTGGAATGGAACCAAAGATCGTGACTGACATGCAGTCATGCAATCTGCAATCAGAAGTTAGTATTACACGATGCGCTAGATAATTGTAGAGTAATCTTGCTTTTTGTTGATTTTAACCAGGTAATTTAAAGTCATTACTCATTATTTGGATTTTCACATTTGAATGTTTACTCTTTGTATTAATGTGTACTGAGTATTTAAAGCTTTTAAATTAGCTTTTTTAAAAAGTGTATTTTAGGCCAGGTGCGGTAGATCATGCCTGTAATCCCAGCACTTTGGGAGGCCAAGGCGGGTGGATCATCTGAGGTCAGGAGTTCGAGACCAGTCTGGCCAACATGGTGAAACCCCATCTCTACTAAAAAAATACAAAATTAGCTGGGCGTGGTAGCACACACCTGTAATCCCAGCTACTCAGGAGGCTGAGGCAGGAGAATTGCTTTAATCCAGGAGGCAGAGGTTGCAGTGAGCTGAGGTCGTGCCATTGCACTCCAGCCTGGGTGATGAGAACGAAACTCCGTCTCCAAAAAAAAAAAAACGGTGGGGGGGAGGCGGTATTTTAGATTTACAGTTGGATTAAATCCTTGAAAGAACTCAAAAGAAGGAATTAATCTGTTAATGCCTTTTCTTTACCTTCATAAAACATCAGGGAATATTTCATGAATATTCCTTATATCCTACTTTCTAGCTCTGAGCATTACTTTGCTGGTAGAAACTAGTCTACATGTATATAACTATAAATGACTATCACAAATCACTCTTTGATGTTAAAAACAAACTATCTGGCTGGTTGTGGTGGCTCATGCCTGTATTCCTGGCACTTTGGGAGGCCCAGCTGGGAGGATTGCTTGACACCAGGAGTTCAAGACCAGCCTGGGCAACAAAGTGAGCCTCAGTCTCTGCAAAAACAAATAGCTGGGCATGGTGGCGTGCGCCTGTTAGTCACACCTGCTCAGGAGGTTAAGGTGGGAGGATCGCATGAGCGTGGGAGGTCGAGGCTGCAGTGAGCCATGATCAGGCTACTGCACTCCAGCCTGGGTAACAGAGGGAGACCCTGTCTCAGAAAAACAGCAACAAATCTACCTGTTGGGTTTTTCGTTTGTTTGGATTTTTATTTTATTTTATTTTATTTTGAGACGGAGTTTCACTCTTGTTGCCCAGGCTGGAGTGCATTGGCATGATCTTGGCTCACTGCAAACTCCATCTCCTGGGTTCAAGCGATTCTCCTGCCTCAGCCTCCCAAGTAGCTGGGATTACAGGCATGCACCACAACGCCCGACTAATTTTGTATTTTTTGTAAAGACAAGGGTTTCTCCATGTTGGTCAGGTTGGTCTCCAACTCCTGACCTCAGGTGATCTGCCCACCTCAGCCTCCCAAAGTGCTGAGATTATAGGCATGAGCCACCGCTCCCGGCCACCTGTTGGTTTTAGTGGTAGTGCAGTGGTTTTCAGCTTTCAACATTCAAGTACGCTCCCAACTTTGACAAATATAGAAAAGTTATTTTTGCCACAATTTAGTGTGTTTATGGAAGGTGTATACAGAAACTTCAGATGACAGTGTCTGTTAGATGAAAAACTGAGCTGGGCAGGTGGTGGGAAGTTGTATAGACCCAGAAATAACTTGTTATGGGAAGAATTAAGAGGCCACAATTAATGGGTTGAAAATTAAAAATCTGCAGGGACAGGCAGGTCATATAAATGAGTGACCCAGGCAGGTAGTAAACAGCAGGGAGTGGTGGAGACTGGGGTGGACTGAGGAGAGAATGCTGTACAGACAGGGCAATTTCTACTGAGCTTCCCTTTCTTTGGGTGGGAAAATGAGTGTAGTGTGGCCAGACCTGCTTTTTTTCAAGAGAAACTAGAAATCTCTATTTATCATTTTTGTGACTTCCCCAGCTTGTGAATGTCAGCAGTAATGCAATTAAGCAAAATACTGAGGGTCAAACAAGATGTGATTGCAGGTAAATATGGTCTGTGAATGTGTAGAATAATGTCAAGCTGGCACACATTTAAAAAATGAGAAAAAGATGGTGTCTTTTGAATGTATAGAAGTGGCTGGGACAGAAAACAGTTTTTCTTAGATAGTAACACAGTGCAGAGAAGTGTCTGAGTGAACAGTGTAAATGACCGCTGTCAAAGTATGGTTTTCGAAACGTTAAAAATATGATCTTGTACAGAAAAAAAAACAGGTATCAAAACTTAGTCATTAATTAAACCAATAAATGAAAGAACCAATAAAATGGTAAAGCTAATTTAAAGGCAAATTCAAGGACTAGGGACATATAATCAAAGAAATGATGAATTGAATTTGCTAGTACAGTAGTTACAAAGCTGGTTAATGTCTCACAGAGCAATAAAACTAACTTTTGGGCCAGATGCAGTGGCTCATGCCTGTAATCCCAGCACTTTGGGAGACTGAGGCAGGCAGATCACTTGAGGTCAGGAGTTCGAGACCAGTCTGGCGAACATGGTGAAACCTCATCTGTACTAAAAGTACAAAAATTAGCCAGGTGGTGGCATGCGCATGTAATCCCAGCTACTCAGGAAGCTGAGGCAGGAGAATCACTTGAACCTGAGAGGCGGAGGTTGCAGTGAGCCGAGATTGCACTGCTGCACTCCAGCCTGGGTGAAATAGTGAGACTCTGTCTCAAAAAACAAACAAACAAACAAAACTAACTTTTGGGATTATTGAGCAGAAATGTACGAGTTAACATGAAACTTCAGTGTCTAGGCTGTAATAAAATAGTAAACAGCAAAGTCAAGTACAGATACACTCTCTTAAGAAAATTAAATGATCCTTGGGTGGGCTTGTTAAACATGGTCCAGTATGACATTGAAAGGACATTTAGTCAACTTCTTTCTTTACTTCCAAGTTTGGACATTTTTCTTAAGATTGTGGATATTACAGTGTAGCTATGGCTGCCTTGAGATTATTGCTCACTTATATAGTGGCATTTTAAGCTGCTTAATCCCCTCAAATGTGCTGCCAAAATTCTACTTTTTCAAGTATGTGCAGCAGCTTTTCTCAAGTATGTGCATTTAAACTTTTAAAAATGTTTAAAACAACTGTGAGCAAATCGAAGGCTTGCTGCACTCTATATAGGGTCAATGTTTCATTAAGTGCTTTATCACAAAGATTTGTTTAGAAGTGGGCACAAGGCTCTTGGTCATCAAATTCGTTTTAGGTTTAGAGAAGTAATCTTACCTCTTGGAGCAAGAGCTAGATTTCACTCTTTTATGTATAGAGTGAGATCAAGGAAGAAGGGGAATAGAAGGAATAGAACTTAGCAAACAGCTCCCCACTCCCAAGTCAAGTTTGTTAGAAATGTAACACTGGACTACCATTGTTGGGAGACCAAGGAGCATGGTTTCGCTGTACCATTCCTTTCACGGGATTCCATGGGATCTTTCTAGATGTGCTGGACTGGTAAAAATCCTTACCTGTGGGAAGGGAGGGTGTGTCCAGTTGAAGCAGAATAAAAGGAAAGCTAAACCGGGAGGTGACCCTTGATCAAGCACTGGGAAAAAGTGGTAAAAGCTCTTGAATCACTCACTGAGAGGCAGCTGAAGGTGGGGACTGGTGAGGAGGGAGCATGAACTGCTGCATCTGGCAGCCAGCTTTGGGGACCAGTGGCTGGTGCAGACTTGCTAAGGAGTGCTAATGGTGTTTATTAAAACAACAACAAAAGCAATTTAGTTACTCTGGCCCTGGGTGTGGGCAGAGTAGTGTGGGAAGGGGAGAGGGCAGATTGCAAAGGAAATATATGTGAGATTGTTTCTTTTTGCATAGGCACTGATGCATAACCATTCGCACTGGATTAGTCAAAGCTGTAACTCCTGATGAAATTTCTTTAAGGATGAAGGACGTGTGACAAGTTTAGGTCTCCTTTTAAGCTTGTGGCACAAGTTTTTTTTCCCCTGTTCCCTGACCTTGCCAGACTCCCTCACTCATCTGTTCATGAATGGTTGTTCTCTTTTACCTAAAATATCCTTCCTTCTCTTTGCTGGGCAAACTCTCCTCACACATCAAGACCCAGTCCAAATGACAGTTTTGTAATTCCCCAAGTAGAGATAGTTTTGCCCTTTCTGGACATCTGTGGCTCTTCTCATTTTTTTTGTAGGACATATAGTGTATTGTGTAGCATTCTATTAGACTGGGCTCCTGGGGGTAAGGATGTCTTGTTTATTTTTTATTTATGTTTTTTTGAAACAGAGTCTTGCTCTGTCCCCAGGCTAGAGTGCAGTGGCGCAATCTCGGCTCACTGCAACCTCTGCCTCCCAGGTTGAGGCAATTCTTCTGCCTCAGCCTCCCGAGTAGCTGGGATTACAGGTGGCCACCACACCCAGCTAATTTTTGTTTTTTTAGTAAAGACGGGGTTTCACCATGTTGGCCAGGTTGGTCTCAAACTCCTGACCTTGTGATCTGCCTGCCTTGGACTCCCAAAGTGCTGGGATTATAGGCATGAGCCACCGCACCTATAGCTGTCTTGTTTAGAGTTGAATTTCCTGTTTGGGATAGTTCATGGCACATAGTAGATGCTCGGTAAATGTTCAAATATAGTTGTGTCAAGTTATTCCCTCCTGATTTTCTCCCCCACTGTTTGATCAACCCAGGAATCTCTTTCCCCCTTGGAAACTTCTTTTATCTACCTCTCTGCCCCTGACTCACTGGAATCCTACAAATGGGACATCTCAGGCAGGTAAAATTGCCATTGTTATGAGGGTGAGAGAATGCAGATTTTTTACAGTGTATTTCCAATGTCCCATATGGAACATTGTATTTCCCAGTAATACAGTTTTTTTGAAAGAGGGGATAACACCAAAGTAGTCTTGTTAATTAGATAATATTTATTCATTTAATACTTACTAACCATCTTCCATATGTTAGGCATTGTTGTAGGTGCTGGGGATCTGTGAGTAAATATGCCCATATGGAGTTGTTTTCTAGAGTAATGTAGAACTTCTGAGAGCTTTAATAAAAAGGAGTAACATTTATTGAATGCTTATTATGATCCAGGTACTGTGCTGAGTGCTTTATATGTATTAACACATTTAATCACTGCAAGAGGCAAATGAGGAAAGTGAGGCCCAGAGAGGTAACAAGCATACAACTATTAAGTAGTGGAGCGAGGATTCTCATGCTGGAAGCTAGTGTACTTAACCACTGTGCTCTACTGCCTTGCTTAATAGAGTGATTGGGCACGTCTAATGAAACCTTGGTGATATGGTTTAGCTCTGTGTCCCCACCCAAATCTCACCTTGAATTGTAATGATCCGCATGTGTCAAGGGCAGTACCAGATGGAGATAACTGAATCATGGGGGTGGTTTCTGCCATGCCTGTTCTCATGATAGTGAGTGAGTTCTCATGAGATATGATGGTTTTATAAAGGGCTTCCCCCTTCACTTGGCACTCATTCTCTCTCCTGCCACCATGTGAAGAGGTGCCTTCTGCCATGACTAAAAGTTTCCTGAGGCCTCCCCAGCCATGCAGAACTATGAATCAATTAAACCTCTTTTTTTTTTTTTTTTTATAAATTACCTAGTCTCAGATATGTCCTTATAGCAGCGTGAGAATGGACTAATACACCTGGATTCCTCCATCCCTTCATAAGACCTGAACAGGAAGCACTGTTTCCCATTAAAATAAGCAGTTGAAATAAAATCAAACTTTTTAGTGGATTACCAGTATCTGGAAACAATAGAAAAAGGAGCTTATGCCGGGCACAGTGTCTCACGCCTGTAATCCCAGCACTTCGGGAGGCCAAGGTGGGCGGATCACCTGAGGTCAGGAGTTCAAGACCAGCCTGACCAACATGGAGAAACCCCATCTCTACTAAAAATGCAAAAAATTAGCTGGGCGTGTGGTGGGCACCTGTAATCCCAGCTACTTGGGAGGCTGAGGCAGGGGAATCATTTGAACCCTGGAGGTGGAAGTTGCAGTGAACCAAGATGGCACCATTGCACTCAAGCCTGGGCAACAAGAGTGAAACTCTGTCTCAAAAAAAACAAAAAAAGAAAAAGAAAAAGGAGCTTATTCATAACAGTTTAACCTTATATTTAGGGACAGGTAGACAGTTATACGGATGCTGAAGACAGCCAAAAATGTCTAGCTTAGGTTGTAGATGCTGAACGCTGTGGGCTCACTGACCCTTGCCTATGAAGCACTGTAGAATACCTTTATCACTTCATTTCCATAAGTTCAGTTATGTCCCTGGAATATAATCTTGAAGCAGAAGAGCCTGATATAATAACAGTGTAGCCTCTAAGGTTGATCCCCAATATAAGATGATCTTTACAGAGATCTCCTGTTATATTTCAGGCTACTTATTTAGATTATGGCTCCACAAGTCATTTGAGGCAAAGTGGAAAGAGAATTAGAGTGAAGAGAACGGAATTCTAGTTTCTGTTATATCCTTAAATAGCTGTGTGATTTTAGACAAGTTCCAAAGCACCTATGCGCCTTAGTTCCCTCATTTGCAAAATGAAGTGAATGGATGAATATTAAGTCCTCTCAAGCTGTAAAATTCTGTAGGTCTGTCTCCCATAAAATTAAAATTAGGCCCGTAAATGCGTAGAAAATGTAATAATTCCAAATAAAAATACCTAGCATTTTTGGATTCCACAATAGCAAGGTAATTTCCCATGTATTATCTAAGATGTGTCTTTTTTTCCGGTCTTGGCTCCTGGAATGCATGCCTGAATGACTACTAAGGTTTTAACTCATTCACTTTATTTTATATGGTAAGTCAGTAGCTCAAGATAGTAAGGAATAACTTGCTTTAAAGTAATAAATATGTTAAGACCCAAAAGACTGTCAATTATATTTGGAAAAGATTTGGGTAGAGGAATTTGCTACATTCAAGTACATTTCTGGAACCAGTTATCTGAAAGTAGTGATCCTTAAATTCATGTCCTCCTCCTAAGATCTCTAGTGCAGTGTTTTATAACAACTGCTGAGTAACAAATATATCTAGTAGGATATCTTTTTAATTTTATTTTTAAAATTGGTATACAAATAAAATAGATTTTTGGTGTCCTTTTAATTTTTTATTATTTATTTTAATTTATTTCTTTTTGGAGAAAGGGTCTTGCTCTGTCACCCAGGCTCAAGTGCAATGGTGTAATTATAGCTCACAGCAGCTTCAAACTCCTGGGCTCAGGTAATCCTCCTGCTTGAGCCTCCTGAGTAGCTATGACCACAGGTGAGTGGTACCATGCCTGGCTAACTTTTTTATTTTTATTTTTATAGAAATGAAGTCTTCTTATGATGGCCAGGCTGGTCTCAAACTCCTGGCATCAAGCCATCCTCCCTCCTGGGCCTCCCAAAGTGCTGTGATTACAGGTGGGAGCCACCGTGTCTGGCCTTTGGTGTTCATTTTATGAATTTTAACATATGTATACATGATCGGGTTACATAACAGTTCCGTTACCCCACAAAATTTCACCCATGCTATCCCTTTGTGGTTACAGCCTCCCCAGTTGATTAGGATACAACTGTATTCCAATCTCTGGAGCCACTGACCTGTTCTCCATCAATATAGTTTTGTCTTTTCAGGAATGCGATATAAATGGAATCACAAAATAACATTTTGAGATTGATTTTTTCACACAGCATAATACTTTTGAGATTCATCTAATTTGTCATGTGTATCTATAGTTTACTTCATTTTATTACTGAGTGGTATTACATTATACAAGTGTACCATAATTTTTTTGTCCTTTCATTCATTGAAGGATATTTAGATTTTTTCCATTTTTTAGTGATTATAGAGTTGCTATAAGCATTGGTATATAAGTTTTTTAAAAATTGATATATAAGGCTGGGTGCAGTGGCTCACACCCGTAATCCCGGCACTTTGGGAAGCCGAGCGGGGCAGATCACCTGAGGTCAGGAGTTAGAGACCAGTCTGACCAACATGGAGAAACCCCATCTCTACTAAAAATATAAAATTAGCTGGGTGTGGTGTTGCATGCCTGTAATCCCAGCTACTCGGGAGGCTGAGGCAGGAGAATCACCTGAACCCAGAAGGCGGAGGTTGCAGTGAGCCGAGATTGTGCCACTGCACTTCAGCCTGGCAACAAGAGCAAAACTCCATCTCAAAAAAAAAAAAAAAAAAATCTGTATTTGATTAACATACCATAAATATAGGCCGGTTGTGGTGGCTTACTCCTGTAATCCCAGCACTTTGGAGGCTGAGGCAGGTGGATCACCTGAGGTTGGGAGTTTGAGACCAGCCTGACCAACATGGAGAAACCCCGTCTCTACTAAAAATACAAAATTAGTCGGGCGTGGTGGCACATGCCTGTAATCCCAGCTACTTGGGAGGCTGAGGCAGGAGAATCGCTTGAACCCAGGAGGCAGAGATTGTGGTGAGCCAAGATTGCACCATTGCATTCCAGCCTGGGCAACAAGAGTGAAACTCTCTCTCAAAATAAAGTGGGGGCGGCAGGGGAATAACCATTTAAAAGTGCACAGTTTAGAGTGCAACCTTCACCACTATTGAATTTGAGAACATTTTCTTTTCTTTTTTTTTTGAGACGGAGTCTCGCTCTGTTGCCCAGGCTGGAGTGTAATGATTTGATCTCGGCTCACTGCAACCTCCGCCTCCCGGGTTCACGCCATTCTCCTGCCTTAGCCTCCTGAGTAGCTGGGACTACAGGCGCCCGCCACCACACCTGGCTAATTTTTGGTATTTTTAGTAGAGATGGGGTTTCACTGTGTTAGCCAGGCTGGTCTCGATCTCCTGACCTGGTGATCCCCCCGCCTCGGCCTCCCAAAGTAGTGGGATTACAGGCGTGAGCCACCGTGCCCAGCCTAGAACATTTTCATTACTCCAAAAAGAAACCCCATACCCATTAGCAGTAAATTTTCACTCTTTCCCTAGCAATTGCTAGCCTACTTTCTGTCTCTATAGATTTGCCTATTCCGAGCATTACTTTTCTTTTTTTTTTTTTTTTTTTTTGAGACAGGGTCTCACTTTGTCACCCAGGCTGGAGTGTAGTGGTGTCATCTTGGCTCATTGCAACTTCTACCTCCTGGGCTCAAGCAATCCTCCCACCTCAGCCTCCTCAGTAGCTGGGACTACGGGCACACACCACCATGTCTGGCTAATTTTTGTACGTTTTGTAGAGTCAGGGTTTCACCGTGTTGCCCAGGCTGGTCTTGAACTCCTGAGCTCAAGTGATTTGCCTGCCTTGGCCTATTCTGGGCATTTCTTATAAGTGGAATCATACAATCTATGGTCTTTTATGAGTGGCTTCTTTCACTTAGCATAATATTTTCAAGGTTTATTCACATTGCAGCATGTATTAGTACTTCTTTTTATTGTTGAATAACAGTGCATTGTATGAATATACAACATTTTATTTTATTTTATTTTATTTTATTTTATTTTATTTATTTTTTTTGAGATGGAGTCTCACCCTGTCGCCCAGGCTGGAGTGCAATGGCGAGATCTCAGCTCACTGCATCCTCTGCCTCCCGGGTTCAACCGATTCTTCTGCCTCAGCCTCCTGAGTAGCTGGGATTATAGGCGCACGCTACCACGCCTGGCTAATTTTTGTATTTTTAGTAGAGATGGGGTTGCACCATGTTGGTCAGGCTGGTCTTGAACTCCTGACCTCGTGATCCACCTGCCTCGGCCTCTCAAAGTGCTGGGATTACAGGTGTGAGCCACTGTGCCCGGGCAATTTTTATTTCTATTTTAACCACTTCTTGGACATTTGGGTTGTTTCCACTTTTTGGCTGTTATGAATAATGCTGAGAACCATCATGTACAAGTTTCATGTACACATGTATTTTTTATTTATCTTAGGCATATACTTTGAAATAGAATTGTTGGACCATATGGTAACTATATGTTTAACATTTTTTTCATTTTTTTTGAGACAGATTCTTGCTCTGTCACCCAGGCTGGAGTGCAGTGGTGTGATCTTGGCTCACTGCAACCTCCACCTCCCGGTTCAAGCAATTCTTCTGCTTGAGCCTCCTGAGTAGCTGGGACTACAGGTGCATGCCACCACGCCCGGCTAATTTTTGTATTTTCAGTAGAGATGGGGTTTCACCATGTTGGCCAGGATGGTCTCGAACTCCCAACCTCAGGTGATCCACCCACCGCAGCCTCCCAAAGTGTTGAGATTACAGGCATGAGCCACTGTGCCCAGCCATGTTTAACTTTTTGAGGAATTTCTAAACTGTTTCCCAAAGTGTCTATACTATTTTACATTTCTGCCAGCAATGTATTAGAGTTCCAAATTTTCCACATCCTTGTTAACACTAGTTATTGTCTATCTTTTTTATTCTAGCCATCCTAGTGGTGTGAAGTGGTATCTCACTGTGGTTTGATTTGCATTTCCGTAATGAATAATGATGTTGAGCATATTTTCATGTGCTTACTGTTTATCTTCTTTGGATAAATGTCTGTTCAAAGTCTTTTTCCATTTTTTAATTGGGTTTTGTTTTGTTTTGTTTTAAGGAGCAGAAAGTTTAATAGGCAAGAAAGAAGGAAGAAGCTCCCCCATACAGAGACAGAGGGAAAGTCAAGAGGAAACCCTGTGTGGGGCAGAAAAGTGGCTACTTATATGAGGAGGCTGGAGGAGGTGGTGTCTGATTTGCATAGTGCTCAGTGGATTGGTTTGATCAGCATGTCATTCACGAAGCCCCTGAAAAATCTGGCCCTCACACCCTAGCCTTTTAATATGCAAATGCAGGGCGCCATGATGTTTTACACACGTGAGGATGTGTGGGGGTGACCATGTTGCCAGGCACATGTCGGGGCAAGGGCAAGAAAAAGAGGGTGGGAATCACCATGTTTGGGTGGACTCAGTTTCTAATGGCTTGCATTTTCATATCAAAGGTTGCCTGCCCGGCTCTAAGAGCCCGGTCTTCCCTGCTAGACAAGAAACATTTCTGGAGCTGCTTTAAAAGAAACGAAAACTTCCCAAGGACCCCTTTTCCTGTCTCTCTGCCTAAAATAATTTATTAATAACTCCTATAACATTCTCCCCTGTGGAGAGGTCACCCTAACTGCTGTTAGGGGGTTTTGGGCAACAACTATTTCTGGCTACTTCCTGCTGAAAAGGGGTGTCGAATGGGGAACAGCAGCTAGGGCCCCTCCTGGGGTCGATAAGGGTCCTCAGAAGAATGGCATGTCCATGCATGGTTCAGTTTGCAGCAGCATTTGGAGTTGGATTGCTTCTAGGCGAGAGGAAACAATTTGATTTATAGTATTGAGAATACAGGGTTCAAATATTAATACAAGACATATAAGCAAGAGAGGGCTTAATAAAGGGGTTAACCAATTCCATAAAGAAGACTGGAATGCATTAAAGAGGGATTGTAGCCACCCGGGGCTGAAGCCTCCATTTTTCCGTCAGCCTGTCAATAGTTTTGATTTGATCTTTAAGTACCTGGTGTAGTAAATAATTTTCATCTAAAATTTTACTTGCCAAGATATAGAATTTCCCTCTGGGGGGTGTCTATGAAGTTCCTTGATTTTATTTTCCCAAACAAAGAAACCTCTGGGTTATGGGCACCCTACTCACTTTCATTACCTGGCAGAATTTGCAGGATAATTGCTCAGAACTACCATATTGATCTGGATTTTTACGTTACCCATCCCTTTTTGTTTCTTCCAAGCTGCAGGTGATCACCACTTGGTCCACAGGAATAAGCAGGGTTAGTTTAAAATGTAGGCAAAAAGCTTAAAAACAATTAATGAGACTAGGATTTAATGACAAATGTATGATAAGCTTTGGAGAACAATTTCTCTCTCCAGTCCTTATTTTTGGTAAAAACAAATTATTATAGGACTGTGTGTGTTGTTCATAGAATAAACTTTAGTCTTATACTTGGCCTGATTATTTGCATAAAGTGCAGCAAGAATGGTTATTTCTGCATAGGACTTTTGGATTGGCTTTGATGAAACACTATTCCACAAGGAATTTCAGATAAGACCTTTAAAGCCAAGCCCAGCCATGGGATTGTATCCTCAAATATCTGTAAGTTGGGTGATCCTCTTCTCCTTGAGGTCCCAAGATAAACTTGGAGCTCCTGGCCTATTAGAAAGTGACATTCTTAGGCTGGCACGGTGGCTCATGCCTATAATCCCAACACTTTGGGAGGCCGAGGTGGGCAGATCATGAGGTGAAGAGATCAAGACTATCCTGGCCAACATGGTGAAACCCCTCATCTCTACTAAAAATACAAAAATTAGCTGGGTGTGGTGGTACACAACTGTAATCCCAGCTACTTGGGAGGCTAAGGCAGGAGAATTCCTTGAACCTGGGAGGTGGAGATTGCAGTGAGCCGATGGAGCCACTGCACTCCAGCGTAGGTGACAGAGCGAGACACCACCTGAAAAAAAAAAGTGACGTTCTTTACTGACCACAGGTTAGGAACCCTGTGCGGGGACTGGGTAGACAAGACATGAGGCCAGTGCTCCCCAAGGGCTTTTATTGGCTCTGCATGTCAAGTTTGATTCCTTAAAGAGAAACACACCCTTTTAGTCAAAGCCTTGATCTTGTTAGACATAAATTTTCGGTGCTGCAAAGGAAATAGCGCTCGAATATGAATTTTCTCAGCAAGGCAACTTTACTTTTCTGCAGAAAAGATGCTTCTAAGAAGCCTGATTGTCATGAGAGCATACCAAACAAAGAAAAGCAGAGGTTTTTATCCCTGACACATTGGGTCCTTACTGCAGTGTCCTATCTCCATTGGCTGGAGCTGGACCGCACAATCTAGACTGATCCTGATTGGCTAAAAACTTAAAACTTTCCTAAATAGGTAAATGCACAATGGAGAACAAAGGAAGGAAGGGGGTTGTTTACAAACTAGGAGAATAATAACATTTCCAAATAAGGAAGAGATGTATGCTGTAAGCTGGGAATGCCTGGGCATTTTCAGACATGTCTGAGCAGGTTATAAGCCAGAACAAATAACTTGGTTAAAGTACAAGGACATAGAATGTACTTATTCCCTTACTATATTTAACAGCTACATAGGGCTTAACAAAGAGTTACTAGCAAAAAGCAAGGAAGCTTGACGGAAGTTAGTTTTTAAAAGAAACTATTATTTCTAACATTTATT
Source organism: Homo sapiens (assembly GCF_000001405.40). NCBI lineage: Eukaryota > Metazoa > Chordata > Mammalia > Primates > Hominidae > Homo > Homo sapiens. The sequence goes on from NC_000012.12 coordinate 104,233,290, forward strand.
ATTTATTCTTTAACAAAAAGGGAAACTTTTGAAGAGGAACTTTTTACTTTTCACGGTAAAATAACCAGTTTTTCCAATTGTGTCCTGTTGACAAAGAAAAATGGATTTTTATTGCACTGATGCAAACAATTATATTGCCATAAGTTAAGAGTACTCACAGAGAGTTTCCAAATTCTAGAGGAACCAGACAGAGAAAAATAAAAATGCTCCAAATTTTGTTCACAGGAGTATACCTTACTCATTTTTTTCTGGATGGAGTTTCGCTCTTGTTGCCCAGGCTGGAGTGCAATGGCACAATCTCGGCTCACTGCAACCTCTGCCTCCCAGGATCAAGTGATTCTCCTGCCTCAGCCTCCCGAGTAGCTGGGATTACAGGTGCCAGCCACTACGCCTGGCTAATTTTCGTATTTTTAGTAGAGATGGGGTTTCACCATTTTGGCCAGGCTGGTCTTGAACTCCTGACCTCAGGTGATCTGCCTGCCTCGGCCTCCCAAAGTGCTGGGATTACAGGTGTGAGCCACCGCACCTGGCCCCCTTACTGAATTATTTAGGGCCGTAAATATATCAAAATAAGTTTCCTTAACTCTGAAAATCAAAACAAGGATCAGCAATATTTCAAGCAAAAGTCAAAAGGGTTGCTTTAACTTTCTGAGTGCAGTCCATTTAGTTAACTCTTATTTTGCTTGATATTTGTGAATATGTCAGTTCTGTATGAGTCCCATACATTCTTCTTCTATTTCAATATTACAATCTTCAAAGCTATTAAAAACCTGTGTTTGAGAATACCTGTTAAAGTCCTTAATATAGCTTGATTATAAACTGTCTTCGAGAAGGAACAAAGCAAGACAATTTGTTTGCAAATGACAAAATATGTAGGAGTTACAGTTAAAAACATGGCTGTAGACTACCTATTTGCATTTTGATGATACTTGCATTTTGCCAATAATCTTTGAGACTGTTTTTATTTCTTAAAGTCACATGAACTAAAAAGTATTTGATTTAAGCACATCTTTTTCTTTTTTTGAGACGAAGTCTCACTCTGTCACCCAGGCTGGAGTGCAGTGGCATGATCTCAGCTCACTGCAACCTCTGCCTCCTGGGTTCAAGTGATTCTTCTGCCTCAGCCTCCCAAGTAGCTGAGACTACAAGCACGCACCACCATGCCTGGCAAATTTTTGTATTATTGGTGGAGAAGGGGTTTCACCATATTGGCCAGGCTGGTCTTGAACTCCTGACCTCATGATCCACCCACCTCAGCCTCCCAAAAGTTCTGGGATTACAGGTGTGAGCCACCGTGCCTGGCCAAAAAGCAACTAATTTTTTAAAAAATAAACATTTTAAAGTCAGGGAAAAAAAAAAAAAAAAAAGAAGCCTTCCAAAATTTAACTCAGGTATTTGACCTCTCATGAAGGAATGTTATGCTGCTTCTGAGCCAAACTCTAACTGCAGCTAGAACAGGCAGCTCTGCAAGCAGAAGAAAATTTTGGAGATGAGCAATATATCTCCTATAGTAGGCCAGAAGGGAAAAGAAAAAATAGGGAAGGCAAAGAAATAGGGGGAACACCATTCCCAATAGGAAAAGAGGCAATACCTCTTGATGACCCTCAATTGGAACTCCTTTCTATGGTGTTTTTCCTTCATTTGCAGTTTAAAATGGCTTCTATCTCTTATGTAATGTTCTTCTAACCTGGGAAAAGTTAATTTTCCAAATCTTAAAATGCTTGGCTTAGAGTTGAGCTGGGGGAAGGTGTTGGATATAAGAGCTCGGAGTCGCAAAGAAAATGAGCACTCAAAGAATTTCTCAGCAAGGCAAATTTACTTCTGCAGAAAGGTGCTGCTCATTCTTCTGGTCACTGTGAGAGCACACTGAACAAAGGAGGGAAGGGTTTTTATCCCTAATGCAGTCAGTCCTTGCTACTGTGTCCGATCCCCATTGGTTGGGGTTGGACCGCACAATCTAAGCTGATCCTGATTTGCTACTTGAAATGGAGCAGGGGTGGGGGCTACAAAAGTAAGGGTGCCAAATAAGGAACAGATGTGGGTTGTTACAGATTGGGAACGGATGTGCGTTACAGATTGGGAATGGCTGGAAGGTTGTTTACCGTACCTAGGGGCAAGGAGGCAAGGAAGTTAGGCTTTGAAAATAGAGGACAAGCAGAACCTTTAAAGAAGAACTCACTGTTTCCAGCAAAGGGAACCCAGAAGCCTGATATGACATCAAGAGGGTAAAAAGGTTTACCAGTCGGGCTTTTGGCTTCTCTCTCCTTGTGCAAACCAGTAAAAGGGATAATAAGGATCATTGTTTATATTCTCTGTAAATTTATAGTTAATGAAAAAGGATTTGTGAGGTTAGTCTTAAGCTGTAGACAATCTGGTGTGCTTTGCATGTCTTTCTGTGTGGTTCTGTTGAGGAAAGGGTATCTTAGGTTAGAATGCAGGCCCAGAAACCCATAAGCCTGCTGTTTGAGCCACCCCAACAAAATGGTCAGTAACAAACTTAGCTACAAGCTTCCATGTTGTTTCATGTCCTTGGGAACATAACCTGTAGCCACGTGGCAATACTTTATTTTAGTCCCTGCAATTTTACAATGGTGGCTGTCTTCTTGTGCTAAGTCAGTTCCTGGGTGAGGGCCACAAAATCAAGTAAACCAGTTTGTTAATCTGGGTGGTGCCAGCTGATCCATCAAGGGCAGGGTTTACAAAATATCTTAAGTGCTAACCTTAAGAGCGGTTTAGGGAGGGTGAAAATCTTGTAGCCTCCAGCTGCAGGCTCCTGGGCCATGGTTTCTAATCTTGTGGCTAGTTTCTTGGTCTGTTCCCAGGCAAGAGGGAAGTATATCTTGGGAAATACTGTTATCATCTTTGTTTTAGACTATAGACTGTAAATCCGACTCCTCCCAAAGTTGGTTCGGCCTAAACCAGGGATGGGCAAGGACAGCTTGGGGGCTGAAAACAAAATGGAATTGTTTGGGTCAGATCTCTTTCACTGTCTCAGTCACAATTTTGCAATGACAGTTTCAAAAGCTTCCTATCACTCCTTTGAAAATACCTTGTACACTTGCATTAAGTCATAACCTAATTAAGGCTCATTGGTTTCACCTGTGAGGTTACTGTTTGTAAAGTTCAAAAGCCAAAAATCTTAACTGCTTGGCATGGCTAAAGTCGAGTAACAAGGGATTTTAAAGGATTTTCTTAAAGAGCACTGAGCTTAATTAAAAGTTCAGGCATGGTGGCTCACACCTGTAATCCCAGCACTTTGGGAGGCTGAGATGGGAGGATCACCTGAGGTCGGGAGTTTGAGACCAACCTGACCAACATGGAGAAACCCTGTCTCTACTAAAAATACAAAATTAGCCGGGTGTGGTGGTGCATGCCTGTAATCCCAGCTACTTGGGAGGCTGAGGCTGGAGAATCGCTTGAACCCAGGAGGCAGAGCTGTGGTAAGCTGAGATTGCACCACTGCATGCCAGCCTGGGCAACAAGAGTGAAAACTGTCTCAAAAAAAAAAAAAAAAAAAAAGTGGATATTCAAGTTACAGGGTTATAGGTATATTTAAGGCCTTTATGTTTTTCTCTTCTTGGATCTTGTTTTTCTGGAAAAAGGCTCTTTTCTTCTCAGTTGACTGAATTATTTTTCTCCATTTTTTGTCTTACCACTCTTAATGCATGCATGAGAGGCCCTAAGATAACTTCTGGTAACATGGGACTGCTGGAGAAAAACAGAGGAGGCATCACAGACTCCGTTCTGGGGGGGTTGGGAGGGAACAAGAAACAAATCAAAAAAACCTCTGTTTTCCTCATGAAACTCTCCAAATTAAAAGCAGATAGTTCCCTCAAAATCAAAGGCTCTGTACTGTTATGTATTGTGTTATCTACCGCTTTTGAGTTTTGGGGTATCAAATTACTTCACATTGTGGGAGAGCTTTGGTGTGTAATAACTTACAGTGTAGAAAATACACTGTAAGGGGTGGCTAATAGTAGTTATAAATCAGAGAAGCATGCTCTGCGCCATCTGAAAGATATGGAGACATCCCCATACCCCAATAAGAGATGAGACTCCCTTGAGGGATGGGCTAATTACAAATTAAGCCAATTAGCTTGGAGTTGCCTTGCAATGAAATGCATGGTAGAAGCACTACACTGTCTTCTCCCATAGTATCTTCCTCCTTTTGGGGACCCAAAATCCAGTATAAAATGGCACCGTTAATTTTAGGGATCTCTCTTTGCCTTCAGTTGTGCCTGCTTATTAGGCCCTAAAAAACGCATACTACCCGGCCCTGTTCCTCCAAGGGTTTCACCCTAAAGCCAGTAATACAATTAAGAAACTGGCAAATGAAAAATCTTAACAAGTGCTGAATATTCTGTCTGTGTTGTTATAGATGTGTTGTGTGTAATGTCTATAAAAACAGCTCTAATTGATTGGCTTAAAGAAAAATAAGCACTAGGCCAGACGTGGTGGCTCATGCCTGTAATCCCAGCACTTTGGGAGGCTGAGGCAGGCGGATCATGAGATCAGAAGTTCGAGACCAGCCTGGCCAATATGGTAAAACCGTCTCTACTAATAATACAAAAATTAGCTGGGTGTGGTGGCGCATACCTGTAGTCCCGGCTACTCGGGAGGCTGAGGCAGAAGAATCGCTTGAACCCACGAGGCTGAGGTTGCAGTGAGCTGAGATCACGCCACTGCGCTCCAGCCTGGGTGACAGAGCAAGACTTCATCTCAAAAAAAAAAGAAAAAAAGAAAAAAGAAAAATAAACGCTTAAATAAAAAATTTTCTAGTTCACATGACTTTAAGAAATAAAAATAGTCTCAAGGATTATTGGTAAAATGCAAGCGTCATCAAAATGCAAATAGGTGGTCTACAGTCATGTTTTTAACTAACCTGCAAATTTTGTCATTCGCAGACAATTGTTGTCTTGCTTTGTTCTTTCTCAAAAGACGGTTTATAATCAAGCTATATTAAGGACGTTAACAGGTGTTCTCAAATGCAGGTTTTTAATAGCTTTTAATATTGTAACATTGACATAGAGAAAGAATGTATGGGACTCATAAAGAACTGACATGTTCACAAATATCAAGCAAAACACAAGTTAACTAAATGGATTGCACTCAGAAAGTTAAAGCACCCTTTTTGACTTTTGCTTGAAATGTTGCTGATCCTTGTTTTGTTTTTCAGAGTCAAGGAAACTTATTTTGAACTATTTACAGCCTTAAAAAAAAAGATGTTGTGGGTTTTTCATAGATGACCTTTATCAGGTAGAAAAGTTTCCTTTTATTCCTAGTTTGTTGAGTGTTTTTTATCATGAAAGGGTGTTAGACTCTGTCAAATGTTTGTATCTGTTGAAATAACTGTGTGGTTTTCATTCTTTATTCTATTAATATGATGTATTGCATTGATTGATTCTCATATGTTTAATCAACCTGTGCAAGGTTTATCCTGGGATAAATTTCACTCAGTTGTGGTGTATAAAATTTTTATATATTGCTGGATTTGGTTTGTTAATGTTTTGTGGATAATTTTTTTTGTCTATATTTACAAAGGGCATTGGTCTGTGGTTTTCTTTTCTTTTTTTTTGCGACAGAGTCTTGCACTGTTGCCCAGGCTAGAGTGCAATGGTGTGATCTCAGCTCACTGCAACCTTTGCCTCCCGGGTTCAAGTGATTCTCCTGTCTCAGCCTCCCAAGTAGCTGGGATTACAGATGCCCGCCACCACACCCTTTTCATGTGATGCCCTTGTCTGGTTTTGGAATCAGGGTAATACCAATCTCATAGAATGAATTGGAAAGTATCCCCTCCTCTTCTGTTTTTGGAAAGAGTGTGAAAAATTGCTGATAATTCTGTGTTAGACGTTTGGGAGAATTTATCAGCAACAATCATCTGAGCCTGGGCTTTTCTTTGTGGGAATTTTTTTTTTTTTTTTGAGACGGAGTTTCGCTCTTGCTCCACAGGCTGGAGTACAATGGCGCGATCTCGGCTCACTGCAACCTCTGCCTCCTGGGTTCAAGCGATTCTTCTGTCTCAGCCTCCTGGGTAGCTGGGATTACAGGCGTGTGCCACTACAACCGGCTAATTTTTTGTCTTTTTAGTAGAGACAGGGTTTCACCATATTGGTCAGGCTGGTCTCAAACTCCTGACCTCAGATGATCCTCCTGCCTCGGCCTCACGAAGTACTGGGATTACACGTGTGAGCCACTGCACCTGGCCAAGAGTTTTTATTGCTAATTCAATCTCTTGTCTATTCAAGATTATAAGTCTATTTAGCTTCTCATTCCTTTTTTTTCCCTAGACTCAAGTGATTCTCATGCCTCAGCCTCCCAAGTAACTGGGATTACAGGTATGTGCCACCATGCCTGGCTAAATTTTGTATTTTTAGTAGAGTCAGGGGTTTCACCTTGTTGGCCATGCTGGTCTCCAACTCCTAGCCTCAGGTGATCCACCCACCTTGGCCTCCCAAAGTGCTAGGATTACAGGCATGAGCCACCACACCCAGCCTCATTTCTTCTTGACTCAGTTTGGGTAATCATGTCTTTCTAGGAATTTGTTCATTTCATGTAGATTATCTAATTCGTTGGCATATAATTGAATTTTTTATACTGTTAATATGAGCAGTCTAAACCAGCCTTGCATTCCCAGGACAAACCCCACTAGCTCGTGGAATATTATTATTCCTTTTATATATTGCTGGATTCAATTTGCCATTATTTTGTTGAAGAATTTTGCATCTTTGTTTATGAGGGATATTGATTTACAGTTTCCTTTTCTTGTACTGTCTCTGTCTAGTTTGAGTATCAGGATGCTACTGACCTCATAAAATAAGTTTGAAAATGGCCCCTCCCCTTGTATTTTCTGGACAAGATTGTATAGATTGGTAGGGTATCTTTTATTAAGTTTTATTTTCCTCCAGATATCCTGTTTGTAGGTGTGTGTGAGAAACAGAAAATGTTACTGAATCAGAGAGAGTCTAAGTACCATTGTTTTCTGCAGTTTTCTCTTAAACCTTGGGGTTAAAAGAAATCTGTTGAAATACAGTGTAACCACATGTCTTATTTCTCAGCTTTTTGTGAGAGATCTCAACTGGGAAGATTGAGGTAGTTTCTTTTAAGCCCTGTTGTTGGTCACATTGACTGAACATTTTAGTGAACTAGGATTACTCCACTTACTGGATATTCTTAATACTAAGGTAACAATATGAAAAAAGAACATATTTTCTGTATATATGTATAAAGCATATTTAGTGAAATTGTGAGAGTTATTGGTCTAGTATAGGCAAGAGAACTTTTTAGCTTAATTGAGTTCTCAACTGGTATATAGTATGTGTTTATATGAAGGATCAGTTTAGTAATTGTCCACAGATTCCTTTTATATTTTAATGACTGTAATTCAGGTTTTACAATCAGAAAAAGCACCTACATTGTCTTCTGTGTATATGTTTTTTGTCCAGAAAAGGTATCTTTGTGGAATTTTTTTTTTTTTTTGGAGTGTTGCTCTGTCACCCAGGCTGGAGTGCAATGGCACTATCTCGACTCACTGCAACTTCTGCCTCCTGGGTTCAAGCGATTCTCTTGCCTCAGCCTCCTGAGTAGCTGGGACTACAGGCGCCCGCCACCATGCCTGGCTAATTTTTGCATTTTTAGTAGAGATGGGGTTTCACCGTGTTAGCCAGGATGGTCTCGATCTCCTGACTTCGTGATCCGCCCGCCTCGGCCTCTCAAAGTGTTGGGATTACAGGCATGAGTCACTGCGCCCAGTTTTTTTTTTTCTTTTTTTGAGACAGAGTCTCACTCTGTCGCCCAGGCTGGAGTGCAGTGGCATGGTCTCGGCTCACTGCAACCTCTGCCTCACAGGTTCAAGTGATTCTCCTGCCTCAGCCTCCCAAGTAGCTGGGACTACGGGCTCACGCCAACATGCCTGGCTAATTTTTGTATTTTTCAGTAGAGATGGGGTTTCACCATGTTGGCCAGGCTGGTGTCAAACTCCTGACCTGGTGATCCGCCCGCCTCAGCATCCCAAAGTGCTGAGATTACAGACGTGAGCCACTGTGCCCGGCTGCCAATGGTATTTCTCTCACAGATGAGAAAAGTCTGATTTCTTTTTTTTTGAGATGGAGTTTTGCTGTTGTTGCCCAGGCTGGAGAGCAATGGCAAATCTCGGCTCACCGCAAACTTCGCCTCCCACGTTGAAGCGATTCTCCTGACTCAGCCTCCCAAGTAGCTGGGATTATAGGCATGTGCCACCACGACCGGCTAATTTTGTATTTTTAGTAGAGACGGACTCTCCACTTTGGTCAGGCTGGTCTCGAACTCCTGACCTCAGGTGATTTGCCCGCCTCAGCCTCCCAAAGTGCTGGGTTTACAGGCGTGAACCACCACACCCAGCCAGTCTGATTTCTTTTTAAATTTTACTTTTATTTATTTATTTATTTATTTATTTTGTAGAGATGGGTTCTCACTGTGTTGCCCAGGCTAGTCTTGAACTCCTAGGCTCAAGTGATGCTCCTTCCTCAGCCTCCCTGTTGGGATTACAGGCGTGAGCCACCATGCTCAGTGAAAAGTCTGATTTCTTAAGTCAGTTTTAAAAGGTGATATGCTAAGAAAAACTTTAACATTTTATTTTTTCATTTAACATCTTTTATTTTTTATACTAATGATTTTTTTTTTTTTTTTTTTTTGAGATGGAGTCTCACTGTCGCCCAGACTAGAGTGCAGGGCACGATCTCAGCTCACTGCAACCTCCACCTCCCTGGTTCAAGCAATTTCCCTGCCTCAGCCTCCTGAGTAGCTGGGATTACAGGCGCACGCCACCACACCTGGCTATTTTTTTGTATTTTTAGTAGAGATGGGGTTTCACCAAGTTGGCCAGAGTGGTCTTGAACACCTGACCTCAGGTGATCCACCCACCTTGGCCTCCCAAAGTCCTGGGATTACAGGCATGAGCCACTGTGTCCGGCCTACTAATGATTTTTTAAAAGCTCTGTAGTGTCTGGGTGCGGCGGCTCACGCCTGTAATCCCAGCACTTTGGGAGGCCAAGGCGGGTGGATCATGAGGTCAGGAGTTCGAGACCAGCCTGGCCAAGATGGTGAAACCCCGTCTGTACTAAAAACACAACAATTAGCCAGGCATGGTGGCGCACGCCTGTAGTCCCAGCTACTTGGGAGGCTGAGGCAGGAGAATCGCTTGAACCTGGGAGGTGGAGGTTGCAGTGAGCTGAGGTTGTGCCATTGCAATCCAGCATGGGCGACAAGAGTGAAACTCCGTCTAAAAAAAAAAAAGCTCTGTAGTATTGCTTTTAAAATGATTTTCTTATCTTATTAACAGCATCAATATTAAATTTACAGCTAGGTGAAAGAAAGGATATGTTTTTCTTCTTCCATTTGGTCCTTCAGTACCTCTTCCACGTTCCCTGTGGTAGAGCCCAACCCTGACAGGAGACTCTTGGTGCTGAGTGATCCAGTAAACCAAGACTAACCCCCACCCTCTCCTACCTCAAACACACAGTGTCTAGTTACAGTGGTAGCCTACATGGATTTCTGGCGTAATTTCTCTTATCATGAACCATTCCATAAACCAGTCCTCTGCAGAAAAGAGAGTTCCTTTCAAATGTGTATTCTCAGGCTCACGCAGCCACTGAATCCTGGACCTGGCATATAATCATATTAGAATACAACTGTGGAGTGAGGCAAGTGGGAATTCTTGGCTAGGACCCCAACATAACTAAGGTTTAATCTTAACCTTAAATAAGACTCCTTTGAAGGAGGTACAAGCACAAGAGCTATAAACAGGATATTGTAGTCCTTTTTATAGCACTTAAGTTCTTCTTATGACATTTATTTGTAAAAACTAAAAATCCTTTTAAGGCTAAAAAACCTACCTAGGGTTTTATTTCAATTTGGTAAATAAATAATACTAATAACTACAATGTACTTATTATTAATTTCAACACTAGAAATTCATTATCATGTCCTTTTAGGGAGTCTTTAGTCTTCCTTCCGTGTGTTTCCATAAAGACTTCTGTTTTATTTTTCCAGCTTGTCTCATATCCTACAGACTTTCAGAAACACATATAACTACTTTCTTGTCTTCACTTGATTTATAGACACTGTAATGGGTATAGCTTACCCATTTAAGCTTCCCCACTCTTGGGTCTCTTATGGAGTAACTTCTTTACTTGATGGGGTCTTGTCAGACCCAAGAGTAATATTTGTGTGTCTTGTGGGTTGAATATAATATTGTAATAATTCTTACTTTGTTAAAAGGAATCTTCTGAGAGTGGTGGTGTGTTTGCCATACTCCTTGAGCTTGAACTGAATGAGTTTTGTTAAGAGGTCTGGGGTTCTGTGGAAATCCTTGATTTCTTCTGACTTGCAGTCCAGATGCTTTTAACCACAGGCAACGAGTAAAAATATGTGCATGACAAACCTGTAAACCAGAAAGTGAAGACAGCAGGCAGAGTGGCGTGCTATAAAATTTTTATCATCACACTTGAAGTGATCGTGTTGCTCATTAATGGCGAAAACTCAAGTTCTAACACATGGCAGTTTTAGTCTGTGTTTAGCCTTGCCATGTGCTTTCATCTGCCAGGCTCCTCTTTGCTTTCCCCTTTGTTTCCCTGCTTTGAAGTTCATTCATTGTCCTGGTTTACTGTGAAATGCCACTTGGGGATAACTCAAAATAGGACAGTGGCTTTATTACCTGTGCTTTTCATATTTCATGCTACCTTTCTGTTTTCCAGTTTCCCCCAGTTAAGTTGCATTCCTTATGTACCGTGATGTTCCTCTGTTGTCAAACTAGAGCTTCTTCCCACAGCTAAGTGGCTGATCAAGGTTTCTCCAAAGAGATAAGTATCAGTTATATAGCTCTCTAAGCAATGTGTAGACTGAGAGCCACTCAAAACCTGGCTCTCTGCAGGCTTTCAGGTGGCAGTAGTCATGGGTGAGAGTCAGTGGTTTTGGCAGGTACAAACACATATGAATTGTATGAAGATGTTTCTTGAGGAGGAGTGTCCTGGAGTGGAAGTGTTTTCCTTTAGTAATCCCTTTACTAATCCCACAGTTCAAATATCTTGCTTTATATCCCTAAGAGTACAAAGATTTCAATGAATTTCTCTGTTTAGTGAAGTCAGAGACAGGAACAAATGCAATAGGCTGGTATGCAACTTTAATTTTTTTTTTAAGTTTGGGAAATACAGGAAAGAAAAGTCATGGATAATTCTGTCACGCCAATATAACTAATATGACCATTTTGCACATTCTTTTTCAGGATTCCTATATGTCGAGTTTCACAGAATTGTAAAACTATGGTACATAGGACTTGGTATTCTAGGTTTTTAAAAAACTAACAATTGTGTCAAACTATTTCTACATTATTTTGAATCTTGAATAGTATGCAGCCACTAAATAAGGTTAGAACAAGAGAGCTACTGTAATTTAGCCATTCCTCTAATGTCAGACATTTGTTGTTTCTAATTTTTTGCAATAGCTAATGATGTTACAATGAAATCATTGGTAATAATTGGATAAAAAGAAGGGATTGAAGACAGGGAAAAGAAAGGGGTGTAGGCTGTAGAGCAGGGAGAGAACCTCTTTGCAGCTTAGGCTTGGGAGAGAGAAAAGCTGTGGCAAGGTATAACTTTGTCCCTGTATCTAGAAAGGTTATGGACATGTTCAGGAGGTCCGGAATGGTGAGTATTGATAGGCCTGTGGCCTGTTTTGTTCCACTGGGTTTTACAGGAAGTTAACATGATTGATCCTAAAGCTATAGCACTTTTATTGAAAGGGAATTTGGGACTATCCCCATTTAACTAGGTGATAATAGCTATGTTAATAAAAACTACTGAAAGCTTTTCCTAAGAGAAGGCTAGGAGGTAGGGGTCTTTCAATGTTTTCATTATTTTAGATTTTTTTTTTTAAAGCTAGTCGTCACAAATAAGAATACTGAGTTAAGGCTCGGCGCGGTGGCTCACGCCTGTAATCCCAGCACTTTGGGAGGCTGCGGCAGGCGGGTCACCTGAGGTTGGGAGTTCCAGACCAGCCTGACCAACATAGTGAAACCCCGTCTCTACTAAAAATACAAAATTAGCTGGGCATGGTGGCACAGGCACATGTCGGTAATCCCAGCTACTCAGGAGGCTGAGGCAGGAGAATCACTTGAACCTGGGAGGCAGAGGTTGCGGTGAGCCGAGATCACACCATTGCACTCCAGCCTGGGCAACAAGAGCGAAACTCCATCTCAAAAAAAAAAAAAAAAAAAAAAAAAGAATACTGAGTTAAAAGGTATGGCCATCTCAGGAGGTTGCAGTGAGCCGAGATCCGAGATGGAGCCACTGCACTGCAGCCTGGGTGTTGGAGCAAGACCCTGTCTCAAAAAAAAAAAAAAAAAAAAAAGTATGGCCATTTGAGTAGTTTTTGACCCACACTGTCAAATTGTTTTTCAAAAGAATAGTATTAGCTTGTGTTACACAGCCCTGTGGACTCACTTCAGTGTACATTTATCAGCACTGGGAGTTTTCATTTTTTTTGTATGTAAGAAATGACATTTCGGGGCCGGGCGCGGTGGCTCACGCCTGTAATCCCAGCACTTTGGGAGGCCGAGGCGGGCGTATCACGAGGTCAGGAGTTCGAGACCAGCCTGGCTAACATGGTGAAACCCCGTCTCTACTAAACAAAATACAAAAAAATTAGCCAGGCGTGGTGGCGGGCTCCTGTAGTCCCAGCTACTCGGGAGGTCAAGGCAGGAGAATGGCGTGAACTCGGGAGGCGGAGCTTGCAGTGAGCTGAGATCGCGCCGCTGCACTCCAGCCTGGAGCCTGGGCGATACAGCGAGACTCTGTCTCAAAAAAAAAAAAAAAAAACTTTTCCCAGCTGGGCACAGTGGCTCACACCTGTAATCCCAGCGCTTTGGGAGGCCGAGGCGGGTGGATCATGAGGTCAGGAGATCGAGACCATCTTGGCTAACACGGTGAAACCCCGTCTCTACTAAAAATACAAAAAAATTAGCCAGGCATGGTGGCGGGCGCCTGTAGTCCCAGCTACTCGGGAGGCTGAGGCAGGAGAATGGCATGAACCTGGGAGGCGGAACTTGCAGTGAGCCAAGATCGCGCCACTGCACTCCAGCCTGGGCGACAGTGCGAGACTCCATCTCAAAAAAACAAAAAAACAAAAAAACAAAAAACTTTTCCCCAAATTATCAAGTCATCATTGCCATACTATTTTGAAAGTACATTTTATTGCTTTGTGATGGTTTTTTTTTTTTTTTGAGATGCAGTCTCGCTCTGTCACCAGGCTGGAGTGCAGTGGTGCGATCTCGGTTCACTGCAACCTCTGCCTCCCAGGTTCAAGCCATTCTCCTGCCTCAGCCTCCTGAGTAGCTGGGATTACAGGCGTGCACCACCATACCCAGCTAATTTTTGTATTTTTAGTAGAGACTGGGTTTCACCATGTTGACCAGGATGGTCTCGATCTCCTGACTTTGTGATCCGCCCGCCTCGGTCTCCCAAAGTGCTGGGATTACAGGTGTGAGCCACTGTACCCGGCCACATGATGGCTTTTTAAAAATCATAAATGATTCTGTATTTGTCTCTTTCTGGTCTATCTAATCTCTTTTACTGATCTCTGTTTACTTTTATAAATACAAGTAGGGAGACTATTTTATTATTACTCTTTAGTTTCAGTTGTTACAAGTGGATAGTAAGTACTTCATGGATCCAAATATTAGGAATTGATCTTAGGCAAAAAAGTTGGGGCAAAATGAAAGCAACTTATCATTACAGTTTTTTGTTTGTTTGTTTGTTTGTTTGTTTTTGAGACAGAGTCTCACGGTCGCCCAGGCTGCAGTGCAATGGCGCAACCTCAGCTCACTGCAAACTATGCCTCCCGGGTTCAAGTGATTCTCCCTCCTCAGCCTCCCAAGTAGCTGGGAATACAGGCACCCGCCATTATGCCTGGCTAATTTTTGTATTTTTCATTGTGACAGGGTTTCACCATGTTGGCCAGGGTGGTCTCAAACTCGTGACCTCAGGCAATCTGCCTGCCTTAGCCTCCCAAAGTGCTGGGATTACAGGTGTGAGCCACCACGCCTGGCCCATTACAGTTTTATCTGCATTTTTCTGACTGCCTGGTTCTGTGCTGTTCCTGCAACATTTACTTAACATATTTCTTTGAATGCTGCTTCAAATTTTATTTCAAAATTGAGGGGGAAAAATAAGCAAATGATAAACATAAACAAAATTTTATTTTCCTTTTTTGTTAGAGGCAGAATTTAAGGAAAAATTCTGATGATTTTGATTACAGTTAGTGGCTAACCTCTTATGATTTATTTACCTATCTATTTATCTTTCCATCTATTTGTACATTTTTTTGTTTGTTTGTTTTTTTGGTAAACAGTCTCTCCCCAGTAAGAATGCAGTTCTTCTTAATCACAGAAGTTATTCCTTTCCTTGTAATGGCCTTCTCTGTTCTGTGTCTTGGCAAATATCTGAGCCTAATAGTTGGGTGGTGCCCTTGGCATAGATGTTATGTAAGGAATTGTCACCTGCTTTTAGAGTCAGTCATCCCATGAAATCGAAGGAGTCAGTAAGGCGTTATGGAATCAGGAGGCTTGTGTGACAGCTCTGACGCTGATACCAATTAATGACCTGACTGGACCTCAGTTTCCTCATCAGTGGAATGAACACAGTTGGCCTAGTGACCCCAGATGTCTCTCCCAAGCTAACATTCTGTGATTCTCATTCTCTGAAATGTTACCACGAGGAATGTTTACTTATACGTTACTTTTTAAAATAAGAAAAATGGAGAACAGAAAATGAGAACTAGAGTTTAATTTTAAAATTTTGAAGTGTCATGGATGAGGCTATCGTCATGTGTCATGTTGCTTTAGTCCAATAGTTCTTAATTAACAGTATGCATTAGAACTACCAGTGAACATTTAAAGTATATGCATATATGTGTGTGAACATATATGAATATATACACACATAAATATGTTTGTTTATTTATTTATTTACTTATTTATTTATTGGAGACAGAGTCTCACTCTGTTGCCCAGGCTGGAGTGCAGTGGTGCGATCTTGGCTCACTGCAACCTCCACCTCCTGGGTTCAAGCAGTTCTCCTGCCTCAACCTCCCAAGTAGCTGGGATTACAGGCGCGTGCCACAACACCCAGCTAATTTTCGTATTTTAAGTAGAGATGGGGTTTCACCATGTTGGTCGGGCTGGTCTCAAACTCCTAACCTCAGGTGATCCAACTGCATCGCCTCCCAAAGTGCAGGAATTACGGGCGGGTGTGAGCCACGCGCCTGGCCACACACACAAATATGCATGCTTAGGCCCATGCCTTGCAAGTCTGATTCAGTAGGTTAGGGACAAGGATGAGACCTAGGAAGTCTTGGTTATTCAGATGCAAATAAGGGTTGAAAGGCCTCCCTTCCACTTACGGCAGATACTGCAGGTATAGATTGGTCTGGTATACTCTGCAACAAATAAGTCCCATTGCTCTTCTGGGATCCTATAATTAATTGGCACAGATGTTAGTTTTTCTTTTCTTTTTTTTTCTTTTTTTGAGATAGTCTCTCGCACTCTCACCTGGGCTGGAGTGCACGATCTCGGCTCACTGCAACCTCCCCCGCCCAGGTTCAAGTGATTCTCCTGCCTAGCCTCCCAGTGCTGGGATTACAGGCATGAGCCACCGCCCCGGGCCCAGAGAAATTACAAGCGAGAAATTACAACAAGCTAGTTTTTCTTTAAGAAGAACCCACTTCTCATTTTCTTATCTGTTCAGGCTGGTAAAACAAAATAACATAAACTAGGAGGCTTATCAACAACAGAAAACAATTTCTTACAGTTCTGTGGCCTAGGAAGTCCAAGATCAAGGTGCCAGTAGATTCCACGTCTGGTGAGGGCCCACTTCCTGATTCTCAGTAGGTACCTTCTTGCTGTGTCCTCACATGGTGGAAGGGGAGATGGGCTCTCTGGAGTTTCTTTCATAACTGCGCTAATCCCATTCTTGAGGGCTCCTAATCACCTCCCAAAGGCCCCTCCTTCTAATGCTGTCACTTTGAGAATTAAGATTTTGACAGAGAAATTTTAGAGGTATAGAAGCATTCAGATCATAGCGCTTATATCTCAAAGATAAGGAGATTTCTATGTTCCTCTTCACTTTTCTATCCATATGTTAAGTATTAGTAACATTTGATTGTCTGGTATATAATGAAACAGTCTCTTGGTTGTTGACCCTGTCTTGACATTGTATGATAGGGGTTATTTAAAAATTTCTTAAATTAACTATCTTTCTAAAAACTATTTTTATAAAATAATACATGTTCATGGTTTAAAAACACATAGTACCAAAAGTACGATGAAAGTGAAAGCTTGCCAGGCGCGGTGGTTCACGCCTGTAATCTTAGCACTTTGGGAGGCCAAGGTGGGCAGATCACGAGGTCAGGAGATCAAGACCATCCTGGCTAACATGGTGAAACCCCGTCTCTACTAAAAATACAAAAAATTAGCCGGGCGTGGTGGCAGGCGCCTGTAGTCCCAGCTACTCGCGAGGCTGAGGCAAGAGAATGGCGTGAACCCGGGAGGCGGAGCTTGCAGTGAGGCCGAGATCGTGCCACTGTACTCCAGCCTTGGCAACAGAGCGAGACGCCGTCTCAAAAAAAAAAAAAAAAAAAAGTGAAAGCTTACTAGACATAATGATTAATAATAATAATGATTAATAATAAACATTTTGGGGATTTAGCTGATTTTATTAACACCATTTAAATATCAGTCTAGGTGTAGTGACAGTATAACATACTGGTTAAAAGCATGGGCGCTACCTTTACATTTATGGTCAATTGATTTTTGACAAGGTTGGCAAGATACATCAATAGGGAAAGATTAGTCTTTTCAACAAATGGTGCTGAGACAGCAGGTTATCCACATGCAAAAGAAGAAAGTGGATGCCTGCCTCATAGAACACATGCAAATTAACTTAAAATGGATCATAGTCCTAAAGTAAGAACTAAAACTATAAGACTCTTACAAAAAAAATAAAATCCTTGTGACTTTGGAATAGGCAATAGTTTCTTAGATATGACACCAAAAGTATAAGCAAAAAAGAAAAAGATAAATTTGACTTGATCAAAATTTAAAACTATATTTCAAAAAGACTTCTATATTTTAAAGCTGTTTTTTTTAAAGTGTAGGTTCTAGAGAATGATAACCTAAGTTTGAATTTTAGCTCCATTACTTATTGTAAGCTGTGCAACCCTGAGGAAGTTGCATAACCTCTCTGAGTCTGTGTCCTTGTTTGTAAAATGGGGATGATGGTAGCAGTGCCCACCTAACGATATTGCTGGAAGGATTAAATGAAAGGAGGCATATAAACATTAACCCTCTGTCTAGTTCTGGATAAATACAAATATCAACTATGAAGATGATAAGGAGATTGAAGAAGGATGAATGGCTTACTTGGATCAGCAGAAATGAGAAGAAATCACCTAAGGAACAAGTAGTAAGGGTGGGCTTGAACTTGGTTTATTCATGGGCCCTGAAGAAGATGGATAGTTTAAACATTTTTACAAGTTGGAGGTAGCAATCTCTTGGTGGTTTTGACTGGTGATGATGCCCAGGATGACAGTGCTGTCATGTGGGAATAACATACCACTAAGCTGGATCATGTTTGTTTTGATGCCTGATTGGGCCAGCACAAAATCCTGAGGAGAAAATAATTCGCAGTAAGTATTTTTATTGCAGTCTTGCTGCATCTTGCCTGAAGATCCTGTGTCTGCTTATCCAGGAGTTAACCTGGGAGAAAACATGTAAGCCTTGGTTTGAGTGGTCTGCCCCTATGTCTGTAAGCAGGGTTGTGTTGGAAGGGGACATCTGTCTGACATTTGGCCTCTCTGCATTTAAACCATGGTTGGGAATAGAGATGGCATAAAATGTGGCCTCAGTATTTCCAACCTGTTACTTATTTTCCTGTGTCCAGGGAAGGTTCTGATTATGGCTTGTTGGCAGGATCCCCTGAGAACATATCTTGACTGTGATCTGAGTTAGGAATATTGAATAATATGTCAGAGGTTCCAGTCAGATGAAAGAAGTAAATCTATAATCTTCATTAGAGTCCTTCCTTCCTCAGATTCCTTATTTTGGCCTGTGGGACTTAAATGGTAATGCTTTTAGAGTGAACCTAATATTAGAAAATGCATCATCATGTTTTCCTTTGTGATAATTACCATCCTTACTTCCATTACTTCTAGCTAAAGATCATCACCCTGGTAAAACTTTGCCAGAGAACCCAGCAGGATTCACCAGCACGGCCACTGCAGACTCCAGAGCCCTGCTTCAGGCCTATATAGATGGTCACTCTGTGGTCATCTTCAGTAGGTCCACATGCACACGCTGTACTGAGGTAAGGCTTTAAACTCAAGGGGTTTAAATGGAATTGAAGGAATTTGACAGACTTTTGAGCTCAAATGTAAACAACTGGATTTTACCTTTAGGAAGAGTGTATGTAGGCTGGGCGCGGTGGCTCACACCTGTAATCCCAGCACTTTGGGAGGCCAAGGTGAGTGGATCACAAGGTCAAGAGATCAAGACCATCCTGGCCAACATGATGAAACCCCATCTCTACTAAAAATACAAAAATTAGCCCAACGTGGTGTCATGTGCCTGTAGTCGCAGCTACTCGGGAGGCTGAGACAGGAGAATCACTTGAACCCAGGAGGCAGAGGTTGCAGTGAGCCGAGATAGTGCCACTGCACTCCAGCTTGGGGGACAGAGTCAGACTCCATCTCAAAAAAAAAAAAAAAAAAAGGAAAAGTATATGTAGGTGTAACTTGCTTCAGAGTAATTGTAAAATGTGGATTTGATAACAAAATATTGTTTGAATAATCTTTCTGAGCTTTTGGGAAGTATGAGACATATTCAGGTAGTCGAGGTCAGGGAAGGTTAGGGTGGGGGAGTTACCAAACCGGTTGATTTGCGGCCCTTTCAGATATGTCTGTAGGGAATATTTCATAAGGAATGGTTACTTAGGGTACTACCAAATTTTGATAAATATCTCTTCATGCTTTGGTTTATTATGGGGAAAATAACTTCACAAAGAATAAACTGTTTCCTACTTGGTTCTTAATCTTAGATTATCAGAGAGAAAAGGTCAGTGGTTACAGCCAAGGGGAGGATTAGTTTAGTCCACCCTGAATAAACCAGGGTGGACTTAACCATTAACGAAGGTGAGAATTGAAAGGCAAACCTGATCTGTCTGGTGCTTCATAGGAAGGCTGAGGGCATTTAAATGTCACTGAAGTTTAGCTCTAGGCCTACACAATGGAGTCTTAGGTAAATATAACTGGCCATCTGTCCAGGTTCACTGAGAGGTTAATTTATTATTTTTTATATATATATATATATATATATATATATTTTTTTTTTTTTTTTTTTTTTTTTTTTTTGAGACGGAGTCTCGCTCTGTTGCCAAGGCTGGAGTGCAGTGGCGCGATCTCAGCTCACTGCAAGCTCCGTCTCCCGGGTTCATGCCATTTTCCTGCCTCAGCCTCCTGAGTAGCTGGGACTACAGGTGCCCGCCACCACACCCCGCTAATTTTTTGTATTTTTAGTACAGACGGGTTTTCACTGTGTTAGCCAAGATGGCCTCGATCTCCTGACCTTGTGATCCACCTGCCTCGGCCTCCCAAAGTGCTGGGATTACAGGCGTGAGCCACCGCGCCCGGCCGATTTTATTATTAAGTTTAATTTTCTCTCAACTTGTCTGCCCCATGACTTACTTTCCAGATCTCAAGGAGTTTGAATTCAGAAGTCTTTTTATTCTGGAAGCCTTACATAGAAATAAATGGGCTTATGGGCTTTTTGGACTCTCTCTCTCTGTTTCTCTCTCTCGTTCTGCATGTGTGTGTGTCTGTGCACACGTGCACTTTTTTCCCAAGTAAAGAAAAAGGAAGGTGGGCGGCAAAAACACTGAGGTACGGAGACCCTTTCATCCTTGTGTCTCTCCTGAACACATTCTGCATCGATGCCACCTTAGGCTTCATCCCTATCAATATGATAGTGATGCCTTTCATGTAGGACATCATATTGGGAGTAGGATTGCAAAGAGGCAGAAGACACAGTCCCATCCCTGGGGGTTTAGCTCAACTGAGGGCAGAACATAGGCTTAAGAAGAAAAATGATCTCAGATAACCCATGCTAAATTCTACATGATTGGACAGGCAGCAAGTGCTAGAGAATTTAGAAGAGGGCTGGGCATTAGAAATCTGCTATGTAATTCTTGGCCTCTAGGGGCTTAATTATGTAGCTCTGCAATTCTTATCTGCTTTTGGGACCTACTGCCCCTCCCCCGCACCGCCTGCCACTTCCTTTTTTTTAATCTTTAAAATGAAGGGCTTGAACTAGTTGCTTATTGAGGGTTTTTTTGTTTTTGTTTTTGAGACAGAGTCTCGCTCTGTTGCCCAGGCTGGAGTGCAGTGGTGTGATCTCGGCTCGCTGCAACCTCCGCCTCCTGGTTCAAGTGATTCTCCTGCCTCAGCCTCCCAAGTAGCTGGGACTACAGGTGCACACCACCATGCCTGGCTAATTTTTGTATTTTTAGTAGAGATGGGGTTTCACTATGTGGCCAGGCTGGTCTCGAACTCCTGAGCTTGTCGTGATCCTCCCACCCCAGCCTCCAAAAGTGCTGGGATTATAGGCGTGAGCCACTGCGCCCAGCCTGAGGGTTTTCTTAGTTCTGAAATTACGTGCTTGTCTAGTCTTTTTCGTTACCAAACAGGTTAAGAGCCTGGACTCTAAAGTCAGAGTGTGGATCTTGGCTCTGTGATTTATCAGCCATGTGACTTTAGTTATTTACCTGTGGTGCCACAGTTTCCCCATCTGTAAAATGTGGATGATAATAGTATCTATATCGTAAGTTTGTTATGAGGATTAAATTAATTAATATTTATAAAAGCCATAGAACATACCTGAGACATAGTAAACACTATATCAGTGTTTGTTAAATAAAAGAACTACTTGCATTTTTCCTTTTCCTATCAGGACTTAAAACCTTGGGTGGTTAATCTTCCTTCTGTCAGTACTGAGGCTAGATTAAATGGTAATCAACAAATACCTGACATAATGCTAAGTACAATTAATCCTATCAGTGGGTAAATAGCTACCATTTGAGTGCCAACTATGTGCCAGGCATTCGGTCACTCTACTCATATTTTCAAACATTATTAAAGAATCGGGAGCTGGGCACAGTGGCTTATGCCTGTAATCTCAATGCTTTGGGAGGCCAAGGCAAGAGGTTCACCTGAAGCCAGGAGTTCGAGACCAGTCTGGGCAGCATAACAAGACTCTATGTCTATGGAAAAAAAAAAAAAAATATATATATATATATATATATCAGCATGGTTTGCATGTGCCTGTAGTCCTAGCTTCTCAGGAGGCTGAGGTGAGAGGATCACTTGAGCCCAGGAGTTAAAGGTTACAGTGAGCTATGATTATACCACTGCACGCCAGCCTTGGTGACAGAGTGAGACCCTGTCTCTAAAATAAATACATATGGGCGCAGTGGCTCACACCTGTAATCCCAGCACTTTGGGAGGCTGAGACAGGCAGATCACTTGAGGCCAGGAGTTCAAGACCAGCCTAGGCAACATGGTGAAACCCTGTCTCTTCTAAAACTACAAAAATTAGCCAGGCATGGTGGTGAATGCCTGTAATCCCAGCTACTCAGGAGGCACAGGCATGAGAATCACTTAAAACTCAGGAAGCTGAGGGGGCAGTGAGCCAAGATCGTGCCTCTAAGCTACAGCCTGGGTGACAGAGCAAGACTCTATCTAAATAAATAAATAAAAAAAATAAAAATTAAGAAATAAATAAATAAACAGAAAATTCCAATTTTAACCCTGCTGTAGTTCTGGAATGAAAAGTTGGGCTAGCGGTCAGGATTGCTACTAGTGGTAGATAGTCAGTATGCTCCTTGCAATCCCAGATCTCTTTGACCTATCATTGTTCTTTTTTTCTTTTCTTTTTTTTAGTCCCTATTATGCCCCAGAATGTTCTTATTCTTACTGTTATCTCTGAAATCTACTAACTCCCTCATTTCCCAGCTCTCCTGCCTATCCCTGAAAATGTAAAGCCTTGCCTATATTTCCCCCAGTTTTACTTAATTAAAACTAGCCTGGGAATGAAGAACTTTTCCTATAACATTTGTTGGTTAGTTATTTGCATGCTTATTTAAACATACAGTTGCCCGAGCGCAGTGACTCACACCTGTACTCCCAGCACTTTGGGAGGCCGAGGCGGGCGGATCACCTGAGGTCAGGAGACCAGCCTGACCAACATGGAGAAACCCCGTCTCTACTAAAAATACAAAAATTAGCCGGGCTTGGTGATGCATGCCTGTAATCCCAGCTACTAGGGAGGCTGAGGCAGGAGAATTGCTTGAACCCGGGAGGCAGAGGTTGCAGTGAGCCAAGATCGCACCATTGCACTCCAGCCTGGGCAACAAAAGTGAAACTGTCTCAACAACAACAACAACATATAGTCATCCTGGCAAATTTATTTAATATCATTATCCAAACAATCCCTGGGTATGTCAAGTCTTCTAGATAAACATCCCCTGGTTTTACCTTGTTGATTTCAGATTGTTTTCAGATTGGTGCCAGTTAATTTGGAAATTAATTTTCGATGTCTTTGGCCATGAAAGATGATTAGGTGCTTTTCCTGGTAAAGTGGTGAATTTCTTCTGAGGGTGTACAACTCATATACTTAGCTGTTCACATTTATTTATTTATTTAAATTACCTTGAAGTAGAATTTTCCCAGGTTATTTTCTTTAGTTTTTATTTAATCATCTCATTTAACAACTGGGATATGAGTAAATCAGAATAGAGAAACTTTGTTTTTATATTTGTACTTGGTCTGATGAATGTGTATTTCTCTATGGGATGAGTAATGTCATTTGCATTAATTCAAGGTGGGAAGTGCCCATAAGGAAACTAACGTCTACGTAAAGGTAGCTTTCCGCTCTTGCATAACACATTAGTTACCATATGTGTTTTGCGTGCATCTTGCTGTGAAGAGGTTTTAAAGTGCAAAGATAATCCCTCTCCACCTTTTCAGAATTGCAATATTTATTTCTTATAGCTATTTCAGAGTGGTGGGGGGAACTGAATTCAGATTCAGACTGGGGCTTAGGTGACATCTAAAAGAGTTTAAGAAAAAGGCTACTGGCTGCGTATGGTGGCTCATGCCTGTAATCCCAGCACTTTGGGAGGCCGAGGTGGGCAGATCACGAGGTCAGGAGATAGAGACCATCCTGGCCAACATGGTGAAACCGCGTCTCTACTAAAAATACAAAAATTGGCTGGGTGTGGTGGCGCATGCCTGTAACCCCACCTAATTGGGTGGCTGAGGCAGGAGACTCGCCTGAACCCGGGGAGGCAGAGATTGCAGTGAGCCGAGATAGTGCCACTGCACTCCACTGGTGACAAAGTGAGACTCTGTCTCAAAAAAAAAAAAAAAGAAAAAGAAAAAGAAAGAAAAAGAAGACTAATGAGGTTGTATGAATGAACATATTTTCCCATTTTATCAAAATGTTGAATTTGGTCCTATAGAAATGATAGAAATCTCCGAGTGTACTTCCATACAATAGGAAGTACTGTTTTAGTAGTTAAGTTTAGAATGAGATGAGAATATATTTTCTTTTCTTTTTTTTTTTTTTTCAAGAATCATTTTCCTCATTGATCATCTCTGTGAACTTCAGGCTACTCTGGCCTTTTAAATTTTATTGTATAACTGGAGGAATATGGTTCTAAACTTTCCTAAATTATTGACAGGCTGTTTGTGTCTTGTACATAAAAGTCTCTTGTGTCAGTAGTTTAAATGTTATCTAGTAGTATAAGTAACTTTTAAATAAAATTTTGTTTTTTACCAGTATAATTTGTATAACCATGAGCATAAGATTTTTTGTTTGTTTGTTTTATTTAATAGTCTCAGAGCATAATAGGTTTTTTGTAACTGATTTATTGGTTGAGGGTTACTCAGCCAAAAAAGAAATAATACTTTAACTATTGTAGAATATATTTTTCCCAGGTTTGCCACATAATGCTTTGGAAACATTAAGTGTTCCAATGCTTTTTTTTTTTTTTTTTTTTTGAAACAGAGTCTTACTCTGTCGCCCAGGCTGGAGTGCAGTGGTACAATCCTGGCTCACTGCAACCTCCGCCTCCTGAGTTCAAGTGATTCTCCTGCCTCAGCCTCCCGAGTAGCTGAGATTACAGGTGCCCACCACCACGCCCGGCTAATTTTTTTGTATATTTAATAGAGACGGGGTTTCCCCATGTTGGCCAGGCTGGTCTTGAACTCCTGACCTCAGGTGATCCACCCGTCTCAGCCTCCCAAAGTGCTGGGATTACAGACGTGAGCCACCGCACCCGGCCTGCTTTTTTAAACATAGTATTAAACCCATTTTATAATGAGGTAGACTGAGTCACTAAACATATAAAATGTATCTTATGAAGCGATACAGATGAATCATTGACAATTGAATAGAATCAACAGACTTCAGATACTCTTGTAAATATCATTTCTGTCAACAGGGAGAATCTTATGGGTTACATAAAAGTGAATTGGAAAGTTTTCAAAGGTGAAGGCTGGTTGAGGAAGGAAGTAACAAAGCTGGATAAGAGATTCTCTTGTTGGTTATAACCTCATTTTTCATTTTCCTCCTTGTTTTTCAACTTCTTCCAGGTAAAGAAGTTATTTAAATCTCTGTGTGTTCCTTATTTTGTGCTTGAACTTGATCAAACAGGTAAGTTTCTGTTTAATATGTAAATCATAGCTGCTGACTGTACATTTTATCTCATTTATTCTATCTGGCTTTAATTTGTCTTCCTTGAGGTTTTTATTGTTTAGTGAGCACTTGCTAGCTGATTCTTCTTTTTGGTCTTTTAGACAGGGTACTCTCCTGGAGCTAATCATATTCACCTTTAGCCTTTACCTAGTGTATAGCCTTGGTATTACCCAGAGTTTCCTCTTATTGAAATTATTCTTCTTATTACTCATGAATCTAGTTACAGATACAGTATTTGCTGGTTTTATGGTAACTTTACTTTTGCAAATTTGTCTCCTTTCTGATAAGTAATACAAATAGTATTTGAATTAAATATAAACTGAGATGCATTCAGAAATTTTGGCAGGGACATACAAAGATCAGTAAAGGTGAAAGATCCATGAAAAGTGCTACTGGGAAATCCCAGGGAGAGAAAGATTGGTGGAGTAAAATGGAAAGCTTCTTTCTAGGACCATGGTGCTCCTTTTTTGTGGGTCAGAAAATCCCAAGGGCTCACAGACAAACATTATTAAGAATCTAATCTAGGCCTGTTGGTGACTCATGCCTCTAATCCCAACACACTGGGAGGCCAGGGTAGTAGGATCGCTTGAGGCCAGGAGTTTGAGTCCAGCCTGGGCAAGAGTGAGAGCTTGTCTCTACAAAAATAAAGAATTAAAAAGTTAACCAGGCACAGTGGCATGAGCCCATAGTTCTAGCTACTCAGGAGGCTGAGGCAGGAGGTTTGCTTGAGCCAAGGAGTTCAAGGTTACAGTGAGCTATGATTGCACCATTGCACTCTAGCCTGGATTACTGAGTGAGACCTTGTATCGAAAAACAAAAAGGATCTGCTAGTGGCCAGCACCATCATTTCTATTAGGAAAAGTGGGCTCTTCCAGATTAGGAAGAGGAGGTAAACTTCATGCCTAGTAGCTTTAAGGAAGCAGAGTCCTGGGCATTGACAGCTTCTGCTCAGTCTCCAAAGGAATACAAAGAAAGGGCCTGGCATGGTGGCTCGCTTCTGTAGTCCCAGCACTTGGGGAGGCTGTGGTGGCTGGATTCCCTGAGGTAAAGAGTTTGAGACCAGCCTGGCCAATATGGTGAAACCCTGTCTCTACTAAATAATAAAAAAAATTAGCTGGGTGTGGTGGTGTGCACCTGTAGTCCCAGCTACCTGGGAGGCTGAGGCAGGAGAATTGCTGGAACCCAGGAGGCAGAGGTTACACTGAGCCAAGATCGCACCACAGCATTCCAGCCTGGGTGACAGAGTGAGACTCTGTCTCAGAACCACAACAACAACAACAACAGCAACAACAAAGAAAGGATTCAACTAGACAGAGAAAGATATATGGCAATTGGGAGATATGAACAATTGGCATATAAGTTTCATTTCTTTTTTTTTTTTTTTTTTGAGATGGAGTTTCGCTCTTGTTGCCCAGGCTGGAGTGCAATGGTGCGATCTCAGCTCACCGCAACCTCCGCCTCCCAGGTTCAAGCAATTCTCCTGCCTCAGCCTCCTGAGTAGCTGAGATTACAGGCATGCACCACTACGCCTGGCTAATTTTGTATTTTTAGTAGAGATGGGGTTTCTCCATGTTGAGGCTGGTCTCGAACTCCTGACCTCAGGTGAGCCGCCCGCCTCAGCCTCCCAAAGTGCTGAGATTACAGGTGTGAGCCACCACGCCCGGCCATAAGTTTCATTTCTAGGGTCAGGAGGAAGGAGGTAGTTGTGTGGCAAGACATATTACTTGATGTTTCTAAAGACAGGTTCTCTAACACAGAGAGCATCACATAATAACTACCATATATAGAGTGTTAGTCCCTGTTTTACATGGACTATGCTGGGTTAAGTATAGTCACCTATCCTCACATGAACTCAGCAAGGGAGATATTCTCTATATTTTATAAATGAGGAAATTGAATCCCAGAGAAGTCAATTAACTTCCTTAACATTGACCCGGTGCAGTGGCTCACGCCTGTAATCCCAGCACTTTGGGAGGTGGAGGTGGGAGGATTGCCTGAGGTCAGGAGTTCAAGACCAGCCTGACCAGTATGGAGAAACCCCGTCTGTACTAAAAATACAAAATTAGCCGGGCATGGTGGCTCATGCCTCTAATCCCAGCACTTTGGGAGGCAGAGGCGGGAGGATTACCTGAGGTCGGGAGTTCAAGACCAGCCTGACCAGTATGGAGAAACCCCGTCTGTACTAAAAATACAAAATTAGCCGGGCATGGTGGCTCATGCCTGTAATCCCAGCTATTCGGGAGGTTGAGGCAGGAGAATTGCTTGGACCCGGGAGGCAGAGGTTGCGGTGAGCCAAGATCACACCATTGCACTCCAGCCTGGGCAACAAGAGCACAACTCCATCTCACAAAACAAACAAAAAAAAAACACAAAAAACAACAACAACAGAAAACTTCCCTAACTTCATATAAATACTGGATCTATAATTTGAACACAGGCCCATGTAATTCTGAAGCCTGTGTTATTTCCATAATACCATGTTGTCTGGCTCCTCTACGGTGACCCTTCTATTCCTTCATCAAGGAAGGCTCTTGCCCCTAAATACTCCATAGTATGAAAGGTAATCTCAATAAATAAAATTTCTTCTGGGTCCAAAAGTAGCCTTTTATAAAAATATAAATTTTCCTGGGAAACTTAAGTCACTTGCAACTTGCTGTGAATTAGGGAAAAATAACCAAACGGAACAATAACCAAACAAGCAAATTAAACTAATATAAGATAAAGCAAATGAACATGTCCTTCAAGGATGGGAAAGGTAAAGGAGGTAACATCGGAAGAGATGGGCAGGATGAATGCACTAAGTGCTTGGGGAGCATGATTTGTAAGGATTTACTCTCTGAATGTGGAAAACTTGTGTTTTTTGGTAACAAATGGCAGATGTTTTATTTCTAAATCTGTTAGTAAGTGGCTAAGGAAGTTTTAAGAGTCTGTGATTTAATACATGTATGAACTTTATTTTCAGTCCCAGAAAATAAGCATTGGATTATGAATTGACTTTTGTCCCGGTGGTTCCCCAGTTATACTTCCCTTGCTCTTTCTTTCTTTTTTTTTTTTTAATTGAGATGGAGTTTTGCTCTTGTTGCCCAGGTTGGAGTGCGATGGCACGATCTGGGCTTGCCACAACCTCCACCTCTAGGGTTCGAGCGATTCTCCTGCCTCAGCCCCCAGAGTAGCTGGGATCACAGGCATGCGCCACCACGGCCAATTTATTTTGTATTTTTGGTAGAGACAGAGTTTCTCCATGTTGGTCAGGCTGGTCTTGAACTCCTGACCTCAGGTGATCCATCCACCTCGGCCTCCCAAAGTTCTGGGATTACAGGCGTGAGCCACCATGCCCGTCCCCCTTGTTCTTTCTTAAATGTCCTCTTTACTTTCTCTATCATTTTTCAGACTATTCTTATCTTTTTTAAATGTGTGTTGCCAGTGGGGAGGTGCGGTGACTGAAAAATCTATTAAATTTCTCCTTTTCCAACTACTTTTCTGTGTGAGACTGGATTTTTCATTTACTTCTGCCAAAACAACGTATATTGCAACAAATTAATCCAGAAGCAAATATGGGAATCTAGTTGTTTTTTATTAGGACCAATGCTAAAAAAATTCAAAAAAATGTGAAACAATGCCAGTCTTCTCACTATGTTTATTTATTTTGAGACGAAATAAGTGCATTCTCAGCTCAGTGAGCAAAGGTGCAATCTCAGCTCACTGCAACCTCTGCCTCCTGGATTCAAGCAATTCTCCTGCCTCAGCCTCCCAAGTAGATGGGATTACAGGCATGTGCCACCATGCCTGGCTAATTTTGTGTTTTTAGTAGAGACAGGTTTTCACCGTGTTGGTCAGGCTGGTCTCAAACTCCTGATGTCAGGTGATCCACCTGCCTCGGCCTCACAAACTTTTGGGATTACAGGCGCGAGACCAGCTTGGCCAACATGGCAAAATCCTGTCTCTACTAAAAATACAAAAATTAGCCAGGCATGGTGGTGGGCGCCTATTATCCCAGCGACTCAGGAGGCTGAGGCAGGAGAATTGCTTGAACGCAGGAGGCGGAGGTTGCAGTGCGCTGAGATTGTGCCATTGCACTTCAGCCTGGGCAACAAGAGCAAGACTCTGTATTAAAAAAAAAAAAAAAAAAAAAAAAGACCAAGTTTGACACCCCGTTCTAAGGCAAGTAGGAAGCATGAATATTAACACAGTTTTGATTTTGTGAGATTTATTTGTCCCAAGCATAGGAGGAACACCGTTCTACATGTGCAGTTGGCCTTAGCCACACAGGAGAGGTGTGATCTGGTTCATGTCTTCGAGGAGCTTGTAATCATGGAGCTGGAACTGCTGATGCAGTCTTCTAAGTGCTGGTTTCATGAATAAACACCTCCTTTATCTGTTTCTTCTGGGTTCCAAAAGAACCCTCCATAGGCATGATTTTCACACCAGTGTTGGCTACGTAATCTTCCCAGGGCCTGGATCATAGTGGGTATTTAAAAAGTCAGAAGATCAATTGGTAGACAGGAGTATTTGGCATAGAATCACATGGGTGCATTTATTCATTCAGCATATTTATTGAGTGCCTGCTGTGCACTAGGCTCTGTATACTAAGCACTGGGAATACAGTAGTATACTAGGCAGGTGTGCTTCCTGTCTAAAGGAATTAGACTTGTTTGTGTTTTTTTTTTCTTTTTTTTCCCAGCAAATTCCTTTTATTTTCCTTTAGAGTTGAGGGCCTGTGTACTGCCTAACTGGATTGGTAATGGAGTGAGTGCCCCATGAATTCCTGTGTTTGCAATAGTATCACCTCTCACAGAAAATCAAGAAGAGAAGTTGTGCTACCAGGGGATCCTCTCTCTTCACCCTAACATTTTCTTCTTCCTTCTTTTGGCTGTATTTTGGCCAGTCTACATAAATTAAGGTTATTATTTGAAAACAACCATCAGGGTCCACTGAGTTCTACTGAGATTGGTATTGGAGAGAGAAACTCAGAACCGGGAGGCCTGGCATTCATGTCCTGTGTGTAGGTAGTGGTAGTAGTCATACATGCTATCCTCCTTGTGCCAGAGGCTCATGCATGTTCTCCTATTTAATCTTCAGAATACCACCAATCAGGTAGGTGGTGATATCACCTTCTTATGATGAGGAAATAAAAACATAGTAAAGTATTAGTATACAGGGTGGCTGGCTTTCTAGTGAACCTACTGGCAATTCGTGGCCCCTCCCACTACTTCCTGAGACTATCTCGTAGAACCTTCCATGACTTGCCCCCAGTGTCTTATGTATAATGTTCATGGTGTCGATATCATGATAGGTGTTCCTAGATGTGATGGTGTCTGTTGCACACACATGTGGTGGTGTGTTTGGTGGCAGAGGTTGTACAATCTGCCACCATGCCAGCTACACACATCTTGGCTATCCCTGTGGATGAGCTGCCACTCACAGGGCCTGTTGATTTACAAAGACTTGTATCTATACTTCAGGTGTCTTCCTAGGAGCTTTGATCTAAGGAACAGACAACATCAGTGTAATCATCTTAATTTGGTCTGGCAGCTGCTGACATTCTATAGCTATAAATGTGGAAAACAGACATAAGATTTCAGGAGTTTGCCAAAAGTGTGCATCTGGATGCCACATGTCACTAGCTTAGGGGTTCTGATGTGTATTATTCATGTCTCCTGGCTGCTTATGGAGGACATGGCTTTAATGCCTTCAGCAAGAGGGAGAGGAACTAATATTTGAGTTTCTTTTTATGGCAGTGTCTCATATCTCTCTTACTTAATCCTCACAACAGCTTTGTGTGGTTGTTGGAATTAATTCTGTTGTTGTGAGGAAGCAGATGCTCAGCATTTGAATAACTTGCTCAATGTTGCTGTGTCAAGCCCAGGCCTGTCTGCTTCCCTAGTTGCCTCTTTGGCATTGTTTTCCTTGAACAAATAAAAACCCCTCACAAGCAGAGGTACCCTAGCTAGCTCAGTTCTCACCACTTTGGTATTGATACTTACTCATTCAACAGATTTGCTTTGGGCACCTATTTATATGCCAAGCACTGGCAGGAGAGAAAAGATGAGTAAGGCACAACCTCATTCTTTAAGATCATTTTACTTGTTTGCCTCTGCCTCACTTCCAATTTCAGTGTAATCTGGTATCTCTAAAGGCTGTAGGATCACGGGTGGACAAAGGTAGTGGGTAAGACATTTAAAGCTGTAAACAAAAGCAACTTAGAAAACATCATGGCATGTTCATTTAGAGCAAAACTGGCAAGGCCTGGGGCAGAGAACGATGAGAGGTTAAGAGTTGAAAAGTAAAGAGGCTTTCTCCCATAGCGAATGAGGAGACATGGGAGGTTGTTCTATTTATTTTATGAATGAGGCTCAAAATATTCTTTAAGCATTTTGGTTTTGTCTATAAAAATGTTAATTTTTTTAAATTTGGAGACCACAGTATAATAAAATACAAAAAATCACATATAATTGCATCCAGAGATAGCCACTATTAATATTTTATGTCTTTTTTGTAAACTCTGTTCTGTTTTATTATTTAATATTTTACATGTTATATAAGTTCTTAATTTTCTCAATGACTACAAAATAGTCCATGTATTTACTTAGCCATTCTACTATATTTGGACAGTCTATTGCCAATTTTTTGCTATTGTGGAATAATAGGTTAGAAATGTTTTTCTTTGTACGTGAAGTTTTTGCTGTATTTAGAATTATTTTCTTAGGATAGATTACTGGAATGGATTTATGGGTCAGAGTATGAACAATTCTAAGGTTCTAGAGCCCTTTAAATGGTGTGTACTAATTAATAACTTCATAAGCTCAAAGAGTTCCCTGTACTTAGTAGTAAGAAATAATAATAGGTTTTGGGCCAGGTGCAGTGGCTCCTGCCTGTAATTCCAGTGTTTTGGGAGGCTGAGGCAGGCAGATCATGAGGTCAAGAGATCAATACTAGCCTGGCCAACATGGTGAAACCCCGTCTCTACTAAAAATACAAAAATTAGCTGGGCGTGGTGGCATGCGCCTGTAGTCCCAACTACTTGGGAGGCTGAGGCAGGAGAATCGCTTGAACCCGGGAGGTGGAGGTTGCAGTGAGCTGAGATCACACCACTGCACTCCAGCCTGGTGACAGAGTGAGACTCCGTCTTAAAAAAAAAAAAAAAAAAACTTCCTTTTGCGGGTGGCGGCGAACGCGGAGAGCACGCCATGAAGGCCTCGGGCACGCTACGAGAGTACAAGGTAGTGGGTCGCTGCCTGCCCACCCCCAAATGCCACACGCCGCCCCTCTACCGCATGCGAATCTTTGCGCCTAATCATGTCGTCGCCAAGTCCCGCTTCTGGTACTTTGTATCTCAGTTAAAGAAGATGAAGAAGTCTTCAGGGGAGATTGTCTACTGTGGGCAGGTGTTTGAGAAGTCCCCCCTGCGGGTGAAGAACTTCAGGATCTGGCTGCGCTATGACTCCCGGAGCGGCACCCACAACATGTACCGGGAATACCGGGACCTGACCACCGCAGGCGCTGTCACCCAGTGCTACCGAGACATGGGTGCCCGGCACCGCGCCCGAGCCCACTCCATTCAGATCATGAAGGTGGAGGAGATCGCGGCCAGCAAGTGCCGCCGGCCGGCTGTCAAGCAGTTCCACGACTCCAAGATCAAGTTCCCGCTGCCCCACCGGGTCCTGCGCCGTCAGCACAAGCCACGCTTCACCACCAAGAGGCCCAACACCTTCTTCTAGGTGCAGGGCCCTCGTCCGGGTGTGCCCCAAATAAACTCAGGAACGCCCCGGTGGAAAAAAAAAAAAAAAAAAAGTGATCTGGCTGGACAAACTGAGCCAGTCCCACACAAAATCTTAAAAAAAAAAAAAGAAAAGAAATAATAATAGGTTTTTAAAAATCATTATTTGCCTATTGGAGAGGTAAAAACAGATTTCTTTATCTTAATTTGTATCACTTTGATTATTAATGAGGCACAATATTTTTTCCTGTATGTTGTATTTCCTATGTGTACCTTGCTGGGCTCAGGTGGTCCTCCCACCTTAGCCTTCCAAGTAGCTGGGACTATCTAAATTGTAGTCACTGTGTTGTATTTCATTATCTGAATTGCCTGTTCATTTTCCTCATGGGATAATAATACTAGGAAGAGCCCCGGTGCGGTGGCTTACGCCTGTAATCCCAGTACTTTGGGAGGCTAAGGTGAGTGGATCACGAGGTGGGGAGATCGAGACCATCCTGGCCAACATGGTAAAACCCTGTCTCTACTAAGAATACAAAAATTAGCTGGGCATGGTGACGCATGCTTGTAGTCCTACCTACTAGGGAGGCTGAGGTAGGAGAATCGCTTGAACCCGGGAGGTGGAGGTTGCAGTGAGTTGAGATCACGCCACTGCACTCCAGTCTGGTGACAGAGCGAGAATTCATCTCAAAAAAAAAAAAAAAAAAAATTAGTTGGCTGGGCGTGGCGGCTCACGACTGTAATCCCAGCACTTTGTGAGGCCGAGGCAAGCGGATCACAAGGTCAGGAGATCAAGACCATCCTGGCTAACACGGTGAAACCCTGTCTCTACTAAAAATACAACAGGGCCGGGCGCGGTGGCTCACGCCTGTACTCCTAGCACTTTGGGAGGCCGAGGCGAGCGGATCACGAGGTCAGGAGATCAAGACCATCTGGCTAACAGGGTGAAACCCCGTCTCTACTAAAAACACAAAAAATTAGCCGGGCGTGTTGGCGGGCACCTGTAGTCCCAGCAACTCGGGAGGTTGAGGCAGGAGAATGGTGTGAACCCGGGAGGCGGAGCTTGCAATAAGCCAAGATCGAGCCACTGCACTCCAGCCCAGGCGACAGAGCGAGACTCCGTCTCAAAAATAAATAAATAAAATAAAATAAAATAAAAATAAAAAATAAAAATACAACAAATTAGCCAGGCCTGGTGGCGGGCACCTGTAGTCCAGCTACTTGGGAGGCTGAGGCAGGAGAATGGCCTGAACCCGGGAGGCAGAACTTGCAGTGAGCCGAGATCGCGCCACTGCACTCTAGCCTGGGCAACAGAGTGAGACTCCCTCTCAAAAAAAAAAAAAAATAATATAATAATTAATAATAATAGGAAGAAACCTTTATATATAGCTCTTTATTTTCTTTTCTCTTTCTTTCTTTCTTTCTTTCTTTCTTTCTTTCTTTCTTTCCTCTTTCTGTCTGTCTGTCTGTCTTGCTCTATTGCCCAGGCTATAGTGCAGTGGTATGATCTTGGCTCACTGCAGCCTTGAACTCCTGGCTTCATGCAATCCTCCCACCTCAGCCTCCCGAGTAGATGGGAGTACAGGTATGTGCCACCATACCCAGCTAATTTTTGTATTTTCTGTAGAGCTGGAGTCTCATGAGCCACCATGCCCAGCCTGCCTTACTTCTTCCTTTCCTTCTTTCCTTTCCTTTCCTTTCTTTCTTTTTTCTGAGACTATCCCGTAGAACCTTCCATGACCTGCCCCACCTGTCTTATGTATAATGTTCATGGTGTTGATATCATGATAGGTGTTCCTAGATGTGATGGTATCTTTCTTTCTTTCTTTCTTTCTTTCTTTCTTTCTTTCTTTCTTTCTTTCTTTCTCTCTTTCTTTCTTTCTTTCTCTTTCTTTCTTTCCTTTCTTCCTTCCTTCCTTCCTCCCTCCCTTCCCTTTCCTTCCCTTCCCTCCTTCCTTCCTTCTTTCCTTCCTTCCTTCCTTCCCTCCCTCCCTCCTTCCCTCCTTCCTTCCTCTCTCTCTTTTTTTTTTTGAGACTGAGTTTTGCTCTTGTTGCCCTGGCTGGAGTGCAATGGCGTAATCTGGGCTCACTGCAACCTCCATCTCCCGGGTTCAAACAATTCTCCTGCCTCAGCCTCCTGAGTAGCTGGGATTACAGGCACCTGCCACCACGCCAGGCTAATTTTTTATATTTTTAGTAGAGACAGGGTTTCATCATGTTGTCCAGGCTGGTCTCAAACTCCTGACCTCAGGTAATCCACCTACCTACCTTGGCCTCCCAAAGTGCTGGGATTACAGGTGTGAGCCACTTGGACCCGGCCCCTTCCTCTTTCTCTCTGTCTCTCTCTTTCTTTCTTTTATTTTTTATTTTTATTTTTTGAAATGGAGTATCACTGGCTGGGTGCGGTGGCTCACGCCTGTAATCCCAGCACTTTGGGAGGCTGAGGTGGGCTGATCACGAGGTCAGGAGATGGAGACCATCCTGGCTAACATGGTAAAACCCCGTCTCTACTAAAAATACAAAAAAAAAACCCACCCATATTAGCCGGGCATGGTGGCAGGCGCCTGTAGTCCCAGCTACTCCGGAGGGTGAGGCAGGAGAGTGGCGTGAACCCGAGAGGCTGAGCTTGCAGAGAGCTGAGATCGCGCCACTGCACTCTAGCCTGGGTGACAGAGCGAGACTCCGTCTCAAAAAAAAAGAAAGAAAGAGAGTATCACTCTGTCCCCAGGCTGGAGTACAGTGGCACGATCTCGGCTCACTGCAAACTCTGCCTCCCAGGTTCAAGCAATTATCCTGCCTCAGCCTCCTGAGTAGCTGAGACTACAGGCTGCACTACCACGCCTGGCTAATTTTGTATTTTTAGTAGAGACGGAGTTTCACCACATTGGCCAGGCTGGTCTCGAACTCCTGACCTCATGTAATCCACCCGCCTTGGCCTCTCAAAGTGATGGGATTACAGTCGTGAGCCACCGCACCTGGCGTACAGTAGAGCTTCTTTCAAAACTGGAACCAATCCTCTCAAACCCTGCCACTGCTTATCAATTAAATTTATGTCATATTATAAATCCGTTGTTGTCATTTCTTTTTTTTTTTTTTTTTTGAGATAGAGTCTCACTCTTTTTGCCCAGGCACTATCTCAACTCACTGCAACCTCTGCCTCTCGGGTTCAAGTGATTCTCCTGCCTCAGCCTACTGGGTAGCTGGGATTACAGGCGCCTGCCACCATGCCTGGCTAATTTTTGTATTTTTAGTAGAGATGGGGTTTCTCCATGTTGGCCAGGCTGGTCTCAAACTCCTGACCTGAGGTAATCTGGCCCGCCTGGCCTCCCAAAGTGCTGGGATTATAGGCGTGAACCACTGTGCCCAGCCCTTGTTGTCATTTCAACAATGTTCACAGCATCTTCATCAGGAGTAGATTCTATTTCTAGAAAAACATTATTTGCTCATCCATAAAAAGCAGCTCCTCATCCATTCAAATTTTACATGAGATTACATTAATTCAGTCATGTCATCAGACTCTATTTTTTGTGGGTTCTTTTTTTCTTCTTTTTCTGTGTTTCTTTCTTTTTTTTTTTTTTTTTTGAGACAGGGTTTCACTCTGCCACCCAGGCTGTGCTGCAGTGATGTAGTCATGGCTCACTGTGGCCTCAACCTCCCGGGCTCAAGTGATCCTCCTGCCTCAGCCTCTCAAGTACTTGGGACTACAGGCACATGCTACCACACCTAGCTAATTTTTGTTGTTGTTGTTGTTGAGATGGAGTCTTGCTCTGTCCCCAGGCTGGAGTGCAGTGGCGCGATCTCGGCTCACAGTAACCTCTGCCTCCCAGGTTCAAGCAATTCTCCTGCCTCAACCTCCCAAGTAGCTGGGACTACAGGCACGCGACACCATGCCCAGCTAATTTTTTTTGTATTTTTAGTAGAGACAGGGTTTTATCATGTTGGCCAGGATGGTCTCGATCTCCTGACCTCGTGATCCGCCTGCCTTGTCCTCCCAAAGTGCTGGGATGACAGGTGTGAGCCCCCGCGCCCAGCCCACCCAGCTAATTTTTAATTTTTTTTGTAGAGACAGGGTCCCACTATGTTGCCCAGGCTAGTCTTGAATTCCTGAGCTCAAGCAATCCTACGTTGGCCTCCCAAAGTGCTAGGATTATAGATGTGCACCACCATGCCTGGCCTTCTCTTCTAATTCTATTTCTCTTGTTATTTCCACCATATCTTCAGTTACTTCCTCCACTGAAGTCTTGAATTCATCAAAGTTACTCATAAGGGTTGGAATCACCTTCTTCCAAACTCCTGTTAATGTTGATATATTATTGACTTCTTCCCATGAATCATGAATGTTCTGAATGGCATCTAGAATAGTGAATCTTTTCCAGAAGGTTTTCAGCTTACTTTGCCCAGATCTGTCAGAGGAATCACTGTCTATGGCAGCTATAGCCTTATAAAATATATTTCTTAAATAATAAGACTTGAAAGTCAAAATTAATCCTTTATCCCTGGGCTGCAGAATGGATTTTGTTAGTAGTCATGAAAACAACATTCATCTCCTTGTACATCTCCATCAGATCTCTTGAGTGACCACATGCACTGTCAATGAGCAGTAATATTTTCAAAAGTCTTCTTTTCTGAGCAATAGGTCTCAACAGTGGGCTTAAAATAAACCAAGTTGTAAACAGATGTGCTGTCATTCAGGCTTTGTTGTTCCATTTCTAAAGCAAAGGCAGAGTAGATTTATCATAATTCTTAAGGGCCCTAGGATTTTCATTGTAAGTCCATTTGTCTCCTGTTTAAATCATAAGTATAGAAACACCTTAATATGGCCATTATTTGATAGTAGTGACATGGAAAATACTTTGCCATCTTAGAAAGGGCAATGACTAAATACTGGCCTAATGTATGTTTTTCCTCCGAGAAGGAGGAAAGCCACTTAATGGTCAACATTGAATCCTGTCAAGCAGAGTAGGAGGCAATATAGCCTCCTTTATAGCAATACAGCCTCAGGATATTCCTGAGATTATTGAAAGATTAACTAGCCGGGTGTGGTGGCTCACGCCTATAATCCCAGTACTTTGGGAGGCCGAGGGGGGTGGATCACCTGAGGTCAGGAGTTTGAGACCAGCCTGGCCAACATGGTGAAACCCTGTCTCTGCTAAAAATACAA
The DNA here is from genome assembly GCF_000001405.40 of Homo sapiens. Classification (NCBI taxonomy): domain Eukaryota; kingdom Metazoa; phylum Chordata; class Mammalia; order Primates; family Hominidae; genus Homo; species Homo sapiens. The sequence goes on from NC_000012.12 coordinate 104,270,997, forward strand.
AAAAATTAGCCGGGTGTGGTGGTGCAAGCCTGTAATCTCAGCTACTCAGTTTCACGTGCATCCGTGTGAAAAGACCACCAAACAGGCTTTGTGTGAGCAACAAGCCTGTTTATTTCACCTGGGTGCAGGCAGGCTGAGTCAGAAAAGAGAGTCAGCAAAGGGTGGTGGGATTATCATTAGTTCTTTCTTTTTTTTTTTTTTTTTTGTGAGACGGAGTCTCGCTCTGTCGCCCAGGCTAGAGTGCAGTGGTGCGATCTGGGCTCACTGCAAGCTCCGCCTCCCAGGTTCATGCCATTCTCCTGCCTCAGCCTCCTGAGTTTCTGGGACTACAGGTGCCCGCCACTAATTTTTTGTGTTTTTTTAGTAGAGACGGGGTTTCACCGTGTTAGCCAGGATGGTCTCGATCTCCTGACCTCGTGATCTGCCCGCCTTAGCCTCCCAAAGTGCTGGGATTACAGGCATGAGCCACCACACCTGGCCATATCATTAAATGTTCTTATAGGTTTTGGGATAGGCGGTGGAGTTAGGAGCAATGTTTTGTGGGCAGGGGATGGATCTCACAAAGTACATTCTCAAGGGTGGGGAGAATTACAAAGAACCTTCTTAAGGGTCAGGGAGATTACAAAGTACATTGATCAGTCAGGGTGGGGCAGAAACAAATCACAATGGTGGAATGTCATCAGTTAAGGCTATTTTCACTTCTTTTGTGGATCTTCAGTTGCTTCAGGCCATCTGGATGTATACGTGCAGGTCACAGGGGATATGATGGTTTAGCTTGGGCTCAGAGGCCTGACACTCATGAGGCAGAGGTTGCAGTAAGCCAAGATCACATCAATGCACTCCAGCCTGAGCAACAGAGCGAGACTCCATCTCAAAAAAAAAAAAAGTAGAAGAAAGAAAGATGTATTTGGATTCACTTTAAGAAAGAGCAAATAAGCATTTAGGGCCAGGCGCGGTGACTCACCCCTGTAATCCCAGTGGCCAACATGGTGAATCCCTGTCTCTACTAAAAATACAAAAATTAGCCAGGCATGGTGGCGAGTGCCTGTAATCCCAGCTACTCTGGAGGCTGATGTTATAAGTAAAGTTTCGGTGCCGCAAAAGAAATAGCACTGGAATATAAAGTTTTCTTTTGAATTCTCAGCAAGGCAAGTTACTTCTATAGAAGGGTGCGCCCTTACAGACGGAGCAATGGTGAGCACACACTTCGATAAGGGAGAGGAAGGGGTTCTTATCCCTGACACACGTGGCCCCTGCTGCTGTGTCTTTCCCCTATTGGCTAAGGTTAGATCGCAAAGGCTAAACATTCCAATTCACTAATTTAAAGAGAGGGACAGGGTGAGTGGTTTGGTGGGAAAAATCATTATGACAGAGCAGGTAATCGGAATGAGTCAGGGTGGGGTAGGTAATCGGAATGACTTAAGGGTGGAGCAGATAATCGGAATGAGTCAGAGTGGAGTAGGTACTCGAAAAGGTTGCTTTACGAGGAAGTTAAGTTTAAAAGTAGAAGGCAAAAGTCCCGGCGCTGTGGCTCACGCCTGCAATCCCAGTACTTTGGGAGGCCAAGGCGAGCAGATCACGAGGTCAGGAGATCAAGACCATCCTGGCTATGGTGAAACCCAGTCTCTACTAAAAATACAAAAAAATTAGCTGGGCGTGGTGGCGGGCGCCTGTAGTCCCAGCTACTCGGGAGGCTGAGGCAGGAGAATGGCATGAACCTGGGAGGCGGAGCTTGCAGTGAGCCCAGATCGCACCACTGCACTCTAGCCTGGGCAACAGAGTGAGACTCCACCTAAAAAAAAAAAAAGAAAAGAAAAAAAAGTAGAAGGCAAAGAATTGAACATACTGACATATTGATTCTTTGAAAAGAAATTTAGAACTCATATCTAACACTGAGGCAGGAGAATTGCTTGAACCTGGGAGGCAGAGGTTGCAGTGAGCCAAGATCACATCATTGCACTCCAGCCTGGGTGACAAGAGTGAGACTCCATCTCAAAAAAAAAAGCATTTAAAATCTATAGATAATTTTCAGTCTCCGGCTGCGGCTGCGAAAGAAGCCGCCATGTCTGCATATCTGCAACGGGTGGTTGGCACTGCTCCAGTTTCCTGATCAAGAGGAATAAGCAGACCTACAGCACCATGCCCAATAACTTGAAGGCCTGCAACTGCTTCCACTACAATGGGCTTATTCAACGCAAGACTGTGGGCGTGGAGCCGGCAGCCCACGGCAAAGGTTTCATAGTTGTGAAGCAGAGATCCAGCCAGTGGAAGCCTGCCACCTTCTACATGCAGACCACCATTAACAAGAATGCTCGGGCAGGGCGGGGTGGCTCAGGCCTGTAATCCCAGCACTAATGGGAGGCGGAGGTGGGTGGATCACAAGGTCAGGAGTTCGAGACCAGCCTGGCCAACGTAGTGAAACCCCGTCTGTAATAAAAATACAAAAATTAGCCAGGCATGGTGGTGCGCGCCTATAGTCCCAGCTACTCAGGAGGCTGAGGCAGGAGAATCGCTTGAACCCAGGAGGCAGAGGTTGTGGTGAGCCGAGATTGCGTCACTGCACTCCAGTCTGGGCAACAGAGTGAGAATCCATCTCAAAAGAACAAACATACAAACAACAGAAAAAAACAAGAATGCTCGCGCCACCCTCAGCAGCATCAGACACAGGATCCTCAAGAGCAAGTACCGCCCCGACCTGCGCGTGGCAGCCTTCTGCAGGCCAGCGCCATCCTGCACATCCAGAAGCCTGTGATGGTGAAGAAAGAGGAAGAGGATTAGAAAACCTGCCCCCAAAGCAATAGTCAGCTGGCTTTCTCAAAAACAAAAACATGAATCAAGAGGTCAGGAGATCCAGACCATCCTGGCTAACACGGTGCAACCCTGTCTCTACTAAAAATACAAAATGTAGCCAGGCGTGGTGGCGGGCACCTGTAGTCCCAGCTACTTGGGAGGCTAAGACAGGAGAATGGTGTGAGTTCTCCGGGAGGTGGAGTTGCAGTGAGCCGAGATAGTGACACTGCACTCCAGCCTGGGCGACAGAGCGAGACTCCATCTCAAAAACAAAACAAAACAAAACAAACAAAAAACAAAAAATCTATAGATAAAGGAATTCAGATATATACTGGTGGAGAACTATAAGGTTCTCATCTGTCTTTGGGGTGGAGAAATTGGTCTGAATGCCTCTTAATGAGACATAGGTCACTCTCAATTCAAACCAGGGCCTAGAGCATTAGAAAGATCCAAGGCTCCTTCAGGCCCAGCTCCATGAAGTGACCATAGCTTTCCATTAACGACTGGTAGCCATCAACTGTCTCGGGCTTCTGGGATTTTGGCTCTCAGAGAAATTAGAGGGGGATGTTCTTCTCAAGATCAACTATCTAATAGTGTTTAAGAATTTAGAGGTTAATAATAATAAGCTGCCGGGCACGGTGGCTCACGCCTGTAATCCTAGCACTTTGGGAGGCCGAGGCGGGTGGATCGCCTGAGTTCAGGAGTTCGAGAACAGCCTGGGCAACACGGTGAAACCCTGTCTCTAATAAAATACAAAAAAAAATTAGCTGGGCGTGGCAGCGTGCACCTGTAGTCCCAGCTACTCGGTAGGCTGAGGCAGGAGAATTGCTTGAACCCGGGAGGCAGAGGTTGCAGTGAGCCAAGATCATGCCACTGCACTCCAGCCTGGGTAACAGAGTGAGACTCCATCTCAAAAAAAAAAAATTAATAATAAAAAAAATAATAATAATAAGCTATATGGCACTTCTTTCATCTTAGGTTCTAATAGCTGTTTACCACTACTAATTAGTATGTAACTCCTTGGCTGGTGGTGAGGGTGGTTGATCTGCACTTTTATGAGATGAAACATCTGAGAGTTGACTGGAATGGAGCCTGTACCTCTTGAGGTACTTCTGGTCAGTGGTTTTCTACCTGAAAACTTTTTCTTTCCTCTAAGATTGAAATGGGACACTGAGCGACCAAAAGCAAATGGATTGCAGAAGGGAAATATTCTGCATGTACTAGCATGTGCATATTACGCATGTGTGTACATGTAATGCAGAATGCAGGCACTAATTTTTAAAGAGGTTTTTCATGTTCCTTTCACTCCTTTTAGCAAGTTGTTTAAGAAAATTATGTTTTTCTAGCCAGGTGTGGTGGCGCATGCCTGTAATCCCAGCTACTCGGGTGGCTGAGGCAGGAGAACCACTTGAACCCAGGAGGCAGAGGTTGCAGTGAGCTGAGATCGCACCATTGCACTCCAGCCTGGGCAACAAGAGCCAAACTCCATCTCAAAAAAAAAAGAAAATTATGTTTTTCTTCTTCTGGCAAGAAAAGACAAGCTCTGGGTAATGAGAATATATGCACTGCGGAAAATGGCATGCTTAGCCACAGACTGCTTGCTAATTAAAAGTAAAATGAAAAAATGAATGTGCTACTCCAGGCTGGAGTGCAATGGTGCAATCTCGGCTCACTGCAACCTCTGCCTCCCAGGTTCAAGCGATTCTCCTGCCTCAGCCTCCTGAGTAGCTGGGATTACAGGCATGCACCACCATGCCTGGCTAATTTTGTATTTTTAGTAGAGAAGGGGTTTCTCCGTGTTGGTCAGGCTGGTCTCGAACTCCTGACCTCAGGTAATCCACCGGCCTTAGCCTCCCAAAATGCTGGGATTACAGGCATGAGCCACTGCACCCAGCCTTGAGTTAAGTTTTGATCGGTGTCCACTGTAATGCTTTGTTGACAGTTACTGTGAATGACCAACCTGTAAAAGGGGAAAATCCAAACTTCTAACCACACTGAGGTCATCATGGATTTATACCATGCATGAGGACATAATGATTATAATAACTAAGCTATTGAGTCTTTTACATCTATTTACATCCTTTACATCTATTTACTCATCTCGTTTTCCACAATCACCACATGAAGTGTAGATACTGTATTTATCACCATTTTATAGATGAGTAAACAAAGGCACAGAGAGGTAACAGAAGTTGCCTAAGGGCACACAGTTTGCCAGCAGAAAAGCCAGGTTACGTGATTTCATTGCGGGCTCTTATAACTATTGAGCTATACTGCTTGTTAGTAGAACGCCAGATGATGCTATGGGATTAGCCCAGAGATTTACAAAAGAGGAGACCTGGGCACATTTGAAGGCGGAATGGCTTAAACGGCCCTGAATACAAGATAGGAAGAGGATGTTGAAGAAAGGTGGGGTCCCCTAAGACCACTTGGAATTGGGATAGGTTATAGGTTGTAGTGCTCTGGTAAAGGCGAGCTTTAGCAGAGGTAGAACAATCCTTATTCTTCTGAGGTTGCAGTGACATGTAAGTATAGAGAGCTGCTGGGAAGAGAAGACAGAGAAGTGAAAGTAACTTGTACCTGACGACTTGAGCCTTTGGGCAGTGTGCTGGAGCTGGCTCGTACCAGCTCAAGAGACCCCTTGTTAAACATCAAGGAATTTTGCAAGTAGGTTGGTAGCTTGAAATTAGCCAAAGTGGGAGTATTCAACTCCAGAAATTAGCAAATACTACAAATCAGGGCCTCCCCACCACCACTCAGAACTGGTTTACCAGAACACCTTACACTCCCTTTCTTCTCTTTTCCACTTCACTAACAGTCAAAAGCCTGCTGAAGTGCCAGTTGAATTTGAAGCTTGAGTGAGTGCCCATTATGGGAAAGGCACTGTGCCAGATGCCAGGGTAAGAAAGACCAACCCCTCAAGTAAATAATACTGTGGTGGAGAGTGAAGAGCATGCAGGCGTAAATCCTGGACTAGCTGTCGGCTCTTGGGACAGTCACTTAAACTTGGGTTACTCATCTGTAAATGGAGATAATAATATATATCCCAAAGGGTTATTGAGATGACTGAGAACATGTAAAGTTCCTGGCACAGAGGTGTTCATTAAGTGATGGTTCTAAGAGTGGGGACATGTAAACAGATGTCTTTCATATAGCTTGATATAAGAAATAAAGATGGGAGCCGGGCACAGTGGCTCATGCCTATAATCCCAGCACTTTGGGAGGCTGAGGTGAGAGGACTGCTTGAGCCCAGGAGTTTGATACCAGCCTGGGCAACAAAGCGAGACCCTGTCTCTACAAAACATTTTTTTAAATGAAGCATAGGCCGGGTGCGGTGGCTCATGACTGTAATCCCAGCACTTGGGGAGGCCGAGGCGGGTGGATCACAAGATCGGGAGATCAAGACCATCCTGGCTAATGCGGTGAAACCCCGTCTCTACTAAAAATACAAAAAAAAAAAAAAATTAGCTGGGTGTGGTGGCGGGCGCCTATAGTACCAGCTACTAGGGAGGCTGAGGCAGGAGAATGACATGAACCCGGGAGGCGGAGCTTGCAGTGAGCTGAGATCGCGCCACTGCACTCCAGCCTGGGCAACAAAGTAAGACTCTGTCTCAAAAAAAAAAAAAAAATTAGTCAGGCACGGTAGTGTGTGCCTCTGGCCAGCTACTTGGGAAGCTGAGGCATGAGGATCATTTAAACCCAGGAGTTTGAGGCTGTGGTGAGCTATGATTGTGCCACTGCACTCCAGCCTGGATGACAGAGCAAGATTCTGTCTCCAAAAAACAAACAAATAAACAAAAGAAATAAAGACAGAATGACTACAGGTCATAGTCCCCTCAGTAGATTCCAGAGTTTTCAGGGTGGATGATTCATGGATGATTTTCCTTGTTTGTTATCAGAAGGTTACCGGGGTTTTTTTTTTGTCCCTACAAATCAAGTTTACCGGATTTACTTGTTGTTTTTACCGGTTTTTAGCCTGTTCCTCACTCTATATTATTTAATTGTAAGACAAACAATGGATTTGGAGGTAGGCACAGTTGGATTTATATACCAGCTCCAACACTTACCTGGTTTGTGACCTTTGGCAAGATTCTTTTTTTTTTTTTTTGAGACGAAGTCTCACTCTGTCACCCAGGCTGGAGTGCAGTGGCGTGATCTTGGTTCACTGCAACCTCCGCCTCCCGGGTTCACTCCATTCTCCTGCCTCACCCTCCCGAGTAGCTGAGACTACAGGCGCCTACAACCACGCCCGGCTAATTTTTTTGTATTTTTAGTAGAGAGGGGGTTTCATCGTGTTAGCTGGGATGGTCTTGATCTCCTGACCTTCTGATCCACCCGCCTCAGCCTCCCAAAGTGCTGGGATTACAGGTGTGAGCCACCATGCCTGGCCTCTGATCAAATTCTTTTTTTTTTTTTTTTTTTTTTTTTTTTTGAGACGGAGTCTTGCTCTGTCGCCCAGGCTGGAGTGCAGTGGCGTGATCTCGGCTCACTGCAAGCTCCACCTCCCCGGTCCACGCCTTTTTCCTGCCTCAGCCTCCCGAGTAGCTGGGACTACAGGCGCCCACCCCCAAGCCTGGCTAATTTTTTGCGTTTTTAGTAGAGACGGGTTTCACCATTTTAGCCAGGACGGTCTCGATCTCCTGACCTCGTGATCCGCCCGCCTTGGCCTCCCAAAGTGCTGGGATTACAGGCTTGAGCCATTGCGCCCAGCCTAATTTTTTTTTTTTTTTTTTGAGATGGAGTCTCACTCTGTCACCCAGGCTGGAGTGCAGTGGTGCCGTCTTGGCTCACTGCAACCTCCACCTCCCGGGTTCAAGCAGTTCTCCTGCCTCAGCCTCCTGAGTAGCTGGGACTATAGGTGCACGCCACCACACCTGGCTACTTTTTTGTATTTTTAGTAGAGACAGGGTTTCACCACGTTGGCCAGGCTGGTCTTGATCTCCTGACCTCGTGATCCGCCCGCCTCGGCCTCCCAAAGTGTTGGGATTACAGGCGTGAGCCACCGCACCCAGCCTCTGATCAAATTCTTAAAGGCCAAATTACCTTTATAAAACTGAGGACCCCCTAACATTTACCTTGTAAAAGCTTTTTTTTCTCCTTTTCTCTGTGAAAAAGATGGAATATACAAATTAACTAAGTAATATCTGCATTTTTACAGATTTAATCTCTCAACAATTATTTATTGATCAATTACTATGTGTGCATACTATATTAAGTGCTGGGAACATGATGGTGAGCATAACTAATCCTGGTCCCTGCTCACATGTGGCTATGTACATCTATATTAATTAAACTTAAATAACATTAGAACTTCACATCCACACCTGTACTAGCCATCTTTTATGTACTTAATAGTCACATGTGGTGAGTGGCTATTGGGTTGGACAGTGTAGATTTAGAATATTTTCATCACCACAGAAAGTCCTCTTGGACTGTGCTATTCTAGAGTGAGGGAGGTGGACATTGATCAAATACTCATAAAAGTATGATTGCAATTGTAGTAAGTACTAGGCAGAAAGAATAGATGGTAACATGAGAACATTTCATAGGGGGATTTGACTTCTCTGTTGGTTTTCCCAAGGAAAACCTGTTCAAACTAGATTTGCTCAATGCTTGGAAGTTAGCAAAGCCCTGTGGTGGGAGGGAGGACAGTAATTACAGGGACTGAAAGCAAGCTAATGACTGAATCATGGGGATTGAGGAGAAGTTTGGGTGAGATGAAGGGGTGGAAGGACCACAAAGGGCCTTGTAGAAAGAAGATGAAGAAGCAGAGAGGCTTAGTAACTTGGCTTTGCAGTTAGTAATAGAACCTGGATTTGACTTCAAAGTCTACACTGCATAATAAGGGTATATTCAACAGACTTTGGTTCTGCAATTATCTCTTTTTGCTCCTTCTTTGGAAATTGCCAAAGTTCCCTCTACTGGATTATTCCTTTAGCATAAAAACATGCTGTAATAATTTCCTTCTTAGACAAACCAAAAAAACCAAAAAGTCTGGCCAGGCACGGTGGCTCACCCCTGTAATCCCAGCACTTTGGGAGGCCGAGGAGGGTGGATCACGAAGTCAGGAGTTGAAGACCAGCCTGGCCAACATGGTGAAACCCTCTCTCTACTGAAAATACAAAAATTAGCTGGGTGTGGTGGCATGCACCTGTAGTCCCAGCTACTCGAGAGGCTGAGGCAGGAGAATTGCTTGAACCCAGGAGGCAGAGGTTGCAATGAGCTGAGATCGTGCCTCTGCACTCCAGCCTGGGTGACAGAGTGAGACTCTGTCTCAAAAAAAAAAAAAAAAAAAAATTCCTCTATCCTACATCCCTCTTTAGCTCCTTTCCTATTGTTGTTTTGTTTTGTTTTGTTTTTATAGCAAAACCCCTTTAAGAGTTGCCTATACTTACTCCCTCCATTTCCTTATTTTCTGTTTCTTGCTGAACTTCTTCTAATTAGGATTTCTTACCTACCACCATTTTCATAAGTGACCTCCATGACTCAGCCCTTACCTTATAGGATTTCTTGGCAGTGCTTGAAATAGTTGATCTTCCTTTTTGGAGCACTTCTTCATTGGCTTCTGAGACACCACACAGTCTTGGTTTTCCTCCTACCTCCTGCCAGCTCCTTCTTAGGCTCCATTGCTGGGTTCTTTTCCCCTTTTGCAGTTTGAGCGTGCCAGGGCTCTGTCCTGGGCCATCTTTATTTCTCTAAATACATTAACTCCTGGGTAATTTCATCTAGTCCCATGGAGTGACAGTTAATTTTATGTGTCAACTTGGCTAGCATACGGTGCCCAGTTGTTTGGCAGATAAAAGCATAGATGTTGCTGTGAAGGTATTTTTTAGATGTGACTTACAATGAAATCAGTAGGCTTTGAGTAAAGCTAGTGACCCTCCATAATGTGGATGGGCTTCATCCAATTAGTTGAAGACCTTAGAGAAAAGATGGAGGTTTCCCAAAGAGGAAGCAATTCTGCACCCAGACCACCGTTAGTCTCAAGATTGCCACATCAATGCCTGCTTGAATTTCCAGCCTATCAGCCAGCCTTGGAGTTTTCAGACTTATCAGCCCTCACAACTGTGTGAGTCAATTCTTTAAAAAAAAGAAAAGAAAAAAATCTCTCTATATATACATGTATCCTATTGGTTCTGTTTCTCTGAAGAGCTGTGACTAATACACATGGTATTAAATATCTTTTATGTTTGACACCAAATGTTTATTTCTAGCCTTGACTTCTCCCTTGAACTCCATACTTACATATCCAACTGCTTAGTCAACCTCTCCATTTGGATAATAATAGATCTGTTAACCCATACTATGGATTTGTCCCAAACTATTGTTTTCCCCCACCTCCCATCTTTCTTCCTCCTCTCTGGGTGTTCCTGCTTTTCATTGAAGAGTGCTATTATTTACCCCATTGCTAAAGCCAGAAATCTAGCGTTATCATTGATTCTCTTTCTCTTACATCTCTTATTCCATCCATCTGTACAACTGTACAACATATATCTGTGCAATTAGCTTTACCTTCAAATGTATTTTTTAACCTCACTAATCAGCCTTTATCATCTCTAGCTTGGACCAGGACAGTAACTTCCTAGCAGGTCTGTATATCTCCATATCTCCACTTTTTTTTTTTTTTTTTTTCTTTTTGAGATGGAGTCTCACTGTGTCGCCCGGGCTGGAGTGCAGTGGTGGGATCTCGGCTCACTGCAAACTCCGCCTCCCGGGTTCACGCCATTCTCCTGCCTCAGCCTCCCCAGTAGCTGGGACTACAGGCGCCTGCTACCACGCCCGGTTAATTTTTTGTATTTTTAGTAGAGATGGGGTTTCACTGTGTTAGCCAGGCTCATCTCAATCTCCTGACCTCGTGATCCGCCCGCCTCAGCCTCCTGAAGTGCTGGGATTACAGACATGAGCCACCGAGCCCGGCCATATCTCCACTTTTAAGTCCCTGCCCTCCTTAGCCTATTTTCCACACAACTGAGCAATTATTTTATCATACAACAATCATTTCCTTCTCTTCTCTTCACACTCTGGCATCTTACCACATTTAAAATGAAATCCAAAATCCTGACTATGGCCTGATGATGGATGTGACCCCTGGCTATTCCTCTGACCTCACTTCCTACCACTTTTTTTCTCACTCATTAGGCTTTAGACATACTGGTTACTTTGTGGATTCTTGGATAAGTCAAGCAGACTCCTAGCTTAGGGCTTTAGTATGTTGAAGCCAGAATAAAAATGTGAGACAAGTCTCTAAATTAAAATTTTTTATTTGGAAAGAAAGAATAGCAATTTGGGGCATATATGCAGACAGGGTGGTCTTCAGTATGTCTGAAGAACAAAGAGAAGGTTAGAGGTTTTAGAAACAGGAGAGCTGTTACATATTGCTCTTCAAGAAAGTTCTTTGGGACTAGTTAGGGTTTGGGGAGCTAGCAAGCTCTGGTGAGTGATGGCAGTGGGCAAAATTAGTCCTAGAGTTTCAGCAAGTTCTCTTAGCATTTATAGATAAAGCTGGTCTCAGGTTACAACAGGCAGTTTCAGCAGTCAGGCTTGCAGAGAATTACATTCTTGGAGCAATGTTTTGTACCCTGAGTGCTTTTCCCCCTAGCCCCTTGGCTCTGATTTAATTGGGAATGACAAGAATGACCCAATTTTATGATCAGCTTTCACAAGTACCTCCTCTTTCCTCTGCTTAGAAAGATTTCTTCCCTAGGTACTCTCATGGCCTGTTCCCTCATAGCACTGTGGGCTCTGCTCAAGCATCACATTCTGAGATCTTTCCTGACTTCCCTACCCTACTTTATTCTTCTTCAAGGTACAAAGAACTCTTTCAGAAAAGCTTTGTGTGTGTGTGTGAAGGAGAGCAATGAAATGGGGTGGTGGTAACTGCAAGGGTTGGGGCACATGGGATCATGAGAGCCTTTTCTTTCTTTTTGGGAACAGTTTTGCTCTGTCATCCAGGCTGAAGAGCAGTGGCATGATCATGGCTTACTGCAGCCTCAAACTCCTGGGCTCAAGTGATCCTCCCACCTCAGCTTTCCAAGTAGCTAGGACTACAGGCAGGTACCACCACACCTGGCTGACTTTTATAATTTTTTTTGTAGAGACAAGGTCTTGCTATGTTGTACACACTAGTCTTGAACTGCTGGCCTGAAGCAATCCTCCTGCCTCAGCCTCCCAACATGCTGGGATTACAAGTGTAAGTTACTGCACCAGGTCGGGAGGCTTTTTTAAAATGGTAAAACAACAATGCATTTGTATGATGATGTAAATGATCAGGTAGAGAACAAGCAATTGATGATGCCAGAGAGGGAGGCTAACTTCAAGAGTGATGTTCATTAATATTAAGAAGGAAATAAAAGATGAGAATCCATACACAAGTGAAGTTGGACTTCACTATTCTCCACATAACAGCAATTCTTTGAATGTACAACAATCATTTCCTTCTCTTCTCTTCACACTGTCTTTTTTGTTTTTGTTTTTGTTTTTTTGAGACGGAGTCTTGCTCTTGTTGTCCAGGCTGGAGTACAATGGCATGATCTCGGCTCACCGCAACTTCCGTCTCCTGGGTTCAAGCGATTCTCCTGCCTCAACCTCCTGAGTAGCTGAGATTACAGGCGCCCACCACCATGCCCAGCTAATTTTTGTATTTTTAGTAGAGACGGGGTTTCACCATGTTGGCCAGGCTGGCCTCGCACTCCTGACCTCGTAATCCACCTGCCTCCGCCTCCCAAAGTGTTGGGATTTCAGCCGTGAGCCATTGCACCCGGCCTCACACTCTGGCTTCTTAACACATTTAAAATGAAATCCAGGCTGGGTGCAGTGGCTCACACCTGTAATCCCAGCACTTTGGGAGGCCGAGGCAGGCGGATCACCTGTAGTTGGGAGTTGGAGGCCAGCCTGACCAACATGGAGAAACCCCGTCTATACTAAAAATACAAAATTAGCCAGGCGTGGTGGCACATGCCTATAATCCCATCTACTCAGGAGGCTGAGGCAGGAGAATCACTGGAACCTGAGAGGCGGAGGCTGCGGTGAGCCGAGATAGTGCCATTGCCCTCCAGCCAGGGCAACAAGAACAAAACTCTCTCTCTCAAAATAAATAAATAAATAAAAATAAAATGAAATCCAAAATCCTGACTGTGGCCTGATAATGGGTCTGACCTCTGGCTACTCCTGACTTCACTACCTACCACTTTTTTTCTCATCAGGAAATAATAAGAGTGAAGGCAGAGAATATGGCAGCTTGCTGGTTAAGGGAGTTCTGTCTGATTGATGCTATTTTCTTAAAGTAGAAAGTAGGTCATGAGCTAATGCAAGGTGTAGGGGCATTAGAAGTTTGAGGAAAGAGGGATACGTGTGAAATGGTCATTTTGGATCCTGAGAAAACAAATATTCCAGGGATGCAAAGGATTGCTGGGCAACCTTGAGGATACATTTGAAGTTTGTGGTCTTAACTTTAAAGTGAAATCACTTTTAATTTCTGTGTTTCCTTCAGCAATGTTTCCTGCTTTAAGTGGAGTACAGAATATGTGGACAGCTAGGTTCAGCAAGGGTGGGCCTTGCCATGTCAACGCGACTGAGAAGCTTGGACTTCATATTGAGGGCCCTAGAGAGCTACTGAAGGTTTGAGTAAAGAAGATTTAGGTGTTAGAAAGATCATTCTAGCTCAGTATGGTGTGTGTGTGTGTATGAGAGAAAGGCTTATTATAGGTAGAACAGTAGTTTAATACAATAGGAGCCTTTATCAAACACCTGCATAAATTTGTTATAGCTTAGATGACAGTTCAGGAACATAGAGAGGTCTATTTCCAGCATTTTCTGAGTACCTACTATATACCAGATTCTGTAAAGACAAAATAAACAAGGGTTTGCCTATCCAAAGCTCTTGTAGAAGATTTGTAATTATTATTAGGTATTTGGGGGACAAAGAAGAGGGAAGGAGCAATTAACACTGGGTGAAAATCCAGGAAGACTCCCAGAGGAGGTGACATTTCAGATGAGCTTTGAAGGACTAGGCCCTTAGGGAGGGAAGATAATTCTGAAAAGGAAGAATGAGCCCAGTCAAGAGATGCGAAATGTATGATTAAAACATTTTATGTTTATGATTTGCTACGGCCAGGCACAGTGGCTCACACCTGTAATCCCAGCACTTTGGGAGGCTGAAGCAGACGGATCCCTTGAGGCTAGGAGTTTGACCATCCTGGCCAACGTGTTGAAACCCCATTTCTACTAAAAATACAAAAAATTAGCCAGGTGTGGTGGTGCATGCCTGTAGTCCCAGCTACTTGGGAGGCTGAGGCATGAGAATCGCTGGAAGCAGGGAGGTGGAGGTTGCAGTGAGCTGAGATGCGCCACTGCACTCCAGCCAGAGCAACAGAGCAAGAGACTGTCAAACAAACAAACAAACAAACAAATAAATAAATAAATTGCTGCATGATGAGAAATGGTGGAAGAAGATGAGGTTCTTCTTCCATTAACCAGCAACTAAATAGAACTAAGGAGTTTTTCCTCTAGAATTCACGACAAGGGTAAGGCATCTGGGCTCTTAACAGCAGCAAGAAGGATTTGAAAGAAAAGAAGATGGTTTTAAAATGGTGATTTTAATTTAAAGAAAAATAACTACATGGTGCTACTCTGGGCATCTTTGCTATAATTTGCTCACTTAGGAACAATGTGAAGTTAAAATGCCTTATCTAGCCTGTTTTGGAATGCCGTTAGAAAATATTAATTATAATCACTCTGAGCTGTCTATACAAGATGCTTTTAATGGCAAGCCTCTTCAAATCAATCCTTATTACTTGCTTTTAGTACATTATTTCAAGTTAAATGATCCTTCTGTGTCCTAAGTCATGCTTTTGAAATAAGGTGTATTTTCAATATATTTCTAAGAATGAGGAGTTTATGACCCTGGTTCATGGGTCATTCGGTAGACTAAATGAGATAAAGGCATATAAAATTATTAATACAGAACTTGGCTTGGGAGCCAGGAGTAAATGTTTTTTGTTCTCCCTTAGACCCAGTCTTTTCATGTTTTTCCTTCTTTCCTCCTTAAATCACATTGTTTCCTCAACACCCACGTACTAGATCCATTCTCTGTTCTAGGGACTCCAGAATCAGGTGAAACACTCATGTCAATAATCAAACACTCATGTCAATAATCACCTTACAGGGGAAGTGTCAAGTTAGTGTGTGTAGTGTGTGTGTGTGCCCATTTAGAGGGTGAAGAAGCTAAATCAAGCCTCTGAGTTTCACCTTGGAAGGGCCTGGCAGGACCTGGCAGTGGTTGCCTGTTTGTTTAGAGGGAGTGTGGCTTCTGCTGGCTGTTAGGAGCCCGCAACGCTCTCAGCTGAGAGTGCTTCAATCTGGCATTATCCAAAGAAGTGGGAAAGACATTCCTTCCTTCCTTCCTTCATTCAGTTATTATGTATTTATTCAGCAAATATTCATAGCCTGCTAGTGCACAGTGCTGAATAAGAACATGAGTAAGAGCAGGGAAGCATGAGAGAGCATGGCTCACCTTAGTAGCTGCAGGTGGCTGGGTGCAGCTGGAGTTAAAAGACACTCTGAGTTTTTCTTAAAAAAAACAATAAATACCAAACTTAGAATCTAATAAGGAAGAGGTGCTCTCAGGGGAAGTTAGGTGTGTTCCTAAGAATTTGTCATTTCTTTTCAGGATTAGTCAGGATGAACTAGACATTTCTTTTCAAAAGCCTAATAACTTCCTTTAGGGAACTGCCAAACTGACTAATCCATGACCTTAAGGCAGTGGGTCCCAAACTTTGCTGCCAACTCAATCACCTTTGGAGTTTTTTTTTTTTTTTTAAACGCAGAGGCCCAGGTCACACTCCACACCAATGACATCAGAATGTCTAGGGGTGGGAGCCAGGCACCAGGATTCTAAAGACCCTCACGTGATGACAACAGCTAGCAAAGTTCTGTAGCTACTGCCTTAGGGCATAGTCTAATTTCTTCAGTAAAAACACACTTATTCCAAATTTGGTTCCAGAATTGCCTTAAATTGTTTTTGCTCTGTTCTTAGGTTGGGGGCGGCTATGAGCAGGCAGAGGATGTGGTGTCACCCAATTAGGAGCTCTCAGCTTACGAGGCAATTAGCATAGGTTGCCAGGGCTGCACGAGGAGTGGATTTCTGCTTTGTCATTCTGACTCTGGCAGTTAGCCCGCCCGCTCGGCGCAGGGCGTGGCTTCTCGTAGCCATTAGGAAACAGCAACCCTTTCACCTCAGTTTTCTTCACTCCGGCATTTGCAGCAGAGCGAAAGGTGGTCGAGTCCTGAAGGAGGGCCTGATGTCTTCATCATTCTCAAATTCTTGTAAGCTCTGCGTCGGGTGAAACCAGACAAAGCCGCGAGCCCAGGGATGGGAGCACGCGGGGGACGGCCTGCCGGCGGGGACGACAGCATTGCGCCTGGGTGCAGCAGTGTGCGTCTCGGGGAAGGGAAGATATTTTAAGGCGTGTCTGAGCAGACGGGGAGGCTTTTCCAAACCCAGGCAGCTTCGTGGCGTGTGCGGTTTCGACCCGGTCACACAAAGCTTCAGCATGTCATGTGGTAGGTGAGGCCGGCGCCTGTAGGCTGGCGGTTTCCTTCCTCTTGGTCTTTGTAGAGACAGTTTGCAGAACAGCGGAGAAAATGGGTATTGTATCGTTTCTTACAGAGTCCGAGTCTTGAAATGTAGATGACAATGTGTTGAGTGGACTGACAGATCCTTGAGAATATTAAGAAAGTATAACTATGTAAGAATGCTTCTCTAGGAATTTTCACACCATTTAATCCTCAGAAATCCTGAGACGTTGGCAAAACACATGGGGTCTCCATGTTTTTACAAGTAGGGAAAGCAAGGCTCAGAAAGATCAAGTGGCGTGCCCAGCTGGACACAGACTATTAAATGGGGCGGCGACGACGACCCCAGGGCTTCCTCACTCTCTCAGGCAGTACAGGACAGTGATTAAACGCGTCGACCACATTGCCTGGGTTTGAATCCTGCCGCTGCTTTTGAGTAGCTCCTTGAGCTTGGACAAGTTTCTTAGCTTTTCTGTACCTGTTTCCCTGTCTGTAAGTTGGGCCTGGTAATACTTACTTGTAGAGTGGTTGTGAAGTTGAAATGTAAATATATGTGAAGCAGTATAGACATGTTAGCTACTATTATTACAATTAAGCAGCTATACTTTGTTTTTTGTTTTTTGTTGGTTTTTTTTGTTTGTTTGTTTTTTGAGACGGAGTCTCATTCTGTCGCCCAGGCTGGAGTGCAGTGGCACGATCTGGGCTCACTGCAACCTTCGCCCCCTGGGTTCAAGCGATTCTCCTGCCTCAGCCTCCTGAGTAGCTGGGATTACAGGCACCTGCCACCGCGCCCGACTAATTTTTGTATTTTTAGTAGAGACAGGGTTTCACCATCTTGGCCAGGCTGGTCTTGAACTCCTGACCTCATGATCCACCCGCCTCGGCCTCCCAAATAAGCAGCTATACTTTTGAATGTTGGCGTGATTTATGTCTAATGAATAGGCCTCATGTCAGTGTAACTGTGGAATCTGTATGTTCCACTGAGTTCACCCCTTTGTGAAATTTTACCATTAGTGCCTAGTTTCATCTGTAGCGTTGTGTATTGCTTCAGGATTCTTTTTAAGAATGCACCAGGTAGGCAGAGTGTTCTTAATTTTGCTCCACGGTTTCAAATGTCAAGGAAACGTTGGAAGTTGGATTTTGGCATTCAGTATAGATGCAGAGTTGAAAGCAAGATCAAACTGGGAGGTGTTTTGTGAAAGTTGAGATAAACGTGTATTAAGCTTCTTTTTTGAAGCTTTTCTGAATTCGGGATTTACCGGGAAAGTAGGACGTTTAATTTTAGCGGAGTAGTGCAATGATTTAACCCTGACTAGAACTCTGACGTTTACAGCTAGCCTTGAGGCCATGTTTTCAGCCAGTGTGCGGATTTGCCGGGGTCAGACTCCAAGCTTGATTGTGAGTTCTAGCCTTTGTCAGAAATGCAGCAAGTCATGCTAACTTGCAAGGGAGTCAACAGAGGGCACGCGGTGCCTGCGGGGCCGGGACGGAAGCCCCGCCCCCGGCGCAGTTCCCGCCTGTTAGCGGGGGAGAAGCACCTTACACGCTCCGCTCTGCTTTTGTGCCACACAGAGGACGGTCGGGCCCTGGAAGGAACGCTCTCGGAATTGGCCGCGGAAACCGATCTGCCCGTTGTGTTTGTGAAACAGAGAAAGATAGGCGGCCATGGTCCAACCTTGAAGGTAGGAGAGAGTAACGTATCTTTTTAAACGGGGGATGAGCTCGTTGAGCTCAGCGTGGTCACAGCCTGCCTTTTAAAGCCAGCGTGGATGTGACCCTCCAAACGGGACGCAGCGCTGGGAAATGACGAAAAACGCTCGTGGGCTAGCGCATGTGTTAATCGAAGTTGATGAGACGTTGGACAAATTTCACATCTCGGGAAACTTGAAATTTCTAACGCTTTTTATCTTTTAAAATAGCTTTTTAAAAATGTCCTTTTTCTCCTATTTCCCCTTCCTCTTTCCCTCCCAGTTGTAAATAACATTTTTTAGCAGCAATGTAATCTGCTAAATGTTAGTTGTTTAGGGAAGTCCTGAGAAAAGGGGATCAGGAAATGCTTATCTTTGTCATCAAGGTGGCCCTGTAATCTTCCTCTTAATTCTCTCAGGGGTAGGGGACCCGGAAACCCCAGGGTCTGGAGGAGAGCAACCAGGAAGCTCTTGGGGTGACTTCGTTTTCCTTCAGGTGTGTCTTTTTAGCCCAGAGTTAATAGTTGGGTGAAGGGAAAGGAAGAAGTCTTCCCTTTGGCTGGTAGCAAACGCAGTAGAAATCCTTCCTTAGACCTATGCTACTGAGGAGTTATAGCCACTGAGGGATTTATAGCCTACAGTGTTAGAAAAATGCTTGGAGGCTGGGTGTATGTATGTTTTATTTATGTATTTAAAAAAAAAAAACAGTCTTGCTCTGTCACCCAGAGTGCACTGGAGTGCAGTGGCGTGATCTTGTATCACTGCAACCTCCACCTCCTGGGTTCAAGCAATTCTCCTGCCTCAGCCTCCCGAGTAGCTGAGATTACAGGTGCCCGCCACTACACCCAGCTTCACCATGCTGGCCAGGCTGGTCTCAAACTCCTGACCTCAGATGATCCACGGCTGGGTGCATGTTTAAGGGAACAGGACACCTGGGTGATGTTCTATCTCACCTGTGGTAGATTACCAGGTTAGAAAACTTCCCGTAGTCCCATCACCACGATCCATGTGATTTTTGTCCTTATCCATTTATATCTCTGTAATTTTTAAGAAATGAAAACATTGCCTTCTTAGAAGTAAACCTAACGCCTGCGTTAAATGTAAAAATATATTTAGATGTGTTGCAGCCTTAGGAAAAATACTAATAATTTGAATTTTTATTTATTACCTTTTCTTTTAAAAGTATTTTATTTATTTTTGACAAATGGTTATAGGGAATGGATCTAGACTTCAAACAGCAAATTAATGGAAAATTAATGGAAATACAGAGGCTTTTAGCTTTAGTTAAAATATATTGTGTTACTCAGACCTTTAGTTTGCAGGTAAAAAGAGATAACGGTCTATTATATTAATATTCCTTCCTGGCCGGGTGCGGTGGCTCACACTTGTAATCCCAGCACCTTGGGAGGCCGAGGCAGGCGGATTGCTTTGAGCTCAGGAGTTCCAGATCAGCCTGGGCAACACGGTGAAACCCCGTCTCTACTAGAAATAAAAAAATTAGCCAGGGCTTGGTGGCACATGCCTCTGGTCCCAGCTACTCTGGGACTGAGGCTGAGGCTGGGGAATCAACTTGAACCTGGAGGTGGAGGTTGCAATGAGCTGAGATTGCGCCACTGCACCCTGGCCTAGGTGACAGTGAGACCCTGTCTCAAAAAAAAAAAAAAAGAAATATACATATATATATATATATATATATATATATATATATATATGTATATTTCTTCCTGTCTGATTATTCTATTATTTTCACCTGTGCCATAAGTTTACATTTACAAAGTTATATAGTAATTTGATCTTTATGTAATTCTACTGATACTCCTGGTTTTAATGGCAATGGGAGTAAAAAGAGTCACTCTTTTTATAAGCTTTGGAACTCACTTAATTGATTTGGTCTGATGTTCTGATGTTTTTTCTTTTTTTTTAATTGAAAACTTTTTTTTCTTTAGAGATGGAGGTCTCATTATGTTGTCCAGGCTGGTCTTGAACTCCTGGGCTCAAGCGATCATCCGGCCTCGGCCTCCTAAAGTGCTGGGACTGCAGGTCACGACATTTAGTGAGGTATAGTGCCATGAATGAAAAGCATACCATCAAGAACACTTAAAAGAAATCATTTAGCATATTTCTTAAGTAAACTTATTCTACTTTGTGTCTTTTTTTTTTTTTTTTTTTTTTGAGACAAAGTCTCGCTCTGTTGCTCAGGCTGGAGTGCAGTGGCATGATCTTGGCTTACCGCAACCTCTACCTCCCAGGTTCAAGCGATTTTCCTGCCTCAGCCTCCCGAGTAGCTGGGATTACAGGCACACGCCACCACACCCTGCTAATTTTTGTATTTTTAGTAGAGATGGGGTTTCACCATGTTGGTCAGGCTGGTCTCGAACTCCTGACCTTGTAGTCCAAAGCGCTGGGATTACAAGTGTGACCCACCGCACCCAGCTTTTTTTTTTTTTTTTTTTTTGAGAAGGAGTCTCACTCTGTTGCCCAGGCTGGAGTTCAGTGGCGCGATCTTGGCTCACTGCAACCTCTGCCCCTCGGGTTCAAGTGATTCTCCTGCCTCAGCCTCCCGAGTAGCTGGGATTACAGGCGCCTGCCACCGTGCCTAGCTAATTTTTGTATTTTTAGTAGAGACAAGGTTTCACCATCTTGGCCAGGCTGGTCTTGAACTTTTGACGCCGTGATCCACCCACTTCGGCCTTCCAAAGTGCTGGGATTATGGGCGTGAGCCACCGGGCCCAGCCCTATTTTTGTTTTTTAATGAGTGCTAAAAAATGAAAGGAGAAACAGCAAGGTAAGGACTATTGGTTTGAAAGATCTGTGAACTTTTCAGCCAATTATTGCCCACATTTGGGGCTAAATGGTAGGTTTTGAAACCCTTAAGGGAGCTTTGGGTTTCAGTGGAGAAAGGCATTTATTTAGTGGAGAATTGAGTGCTTATAGTCCTAAAGGCCACACCTTTAAAAAGAAGGTTAAGATTTCATACTTTAATTGCAACATAAATAATGGAGGGAGCTCTTCAAAATGTCCACTTTTCCTTTCTCCTTTTAATATTGTTTCTTCCTCATCCCCTTTTCCCTGAATAAACAACAGCAGCAAAACCTACCCTGCTTTCACAGTGAGTGTACTATAGAAGACAAGGGAGAAAGAATCCTGCTGGAAGAAGTTGGTGAGCCTAGGTGACTCCCTTGATAAAGGATGAAAGCTTTGCAGAAGAGTGTTCCAAAAAAGTGTAGTCTCCAGACCACCTGCTCAGAATCCCCTGGAGTACTCGTTAATTATGCATGCCCAGGCTTTACCCGAGTTCTTTTGAAGTAGACTCGGGAAAGAGCTAGGAATCTACCCCCGCCCCCCCGCCTTTTTTTTTTGAGATGGAGTTCTGCTCTTGTTGCCTGGGCTGGAGTGCAGTGGCATGAACTCAGCTCACTGCAACCTCCACCTCCTGGGTTCAAGTGGTGTGGTTCTCCTGCCTCAGCCTCTCAAGTAGCTGGGATTATAGGCATGCACCACCATGCCTGGCTAATTTTGTATTTTTTTAGTAGAGATGTGGTTTTGCCATGTTGGTCGGGCTGGTCTCGATCTCCTGACCACAGGTGATCCACCCACCTCGGCCTCCCAAAGTGCTGGGATTACAGTGTGAGCCACCACGCCCGGCTTGCCTTATTGTTTTTGTTTTGTTTTAAATAAGCTCCCTCCAATAATTTTTAGGATAAATGTCAAGTTTGAGACGCTTTAATATTATTGTACATAGGGTAGTTTGATCAAGATCATTTGATGAGATAATTAGAATTGCGGAAAACAAAGGACTAGTCTTTAATACCCAAAACATATTTGTTAGAAAACAGCAAATAGGAACCCAATGGGGGAGGAACACTTTTTGTTGAACACTTTAACAATGAATAGAAAAATAGGGAACCAAGCTGTTTGCAGCCAGGGCTTTTGTATGTCCATGTATAAAGTTGGAACTAGGGACCTCCAAGATGGTTAAGAACTATGAATAGAGTTCCTACTGCTCAAAGATGTGGCTTTCATAAACATCTTGGTTTTTAAAGCAAAGTTCCAGTATTCTTATAGGGAACCTCTTTTGTATGTAAATCAGCATCTCCCTCAGGATTCCAGGGTTTTGAAATCACTTGTAGAGAGGCCTATTGGTGGTACTGAGAGGAGAAGCAGAGTGAGTGAAAAAGTATTTACTGGAATAATACCAAGTGTCAGACATAGTTAAGACTTTAGTAGTTTGAGGTAATCCTGGGAGATAAGACTAAAACTGACAACTCAGGGCTTAAATAATTTCTTCAGGGCAATATTAGGAGAGATGACAGGCACCAAGCAATGCGGGATTAATATCCAGGTGAATTTTGCAGACAGTTGCGGTGGCCCCATGTTCCAGTCTTGGGGGGTAGATGCTGAGACAAAGGCAGGTCTCCTTTTATGTTTTGAGACAAGGTCTGGCTCTATTGCCCAGTGCAGTGGCTTGATATTGGCTCATTGCAACCTTCGCCTCCTGGGCTTAACCCATCCTCCCACCTCAGCCTCCCGAATAGCTGGAACTACAAGCGCACACCACCTCACCCAGCTTATTTTTGTATTTTTTGTATATTGGGGGTTTCACCATGTTGTCCAGTGTAGGGACCAGCCCCACAGGGTCGGTGGGTCTCTCCCTGTGTGCGGCGACGAGAGAGTGTAGAAATAAAGACACAAGACAAAGAGATAAGAGAAAAGGCAGCTGGGCCCGGGGGACCGCTACCACCAATGCGCGGAGACCGGTAGTGGCCCCGAATGTCGGGCTGCACTATTATTTATTGGATACAAGGCAGAAGGGGCAGGGTAAAGAATGTGAGTCACCTCCAATGATAGGTAAGGTCACGTGGGTCATGTGTCCACTGGACAGGGGGCCCTTCCCTGCCTGGCAGCCGAGGCAGAGAGGGAGAGGAGACAAAGAGAAAGACAGCTTACGCCATTATTTCTACACATCAGGGACTATTAGTATTTTCACTAATTTACTACTGCTGTCTGGAAGGCAGAGCCAGGTGTACAGGATGGAACATGAAGGCGGACTAGGAGTGTGACCACTGAAGCACAGCATCACAGGGAGACGGTTAGGCCTCCGGATAACTGCGGGCGAGCCTGACTGATGTCAGGCCCTCCACAAGAGGTGGAGGAGCAGAGTCTTCTCTAAACTCCCCCGGGGAAAGGCCCCCCCCCCCGCCGCCGGCTTTCCCGGTCTGCTAAGTAGCGGGTGTTGTTTCTTGACACCTTTTGCTACTGCTGGACCACGATCCTCTTGGTGACGGGCGTCTTCCCAGATGCTGGCATCACCGCTAGACCAAGGAGCCCTCCGGTGGCCCTGTTCGGGCATAACAGAAGGCTCGCACTCTTGTCTTCTGGTCACTTCTCACTATGTCCCCTCAGCTCCTATCTCTGTATGGCCTGGTTTTTCCTAGGCTATGATTATTGAGTGAGGATTATCATAATATTGGAATAAGAAGTAATTGCTACCAACTAATGATTAATGATACTCATATATAATCACATCTAAGATCTATATCTGGTATAACAATTCTTGTTTTATATTATACTGGAACAGCTCGTGTCCTCTGTCTCTTGCCTCGGTGCCTGGGTGGCTTGCCACCCACAGTCCAGGCTGGTCTCAAAACTCGTGAGTTTAAGCCATCTGCCTACCTTGGCCTCCCAAAGTGCTGAGATTACAGGTGTGAGCCACTGCACCCAGCCAGGTCTCCTTTCAAGTCTAACTTCTAAAGTTACCAGAAACCAGAATCTTAAGTGAATAGACATCAGGACATGAGTGGTAATTGAATAACTCTCCAACCATCCCCTTTCTTAACTATTCTTAACTGCAGAGGCTACCAGAACTTGACAGAAAACACAATTTATTTTGTTTCTATCCTCTTAAATAATCCCTTCTTTTTGGAGGCATTAGTAATGTATCTGCTTTTGGCTTGATTAAAGTTGAGGCCTGAGGAGGACTGGAGGATTGCTTTGAAGATGAGGGAAGTGACAGATTCTCTGGCGTACATTAAAAGGAAGTAAGGGTTGAGGACTACCAAGATTTATTAGAGTCTTAGACTGTTAGAACTGCAAATAAACGTAGAAATTTACTGGTTGTAGAGTCGTGTTGAGCTCCTCCTACTTCTACCAGGTGTAAACACAAATCTCTTTTTTTGCTGTGTATCTGTTCTTTAATAGTAGCGTCAAAATTCTGGTGGTATAGACTTCAGATTTCCGGTCACTTCTCCTGTTTACTCACCAGCGCCTGACTATTCTAGGCATCACCTTCTTGCCCCTATTTACTTTTGCCTGGACCATTTCATCAGTCTTTAACTGGCCTCCCACTTCTGATCTCCCTTCTCTTCCAGCTCATATTGCCAGTCATCTTCCTGATTGCTACTCGCTGGCCCCAGATCTGCATCCAGAACGAAATGGGAGCTCCTTAGCTTGGTATTCAATGCCCTCCAGGGTCTAGCCCCAACCTGCTTTTCTGGTTATCTCCTGCTCTGCTCCCTCACTTACTGGAGGCTCCCGGGACTATCATTGCAGCTAAAATATTTCTCCCTACAGTTTTCCTCCTCACTTCTATTCTTTATTTCAACACCTGTCTTCTCTTCCTACCACAACCCACTTTTCCAACTGCCTACCCGTTCAGAATACAAGACCAAAGTTTTCCATTCCTTTCCTCCTCTGTTCCCACGACAATCCCATAAGTCTTTATTTTTGGAAAAGGAGGAATCCTGCCAATGATAACTTTTTGGCTTACATATCGAGGTCAGAGAGCTAGTCTTATTCTTTATGCCTGTGGTCCCAGGCATATGTTAGAGCCCAGCAGATACCTAAGCAAATATGCCTGTTAATGATTATAACATTTATTTGTTGAATACCTATTATGTGTTAGACTCTAAATGTTGTTAATACTTAGTGATTAAATCCCCACAACAGTCCTGTGAAGGAGGTGATATTATCCAGGTTTACAGAAGAGAAAATAAAAGCCTTGAGAATTTAAGGAGCATGCCCAGATTACAAGCTAGTTAAGTGGCAGAGTCAGGACTAGAACCCAGGCCTGTTTGCCTGCAAAGCTCACTCTCATGTACTCATACTTCTGGCACTTGGCCTTATGTTATTGCTATTGAGATACATGCTTGTGTCCTTGATGAGATGCTGTGGTGTGCTCATGATTCGAGGTCAGGCCCATGCAAATCTTGGTATTCCTAGCATAGTGCTGGCATATGGTAGGTGTTCATTCATTACATGCTTGCTGAATGGAACTTCATTCTTCTGTGCCTACTTGTACTTTCTTTAAGAGAACAATGAGGCTGGGCTTCTAAAAAAAAATATACATTTTAATATCTTCCATATATTGAAAAAAATTTCTTTAGAGGCAAGGTCTTGCTCTAACCCAGGCTGGAGTGCGGTGGCACTATCATGGCTCGCTGCAGCCTCAACCCCCCTGGGCTCAAGCAATCCTCTTGCCTCAGCCGCCTGAGTATCTGGGAATACAGGCATGTACCACCACACCTGGCCAATTTTTAAATTTTTTGTAAGATAAGGTCTTTACAAAAGGCTTTTTGTTGGCTTAGGCTTATTTTTTAATACCTAGTGTGCATTCAGTAAATATGTATTGAGTGAATAGATCGTGGTAGGGCCAGAAGAGACTCACTTAAAGGATTTAGCTCTAAGGTATCTGGTTTTATTGAAGATGGGCTATCAGGAACCAAGCTCTAGGTTGTTCAGAAGAGATTCTAGGCAGCATATTGGAAAGCAGTTCAGAATTAAAAGCTGTATGACAGCAACATTGTCTGCCTTCAGCATTCTATGCAGGTGTGTCCAGGTCAGTTGGGAACAAAGTCACTTCACATCTATTTAGCTAGTATTTACTGAGCACCTGTGTTGACATCGGGCTAGGCACTATCTTTGTAATCTCTAACGCAAGTCTGTAGAGCAATGTACTTATTTAAAAATTCATTTGTCAGGCTGGGTGTGGTGGCTCATGCCTGTAATCCCAGCACTTTGAGAGGCCGAGGCGGGTGGATCACTTGAGGTCAGGAGTTTGAGACTGACCTGGCCAACATGGTGAAACCCCTTCCCTACTAAAAATACAAAAAATTAGCCGGGTGTGTTGGCGGGCGCCTGTAATCCCAGCTACTCAGGAGGCTGAGGCAGGAGAATCGCTTGAACCTGGGAGGTGGAGGTTGCGGTGAGCGGAGATCCTGCCATTGCACTCCAGCCTGGGCAACAAGAGTGAAACTCCATCTCAAAAAAAAAAAAAAAAAGTAATATACAAACACTTGTTGACAAATAAATTTATATTTATTTATTTATTTATTTAGTTTTTGAAATGGAGTCTTGCTCTGTTGCCCAGGCTGGAGTGCACTGTGTGATCTCAGTTCACTGCAATCTCCGCCTCCTGAGTTCAAGCAATTCTCCTGCCTCAGTCTCCCGAGTAGCTGGGATTGCAGGCATGCGCCACCACGTCTGGCTAATTTTGTATTTTTAGTAGAGACAAGATTTCTCTATGTTGGTCAGGCTGGTCTCGAACTCCTGACCTCAGGTGATCCGCCTGCGTCAGCCTCCAAAAGTGCTGAGATTACAGGTGTAAGCTACCATGCCCGGCCTGATTTTGTTTTTAATGATGACAACCACTCTGTATGGCAGAGTGAGACATCTGATAGACTTCTGTTACAATTTTCGAAGAAAGTAAGTGGAAACTAATAATGCAGATATTTTTCATTTGATCCCTGAGTGGAGTTCCTAGAATGCTGCATCCTTTAGTAGCCACATACCCAGTCCTTCTTACCCTCCCTGTCTATCAAAATAACACTCCTAGTCATTGCTGCCTTTTGAGGTGTTGTGGAGGCTCTCGTAACCTGAAAGGTTGTTCTTTTCATCTCACGCCCTTATTTATATTCTTGAGGCTTGGCAAGTCAGCCAGCACTGGGTTTTTAAAGTGTCATTAAGTATATGATTTGACCACAGAGCAAGGGTGGAGATTTTATCTACTCCAAAGTATTTCAAATGAGTGAGTCCAGATTATTTAGTGAGACTCTTTTACTTCTCCAATAATAATGCCATCTTATTTGAATAAAGCAGTTATTCAAAGCCTCTTTTAGATACTAGACTTAAGAATCTGCTGAAATCTAAGGAGCTATTCCTGAGAAAAATGCACATAAATAATTTTGCATATAAACTCAGACTATTTGTGGATCTGCTTCAGAATATCTGGTACAGAGAATTACCCTTCAAAGTGTTACTGTACACACTTTGAATAGTTGAAGCCTTCGTAGGTTTTTAAAATTTTGTTATATGGCAAATTTCTTTTCACTGGTATTTGTTATAGTGGAATATATTCCTGTGTTCCTCCTTACTGATTTAACCTTTAAAAATATTTTTCTGGGGCCGGGCGCAGTGGCTCACACCTGTAATCCCAGCACTTTGGGAGGCTGAGGCAGGTGGATCACGAGATGAGGAGTTTGAGACTAGCCTGGCCAACATGGAGAAACCCCATCTCTACTAAAAATACAAAACTTAGCTGGGCGCGGTGGCACACACGTGTAATCCCAGCTACTCGGGAGGCTGAGTCAGGAGAATCACTTGAACCCGGGAGGCGGAGGTTGTAGTGAGCTGAGATCACACCATTGCACTCTAGCTTGGGCAACCAAGCGAGACTCTATCTAAAATAAAAATAAAAAATAAAAAAAATTAAATTTTTTTCTGTTCCTAAAGCAACATTCAGAAGTGAAACTACTGGTTTGTATACAGTTTTTTTTTTTACATTTGCTATCTTTGGGATTGTTTGATTTATTAAGTACCTACTCAGTAGTTGAAAACACTGTCAGATATATTACATAATTTTCATTCACTGTAGTAATTATATGGTATAAATACAGTTGTCCCTCGGTATCTTCAGGGGATTGGTTCCAGGACCCTTGTGTATACCCAAATTCATACATACTCAAGTCCCAAAGTCCACCCTGTGGAACCAGCATATATGGAAAGTCAGCTCTCTGTATTCACCGGATGTGAAACATCACATCTCACAAATACAGTATTTATTTCTTTATTTCTCACAAGCTTTTTCCTCTTTAAGGAGCAGGCAGACCTGTATTTTTTATTGCTTTTGGTATAAGTGGATCTGTGCAATTCAAAGCTGTTTCCTTCAAGGGTCAACTGCAGTAGTATTCCCGTCTTATAAATAAAGACACTGGAGGCTGAGAGGTTAAGCAAGCTGGCTAAGATAATACTAATAGGTAATAGGTCAAGATTGGAACCCAGATCGTCCCCTCCCACAGTCTGTGGTCTTTTCAGAAACTAATTTTCATTAAAAAAAAAAATACAGATATCTGTCTTATCATAGCAAAGTTCACCTTTAATAATAACAAAACACAAAATATATACACACAAACATAACTTTAAAGAAAATTACGATGAAAGAGAAACTGCCAGGCACAGTGGCTCACGCATGTAATCCCAGCATTTTGGGAGGCTGAGGCGGGCGGATCACGAGGTCAGGAGTTCGAGACCAGCCTGGTCAACATGCTGAAACCCTGTCTCTACTAAGAATACAAAAATTAGCCAGGCGTGGTGACTCGTGCCTGTAATCCCAGCTACTCGGGAGGCTGAGGCAGGAGAATCACTTGAGTCCGGGGGGTGTAGGTTGCAGTGAGCCGAGATCGTGCCATTGCACTCCAGCCTGGGTGACAAGAACAAGACTCCGTCTCAAAAAAAAAAAAAAAAAAGTTAAGATGAAAGAGAAACTATACCTAATGTCCTGCTAATTCTGGCAAATCAAACTAGGAATTTTACCACATTTCTTCACAACTCAATATTAAACAGAAGCCATGGTGGTATGAAGGGAGAAAAGCTGCTATGAAAGAAGGAACAGAAAAGTTTAGGGAGGTAGCTATTAGGATAAGTGTATATGTTAGAGTGTGGGACTCAAACCTGACTGATTCCTGGCTTTGGCTCCAAAAAGTCTCTTAAAAATCCATTTGTTATAGGTAAGTGTTAACAGCAAAACCTCACTGGAGAAAAATAGTGGACTCGTGACTTCTTCCTTTATTTGGTTACAGGGAGACATGTGACCTTTGTCATCCACCCTATCACGTTTGTGTTGAGCAGTATGGGTTGTGGGAAAGAGCTCAAGAATGCTTGGAATTAACCTAAACTCCTAGAAAAGGAACTGAAAATATAGGAGAAAAGGGTGAAGAAAAGAGGAAAGGAAATGGAGGTCTGTATTGAACCCTGGGTAGCAACTCTTGAGCGAAGAAAGAGGAAAAAGGGGAAAGAGGGGAGCTAAATTATCTCTGAGGCAACTCAGTCTCATGGTTGCCTGAACTAGTCTATACTGCGGGAATAAGGTAGACGCCACTGGTTTCTTTGAAGTACCAGTGCGCTTCTTGCTTTCTATTCCTGGTCACAGACAAATTTATCAGTAGTGCAGTTTCTTCTTTTTAAGCTTCATTTAAATAATTATTAGTAGCACTTGGACCTTAGGTTAGGAAATCACTGTTTAATGACTTAAAGATTAACCGGCATGGAAATCCCATTCTTTATATGATTGGGGAGAGTTATTGAACTTGAGATTGTTTTACTTTGTAGCAATGTCTAAAGGCAGATTTGTTTTGTTTTGTTTTGTTTTTGAGGCGGGGTTTCGCTCTTGTTGCCCAGGCTGGAGTGCAATGGTGCAATCTTGTCTCACCCGCAACCTCTGCCTCCCAGGTTGAAGTAGCAGGGATTACAGGCATGTGCCACCACGCCCAGCTAATTTTCTATTTTTAGTAGAGACGTGGTTTCTCCATATTGATCAGGCTGGTCTCAAACTCCTGACCTCAGGTGAGCCACCCACCTCGGCCTCCCAAAGTGCTGGGATTACAGGTGTCAGCCACCGCACCTGGCCTAAAGGCAGATTTTTAAAGGTGGAACATAATGCAAGTCTGCCTTTCTTAGGATGATCTAAGTTACATGTTAATAAAGTTCTTGGAGATCTAGCATAGAATGCATTCAGCACTGTAAATCACAACTTAATGTTTGCCTCGATATGCTCTGTTGCTCTGAGCAAGTTGTGTGGGCTGTTATCTCCTGAGAAATCCCTGTAAATGGTATTAGTAATACTTTATAAGCAGGTTGGGAGAATATAGTTTTCTAAGGCATTTTGAAATTCTTAGATGAAAGGGTCTTTATGTAGCAAATTGGTGTCAGCCTATTTTCCTTCCTCTGAGCCAGAAGAAAATAGGCACCATAGGGTGGGAAGGGTTGGCTTATCTGTTAGAGTTCTTTTGTAAGTAGCTTTTGTTGAATTTTTTTTTTGAGATGGAGTCTCGCTCTGTCGCCCAGGCTGGAGTGCAGTGGCGCGATCTTGGCTCACTGCAAGCTCCGTCTCCTGGGTTCAGGCTAGTCTCCTGCCTCAGCCTCCAGAGTAGCTGGGACTACAGGCGCCTGCAACCACGCCCGGCTAATTTTTTGTATTTTTAGTAGAGACGGGGTTTCACCGTGTTAGCCAGGACGGTCTTGATCTCCTGACCTCGTGATCCGCCCGCCTCAGCCTCCCAAAGTGCTGGGATTACAGGCGTGAGCCACCGTGCCCGGCTGCTTTTGTTGAATTTAAAGTGGATGTGAGAAGCTCCTAAGAATATCGTTCACTGTAAAAGCAGACTTTTTTGGATTTGGGTCTTGGAATTCTTAACTGTATTTTCACCTAAGATTTAAAACAAGTTCAAATACTAGTTTGTAATTGGCCAGACTAGGGACAGATACGATCCTTGAATGATCCTGGGTCTCAACTTACCTTTCTTTCATTTTTCCTTTATTTTAGAAGAGGGATAAGAACTTTTTCTGAAGAGCAGTCAACTTTTCCTTTCAGTGTGTAGGATTAATTCCACGAATCTGTGAACTTAAATCTTTGCTGCCAAATAACTTGCAGTAGATGCTGGGATAGTTTTAAATCTATTTTAAGTTATACATTCAGTACATAAGTGCATCTCCGTGTAAAAACAGCTATGTTTGGAAGATCTAAAACGCAGCTTTTGTTTTTGAGAAGCCAACAATCTAATAGGGTAGGATCATATATATGTACAACTAACCGTAATGCATGGTGTTTTGAAAAATGCACGTATCTCCCTGAATTACCCCTAGTTAATAAAATAATTGGGAGCAAATGGTAATATAAGGATTTTGGAGTAACTTAATACTACTAGATTTTGCTGTTTATACATTTACAAAAAACTTTCTGCTAATGCTAAAGAAATAGAACAAGTCTATATGCATAAAGGAAGGTAGGGCTAATTTACTTCCTGGTGCTATGAAACTGGCAATTGGACAGGTGCAATTGTGGGTGTCTTTTTTTTTTTAAGGTGTACCTGTTGCAGGTTTGAAAAGCTGTTGATGCTCATGGGTTGTTTGTGTGCATGTTCTCTTTAAAAACCAGATGTATTCATTCCCTTTTTTTTTTTTTTTTTTTTTGAGACGGAGTCTCGCTCTATAGCCCAGGCTGGAGTGCAGTGGCCCGATCTCGGCTCACTGCAAACTCCGCCTCCTGGGTTCACGCCATTCTTCTGCCTCAGCCTACCGAGTAGCTGGGACTATAGGCGCCTGCCACCGCGCCCGGCTAATTTTTTGTAGTTTTAGTAGAGACGGGGTTTCACCGGGTTAGCCAAGATGGTCTCGATCTCCTGACCTCGTGATCCGCCCGCCTCGGCCTCCCAAAGTGCTGGGATTGCAGGCGTGAGCCACCGCGCCCGGCCATTCCCATTGTTATGTATACTTTGCTATTTGCTGCTGGTGAGACAGATAAGGAGTCACGTCTTTAACTGCACTTGAGTTTCCAGTGACCCCATTAAATCCAATGGGTAAATTTTCCCACGCAGATTACTCACCCAGTTTACAGATTAAGCTTTCATATCCTTAGACTGTATCTGAAATTTTCATAGCTTTGCCCACCTTTTAGGGTTCAGAGTTACTACCCATTCAGTGTCGGTGGCCTTTAGCTGTTGGCAAGCTTCCAAGTAAATAGCTCTTTTGCAGAGATCTCTACCCATTCTATTCTTCCACTCCTGGGTAGTGGAGAACCAAAGTTCACCTGAGTAATGCCCGTGCCCAGCACCCAGTTTCCTGCAGGGGTTAGCACGGATATTGGAGGCTCCCCCGATCCCACAGATACTCAGGATGGGTATTGGAGGGGGCTTGGTTTTTAAGAGGACATGTGAAAGTAATTAACCCGATTTACATTTGTATAATGAGTCCAAACACCACCTTGCAAAAGAACTGAGAGTTTAGCCTGCTTAATGGAGTTTCTGCTTTTCACGGTCCTTGGCCTTACCGACGGTTTACAGTCCAGCCAGATTTAGTTCACAAAAAACCAAAACCAGGTCGACCTCACTGCAGTATATGATGGCAGCGAGCGTTTTAAAGCGCAGGACCTTTAGTCTCCTCAATAGTTTTGTGTAAAGTTGTCCAAAAGTGTTTTTTTTTAAAGTGAGGTGATCCAGTCGGTAAACGCTTTGAAAAAGAATAGCTGTCCCCTGAGCGGGCATTAGTCGCGTGTGAGGTCAGGGCCCATCATTGCGCGTGTTGGGAGCGCCGCGCTGGTCTATGAGCGAGCGCCTCGGCTTGTGGCTGGGCCGGGCCGGGGCGGGGCTGTCTTCCCGCGGAGCGTGCTGGGGGCGGGTCGCGCCGGGCC
Source organism: Homo sapiens (assembly GCF_000001405.40). Classification (NCBI taxonomy): domain Eukaryota; kingdom Metazoa; phylum Chordata; class Mammalia; order Primates; family Hominidae; genus Homo; species Homo sapiens. Next base: position 104,303,724 of record NC_000012.12, read on the forward strand.
GGGCCGCTAGTGCGCATGGGCGGGCGTCCTCGGCTCTAACTGCCGCCACTTTCCACACGCTGGGAGGGCCGTTACCTCAGAGATACCCGTGGCCGGCATGTTGGTTGAAAAAGCTTCCCGGAAGGGAGACGAAGAGAAAGGAGAGGAGCAGCTCGTGATCATCCCCGGTAGCGAGTACGCGGCGAAGTAGGCGGCGGCGGAGGGAGCGCTGATGAAGATGGATGTGTCAGTGAGGGCCGCGGGCTGCTCCGACGACCTCAGCTCTGGGGAGGCCGACGTAGACCCAAAGCTCCTGGAGCTCACCGCTGACGAGGAGAAGTGCCGCAGCATCCGCAGGCAGTACCGGCAGCTCATGTACTGCGTGCGGCAGAACCGGGAGGACATCGTGAGCTCGGCGAACAACTCCTTAACCGAGGCTCTGGAGGAAGCCAACGTCCTCTTTGATGGCGTGAGCCGAACCAGAGAAGCAGCCCTCGACGCCCGGTTTCTTGTTATGGCTTCTGATTTGGGTAAAGAAAAGGCAAAGCAGTTAAACTCAGATATGAACTTCTTTAATCAGTTAGCATTTTGTGACTTTCTGTTTCTGTTCGTGGGTCTGAATTGGATGGAAGGCGATCCTGACAAGTTGAGTGATTGTGATGATAGCATAGCTCTTTCCTTCTGGAAGGCAATAGAAAAGGAAGCAACATCCTGGATGGTAAAAGCTGAGACATTCCATTTTGTTTTTGGTTCATTCAAGCTAGAACGTTCTGCACCAAAGCCCCGACTTGAACACCAGAAAAAAGTTCGCAAGATGGAAGAAAATGGCAACATGCCTACAAAGTTGCAGAAGTTGGACCTGAGTAGTTATCCAGAAGCGACAGAAAAAAACGTAGAAAGGATTTTGGGATTGTTGCAAACCTACTTTCGAAAGTATCCTGATACTCCTGTGTCCTATTTTGAGTTTGTGATTGATCCAAACTCTTTTTCTCGTACTGTGGAGAATATATTTTATGTTTCTTTTATTGTAAGAGATGGTTTTGCAAGAATAAGGCTTGATGAAGACAGGCTGCCAATATTAGAGCCGATGAATGTTAACCAAATGGGTGAGGGAAATGATTCCAGTTGCCATGGCAGGAAACAGGGAGTTATATCTTTGACTTTACAGGAGTGGAAAAACATTGTGGCAGCTTTTGAAATTTCTGAGGCTATGATTACATACTCCTCATACTAAAGATTTCTTAGTATAGCATCCTTTTTGTGTTTTTTTTCTGAAGTTAGATGGAGAGTAAAATGTAAACTGAAGCACATATTGTATCTCTTGTAAAGTGAAAAAGTATTTTCAAGAACATCAGACATTGTTTTACTGTGCAGCATATTTTTCTTAGTAATTTATAAGGTCATGATCTTCTGTTATTAAAACAAATTCACTGGCATATTTATGGGAACGTTTTATTGAATGCCCTTTAAGACTATTAATAAAAACAAGTTTTGGATACCAAATTAAGGGATATTTGATAATTTGCAAAACATAATAATTTACGAAAATCAGTGATGATGCTCTGTGATGCGTTGCTTTCTCTGTCATAGGGAACCAAGAGAATCCCAGAAAGGGTTCCTAACCAGGTTGGGCAAAGAGTGGGTAAAAAACAAAAGTTAAAAAAAAAAACCTGTCTGTAAGGCAGTGAATATGCAACATTAAGACTAAAAAAGTCATTGCAAGGAAGACTTAGGATTTATGAGTGAGTATCCATATTCTAAACAATTTCTGTTATTGTACTCAGCAAAAGTAGTGTCTCTGCTGTAGTAGTTGAGGTATCAGCTAAGGGTGAAAGGTGAGTAGAAACACGAAGAAGGAAAAGGCATTCTAGGCAAGAGAATAGCAAGGTCAAATGCATGGAATTGTTAGAAGTTAGGCACGAGAGGACCATTAGATTTATGGAAAAACTATTATATTTGATAAGCTGGGCAACAATTGAATAACTTCATCTATTAATATCCTGAGAAGATGTTTTTGTCAAACTATTATACATTGAACACAAGATCTTGCTATCCAGTTGTAGTTTTTATCTACTGAATTTCTTCTCTGGCCCCTAGTGTCCCTTTGTGGTCTTTGCTAGTACATAGAATGTCCTTCACAATCTACGCTTTTTCATCATGTAACAACTTTGAATATTTGTCCCACTTTAATTTTGCATTTCTATCTTTTTTTTTCCCCCTCGAGACAGAGTATCACTCTTGCCCAGGCTGGGGTGCAGTGGTGCAATCTCGGCCCACTGCAACCTCTGCCTGCGGGGTTCAGGCGATTCTTGTGCCTCAGCCTCCCAAGTAGCCGGGATTACAGGTGTGTGCCATCACACCCAGCAAATACTTGTATTTTTAGTAGGAACAGAGTTTCGCCATGGTAGCCAGGCTGGTCTCGAACACCTGGCCCCAAGTGATCCACCCGCCTCGGCCTCCGGAAATGCTGGGATTACAAGTGTGAGCCAAATTTTGCATTTCTTAATAGGGCTTTAAATGCCAGGAAACTGACCTTGCTGAAACTAAAACATGTTAGTTTATCTGGATGTTCTTCACTTAGTGTAAAGCCATAAAGGCTTTTTTCTTTCCGTTGCATAAATTACAACCTTATTTGGAGATTATTGCCAAAAGTTTGGGTCATTAAGAAAGTAACTTGAGAAGGTGCAGTAAGCATACCCATAAGCTTTCTTCCCCTTGATCCCTATAGGAGCTTAATTTTTGGTAGTCGTGGAATTTTGCCATTAAACAATACTTTGGCAAATGTTTAGGTATCTGTTATGCATAGCAGTGGCAAACTTTCCTAGTAAGTCTAGTGGTACAGGAAAGGGAAATCCAAAGACTCAACAAATGACACCAAGACTGAGAGGAAGGATTTTTCATGTATGGAGATGAGGTTCTTCACCAATAATAGAGTAGAGGTTTTAGCAAAAATAGAACTTTCTCATGAAACTTGGCAAATTATTTTCTAAATTAGTTACTCCTTTCACATATGAAAGAGCGCTGACCCTTGCTAGTGTCTAGTATCCTTTGATTTATAGTAGCAGTCATGGAAGCACCATTTGATCTCACTCATCCTCATTTCCAGCATGTCTCTACCAACCAAGTTCCTTGGGTTTTGCAGAGATCTGCTGTTGGAAGAAAAAGTACTCTTAATGACAGCAAAAAGATCCCGCCCCAGTACTTTACTGACATTCAGTTGCTCTGTTGAATGTCTCATGTCTTTACTAGGAGTATTTGACAGTGATGATTTAAAAGCATTAATAGAGAATCTGGAGGCTTAGGAGAGGTAATTTTTTTGGTCTTCTCTAAAGTTAATAGCTGTTAAAATATAAAGTTGACCACTTCTGTTTCTATTTTTACTGGTTGGCATGACACCAACCAGTAAAATGATGAGGATGATGGATTGCCTCATCATTTTTGAAATTTTGAAATTAAACTGACTGCTTACCTTGAAGAAAAAAGGAGATTAAAAATTTATAGAGGTTAAGAATCAAACTGCAAATCTGCTTGTTTCTTGCTAATACGTTTGTATACTGAATAGAAATAACATTATGCTAGTCTGTCTATATACTGGATCAAGATTTGTTAGGAAGAGGGCATTTCAAAATAGTGGAGATTGACGCAGGGAAGCTCAGCGGAGGACACCAGTGTAAATACATTCCAGCACTTCTTGACTTAGTTCCAGGCAATTTCCCTTCTTCAGGAGATGGAGAATTAGTAACTTAAAGGGATTAATTCCTACCAGCCACTATGCTAACATGCATTATCTTTCTTAAACTCAGCCATTTGATGAGGTCAGGAACCTGTTAGCTTCGTTAAGGATTAGGTGATTGGTCGAAGTCACCTGGCCTTGTGAGTGGTAGAGCAAGTATTTTAACGCAGGTTATTTCTGCATCAGAGCCATCTATAATGGTAGGGGAAATAAAAGTACAAATCTGGCAAAGGATAGAAACTATGTTTAGGGGAAAAGTCAGGATTGCTTATTCCAATTTTAAAAGACTGCCACAGTTGAATTGCTTTCTGTTTTGTGCCCTTTTTGGGGGAGCCTGGAGCAGTGTTTTACTAGGAGTGGGTCTGGGGAAAGGGATTACTATGACAGGCAGGTGGATGAAAAGGAAGGCTATCTAATGTGTAAGCCTTGCCAACAAGTGACAGTTGCCTGCAGGTCATCTCATATTCTATAGCATTGGTTCTCAAAGTGTATGAGGCCCTTTTGGCATACTTTAAGGTCAGAATTATTTTCATAATAGTAAGATGCTGTTTGCCCTTTTCTTTCTTTTTTTTTTTTTTGAGATGGAGTCTCACTCTGTAGCCCAGGCTGGAGTGCAGTGGCATGATCTTGGCTCACTGTGAGCTCCGCCTCCCGGGTTCACGCCATTCTCCTGCCTCAGCCTCTCGAGTAGCTGGGACTACAGGCGCCTGCCACCACGCCCAGCTAATTTTTTATATTTGTAGTAGAGACGGGGTTTCACCGTGTTAGCCAGGATGGTCTCGATCTCCAGACCTCATGATCCACCCGCCTTGGCCTCTCAAAGTGCTGGGATTACAGGCGTGAGCCACCACGCCTCGCTGCCCTTTTCACTCTTAATTCTCTTGCATGTAAACTGTGAAGTTTTCCAGAGGTTATATGACAGGTGATGTGGCAACAGATTGAATGGAGAAACAGATATGAGCTGTCTTTTGTTGTCAGACATTAAAGAGAATCGCAAAGATACAAAACAGTGCCATTCTTCTAATTAAAAAATTTTTTAAAATAAAAATACGTTAACATTTAATAAATATATTATTTTTAATTTGTTAATGAATATTTTAAGTTTCTTCTTAGTTTTAATTTCTAATATAGTAAATAGATAAAACCCACATTAACAAGCTCTTTGGAGTCTCAATTTTAAAGCTCTGTTTAAGATTGTAAAGGAGTCCTGAGATGAAAGAGTTTGAGAACCTCTGTAGCAGCCACCACAGTCAGCGGACATAATTTCAAGCAGTTGTAGTTGGAGGAGGATGGGGGAATTTTTCTCCTTTCCTTATCCCATCTCTGTGCTACCTTCTACTGTTTGGGGCAGCTGTTTTCTACTGTCTGTCTTATTTATATTTCAGGTGAAGTACCACTTAAATGGAACTGAATGATAGCACTTTCAATTTTAAGTTTGGTTAAAATTTTAAAAACAATGTTTCTTTTTTTTTTTTTTTTTGAGACGGAGTCTTGCTCTGTCACCCAGGCTGGAGTGCAGTGCCATGATCTTGGCTCACTGCAATCTCCGCCTCCTGGGTTCAAGCAGTTCTCCTGCCTCAGCCTCCCGAATAGCTGGGACTACAGGTGCACGCCTCCACGCCCGGCTAATTTTTTTTGTATTTTGGTAGAGACGGGGTTTCACCGTGTTGCCCAGGCTGATTGTGAACTCCTGAGCTCAGGCAGCCCTCCCGCTTCGGCCTCCCAAAGTGCTGGGATTACAGGCATGAGCCACCTCACTCAGTCTCATAATGTTTCATTCTAAGGTCAACTGAATGCTTCAATTGCCTGTGTCTTGCCAATTGGTAAATTTTACCTACAGTGCTTAAAAATGGTGAGGTTCATTCAGAGCTTTTTTGGTAAAATCTGTGCACTGGTTGATACAATTTGACTTGAAGCTTGAACCAGGAGAAGCCAGGTTACATACAGAATTTCAGTAAGGAACGGATTGTAAACATTGGTGAAGGGAATATGTGACTTTTCAGCATGAGGATACATTTTCTGGTATTTGTTCTAGTAGGTATGTTGGAGGAGGGGGATTCCTAGAACCATGGTTTTCATTTAGACAGCCAGTTATTGTGTTCTGTCACCATCTTTGCTAATTTCATGCAGATAAAATGAGGTTGAGATAAAAAATGATTGTATGTTATTTTTCCAGCAGAACATCTAACTGGATTTATTAGTTAACTCTTAAACCAGGAAGTCATGCTCTTTGAGACCCAGTAGGGAGTCACACTAGTTACTTGAAGCATAATTGATCCTTTGATCGAATGGCTATTATTACCAAATTGTTTTTCCCCCACAGTGCTTTGTATTGAAGGAGGAACCTTGGCCATAATGCCAGTTGATGACTACTGGCTGTGTTTACCAGCCTCTTGTGCTAGACCTTTTGTGCAGACTGTCAGAGTGGTGCAGTCTTGCCCCCACTGTTGCTGGTTTCCAGGTGTTCTCCCTTCAGTCCCTGAGCCACTACGTATGCCCGCCATGCTGCCAACAGGTAGCCACAGTGCTGTGCTTCCTCCTTCACATTGCTCCACCGCACCCCCTTCCACATCCCAAGAACCTTCTTCTTCCGCTGACCCCAAGCTCTGCCTTTCACCCCCTACATCTGATAGTAGGCAAGAGAGAAATGTGCAGTTTGGGCTGGTAAGTTTGGGGGCTTTTTTTTGTTATTAAAGTTAAGGCTTTTTGTTTGTTTGTTTTTTAAAATGAGATGGAGTCTCACTCTGTGAGACTCCCAGGCTGGAGTGCAGTGGCGCAATCTTGGCTCACTGCAACGTCTGCCTCCCGGGTTCAAGCGCTTCTCCTGCCTCAGCCTCCGGAGTAGCTGAGATTACAGGCACCCGCCACTACACCTGGCTAATTTTTGTATTTTTAGTAGAGACAGGGTTCACCCCGTTGGCCAGGCTGATCTCAAACTCCTGACTTCAAGTGATCCTCCCGCCTTGGCCTCCCGAAGTGCTGGGATTACAGGCGTGAGCCACTGTGCCTGGCCTACTTGATTTTTTGAAAACATTTTATTGTGCTTGTTAACAACTTTCTCAGTCATTATCTCTTGTTAACATAGATTTTTATTTTAGTAAGCGATAATATTAAATATATCACCAAAATATTGTATGAAACGAATATGAAATATAATTAATGTGTATCAGAATTATATTAGTGGAATGAAATGATTTTTTAAAAATTAAGTCTAACACCTAAATTATAAAAGTCTGTTACTTGCTAAGTATATGGAAAGTAAATATTAAATATGGGAGACTTCATGCATATGCAAATTAAAGGAATGAGCTTTGCAGAGTTGTGCCTATTTAAAATATCCTACAAAAGCAGCAACTTTCACGTTTAACTTTTCATGCAGGTCAGTATCAATTGACAGTTTTGTTCTGAATTTTTAGATGTTATGCCCCAGCCAAACAGTATAGAAATGTCTTAAATAAATATTTGGCTGGTCTTTTAAAATTGTTATATTGAGATTAAGCTATGCCCATATTTACCAAGCCCCTATCTTTAAAACCTAGTTTAAAAATTCTAGGAAAAAAAGGCTAATGATTAAACCTGATTTAGACCTAAGTTGGTTTACTTATGTAGAGGTACTATACGAACACTTCAAAGTAGTTAGCAGTGACCGTCTTTGGGGTTAATAAACTAAGATAAAGCAAGCAGTTCACAACTTTAAGGAAGGTTGAATATTTCCATCTGTATGCTGTAATTAAACAGCATCTTCCCTTTGAAAATTCCTTTTGTTTTTCTTTAAGAAAAGATTTTCTTACAAAGCTTTTTGGACATTGCTGATTTTAAGTTAAATTATTTTCTCTTCTGTTATTTTTCTTTAGGCTTATCAGGAGGGCAGACTTCAAAAGCTACTAAAAATGAACGGCCCTGAAGATCTTCCCAAGTCCTATGACTATGACCTTATCATCATTGGAGGTGGCTCAGGAGGTCTGGCAGCTGCTAAGGCAAGGCTCCTTGTGTTGTCTGTTGTCTGTTGTCTGGGTGGTGATTAGAATATTAACATCCCTGACAGGGTTCTCTCCTCTCTCTGTGGAATTTATTTGATCCACTCCTGTGACATTTTGCACATTAACTTGGGCAGGACATGGACATCGTAAGGGACCACTTTATAAATCATTTTTCCAGATTAAAATATACATTCCTTATATTAAAGTATAGGGCCCAGTATTTTGGAACACGTTTCCGTTCACTTTAAGTTTAATTGATTTTTCAGAGATAATAAGGGTGTTGTGCCTGGTGTGGTGACTCACGCCTGTAATCCCAGCACTTTGGGAGTCCGAGGTGGGCGGATCACCTGAGGTCAGGAGTTCAAGACCAGCCTGGCCAATGTGGTGAAACTCCATCTCTACTAAAAATACAAAAATTAGCCAGGCGTGGTGGTGGGCACCTGTAATCCCAGTTACTTGGGAGGCTGAGGCAGGAGAATGGCTTGAACCTTGGAGGCCGAGTTTGCAGTGAGCTGAGATCGCACCATTGCACTCCAGCCTGGTCAACAGGAGCAAAACTCTGTCTTTAAAAAATATATATATATATGTGTATATATATGTATATATACACACATATATATGGGTATTGTGTGGAAATGGTCTGAAATTAAGCAAATATATTTCTTAGTTAATATTTCTTAGTTAATATTTGTCTTTTTCACTTGAATGATTTCCCTGTTCATAACCCCTTCTCTCCAATATAAAAAAAGATGGGGAGCAATTGGGTTTCTTAAACCCATTTATTAAAAATGATTTGCTTTTTGTATATGTGAGGTTATCTAATAACCACTAACTCTGTGGTCTGAGGGTGATTGGGAAGAGGATGTATAAATAAAGAAGGTTAGGAGTGAGGCTCCTGGTTCTGAATCAAGATAAATTTCCCATGTGAGGACCCCTTGGGCCTGTCATCCTTACCCAACAGGTTCCTTTAAAAGATGAAGTGGTTATAATTCCCTAAGGTATAGCTTGTGCTGAATCAGTAATGGGTAGAAGCTGCCCAAATACTGCAGACCAGTATGTAGCATGAAGCAATGCTTTACTGAAAGTAATTGAGGAATAATACCTGATGTATTTTACTCCAGTGGTGGTGTGTTTGAAAGACGTGTAGACTCAGTCCTTTCAAATAACCTTTGGAGGTCTAGTTGCCAATATTCAAAGCTTATTCTCTGAGAATGATAAAAGATATTCTGCAAAACAAACTTCTAACTCTTGTTTCCCTCCCTAAAAATATATTTGGAAATATCATAGATGTTGTCAACTTTTTCATGAGCGCCTCATGTGAAAATTTTAGGAAATCTTGTAATACAGAAGAAAAACTTCTTCAGTATTCTGCCTTAGAAACCAAATTAGATTAAACTTTAAAATGATTTTTAAAATATCACCTTATAGGATACAGGTTGCATTAAGGGCTGTAGACTATCAGTAAACCTGCTTTTTCAGCTACTTGGCAACTTGCTTGGAAATGGCCACTTTCTTTTTTCAGGTTATTGCTGAATCTGTTATTGTTTGAGTGGAATTATGTGAGAGAAGTCTAAGGTTTCCAGCTGATTCTAACAATTTTACTACTCTATTCTGCATAATTTTAAAATCTACTCTCAGAACTATCTGAATATCTGTTAATTTTTATCCTGGAGTTTAACTAATCATCATGGTGTGTGAAGTACCCAGGTATTAATTATTCGTTATGCTTTAAGCTCTATAGCTTAAAAAAAAATCATGGATTTTTAACAGCCCATTTCCAATCTGTCATGTTAACCTTTCCAACTCACTTTAATAATTTTATTTTCCAGGAGGCAGCCCAATATGGCAAGAAGGTGATGGTCCTGGACTTTGTCACTCCCACCCCTCTTGGAACTAGATGGGGTAAGCTTTTAAGATACTCTAGAAGTGATGTTGCCGAAGTAGTTTTCCCCTGGCAATAATCTAACTGGTTCCTAAAGCCTAATTAAAAAAATCAAAAACTAAGTTAAAGAAAAAACAGCCCCAAAACATATATATCTTTTATTTGAGCCAAGTTAAAATGGATCAGGTTAAATGCTAAAAATTTAGGTTCTTTGGCACAGAGTCAAGAAGTAAGAACCCTGTCTACAAGCTATGATTTAAAGGTAAATATTTGAGTAATCTAGCATATATAGGGGCTTAATAACTGAAAATTTAAACTTTTCATATGTGGATTTGTTTTAAATCTACCTCCTACATTCAACAAGAGTTGGAATCAGATACCCTACTGTATAGCCCTTGCTGCTTCTGAGTCTTGATGAATTATATGTTCATAATATTTACTGAACATTTATTATGAACCAAGGCAATGACGATATAGCAGTGAACTCGGCATATTCAAAGTTCATGCCCTTGTGAAGCTTATATTCTAAGTGGGGAGACAAAAGATACCTAAGAACTTTAGGAGTTGTGGTAAGCGGTATTGAAAAAATTAATATAGTGGCATAGAGAGGAAGTGGATAAAGGAGAATTTAACTTCGAGAAGATTATCAAGGAAGACATCTGAAGAGGTGACATTTAGAAGAGGCCAAAGAATGAGAATGAGCCAGCTGTCAAAAGGTGAGGCAGAACCTTCCAGGCAGCTTCTCTTTCTTTGAGGATAGCACATACAAAGGCCCTGAGGTAGGTAAAAGTCCTTCATGGTTGTGGCATGGATAATGGGAGCTGGAGGTGGTAGTGTGAGATGAGACCAGAGAGGAAGGCAGGTGTCACTATTGAGGGCTTTGTAGGCCAAGATGAGGAATTTGGACTAATCAAAGCATATAATTTGGACTAAATTGGACTAATCAGAGCATATAAATGAGCCTTTGAAGACTCTAAGGCAGGGGAGCCATGTGATAATATAAGATTTTTTAAAGATTACTTGGCTGCTTGCATTAGAAGGAACCAAGAAGCAGGAAGTCCAGATAAGGCGATGTCACAATTTCTGATTCATCCATTCAGCAGATATTTAATGTGTCAATCTGTGTCAGACACTGCTCTTGGTACTAGGTATATCCCTTCTGACCTGTGGAGCATATACTCCAGAGTGACAACTGGTAGTATTCTACTCAGAGGACTTACTTTGAGCTGTGAAGTCTGTTGCCATCTTTCACTCTTATGTCATTTTGGTCACCTGCCTGTGTTTTGTTCTAATGGAAACAAGCTGTCACCATATTCTTTAAGCTTAGGGATACTAAACCTATTTTTAGGGAGCAAGGGAAGTCATGCATCCTTTAAAAAACCAAGTGAATGCTGTAGGCCACCTCCTTAAAAAAATGCACATATACACCAAAATTTTTTTCTTTTTTTTTTTTTTTTTTTTTGAGATGGAGTCTCGCTCTGTCGCCCGGGCTGGAGTGCAGTGGCGCTATCTCGGCTCACTGCAACCTCCACCTCCTGGGTACAAGCAGTTCTCCTGCCTCAGCCTCCTTAGTAGCTGGGATTACAGACACGTACCACCATGCCCAGCTAATTTTCTGTGCTTTTAGTAGAGACAGGGTTTCACCGTTTTGGCCAGGCTGGTCTCGAACTCCTGACCTCAAATGATCCACCCGCCTCGGCCTCCCAAAGTGCTGGGATTACAGGCGTGAGCCACCACGCCCAGCCAATATACACCAAATTTTATATGCAGTTTAAGACCCACTGCACTCTAATCATCCCCAGCATAGCAACCCCTTTATCAGTTACCTCTGCATAGATTCAATGGCAAGTGCAGATGCTGCTTGAATTACAATGGGGGACTACATCCTGATAAAATCCTTTGTAAGTTGAAAACAAGTCAAAAATGCATTTAATACACCTAACCTCCCGAACATCATAGCTTAGCCTGGTCTACCTTAAACATGCTCCGAAAACTTACATTAACCTACAGTTGGGCAAAATCATCTAACACAAAGCCTATTTTATAATAAAGTGTTGAATATCTCATATAATTTACTGAATACTGAACTGAAAGTGAAACACAGTATGGGTGTATGGGTATCAACATAAAGAGAAAAATCGTAAGTCGGGTCGTCTGTATAGGGTTGTGTACATAGTAAGATTTCAATTTCTGGCATCTTTATCAGCAGTCAGTTAATTTTGTATCTTTGAAGTATACGGAAATTGTGGAAATCTGCCCCTCTTTTTGTTTTGTTTTAGGATGATGTTACCGTGTTTGGTATGTAAGGGTCTCTGAACTTATGGATGTTGTAAGAGTTAGGAATAAACTTTATTACTGACCACATTAAGCAAATATAATACAATATTTCTTAGAGTTGTAATAATTGTTGACTTTGTTCTTTGAATGTTTGTAAGGCTTGGAAAGCAGGTTATAAACTGATTTCTCAATGTTGTTGTAGGTCTCGGAGGAACATGTGTGAATGTGGGTTGCATACCTAAAAAACTGATGCATCAAGCAGCTTTGTTAGGACAAGCCCTGCAAGACTCTCGAAATTATGGATGGAAAGTCGAGGAGACAGGTATGAGAGGGAAAAGCTACTCTTCTGTTTGTGCTTTTGGGGGTTTGAGCTGCAATTTTTGTGATGCGTCGTCCATTTTCATGAAGATAGCAAATAGCCTAGTTGTTTTTATTGTTTACATTTTTGATGGATATAATCACTGGAGTTATCCTTTGTCAAGTATTTACATAGTTGTTATGGTAACAACAGATACTGCATTTGGACTATGGTATTTCTGTAATATAAAATTAGAGTTCTTTTGAATATATTGTCATGTAGTATTTGTGAGAAATCATACAATGTTTATAATTTGTAAGGAAGTACTAATTGCATTTGCTTTCTTTCATGTTGCATTTTTCTCCCTCCAAAGAAGTCTGTTTCATGAGCTGATGTTTGTGGGGGGTGGGGGTTGTTTGTTCAGGAGGGGGTGGTTAGGCTTTGTTGGATTAAAACTATTTAGAGTACCCTAGAAACCCTAGATGAGTTTAAGAGATTGGAATTGTTAATTTTATTTTTATTTATTTATTTATTTGAGACGGAGTCTCACTCTGTCGCCCAGGCTGGAGTGCAGTGGCACGATCTCAGCTCACTGCAAGCTCCGCCTCCCGGGTTCACACCATTCTCCTGCCTCAGCCTCCCGAGTAGCTGGGATTACGGGCGCCTGCCACCACGCCTGGCTAATTTTTTGCATTTTTAGTAGAGGTGGGGTTTTACCATGTTAGCCAGGATGGTCTCGATCTCCTGACCTCATGATCCACCTGCCTCAGCCTCCCAAAGTGCTGGGATTACAGGTGTGAGCCACCGTGCCTGGTGGAATTGTTAATTTTAGAAAGTAGATTGCATTATTTAGTAGAAGAATAAAATGAGATCTGGCATAGCTTCCTGGCTAATTTATGACATATGTCACTCTGTTGTGAAGAGTGAAACTCCAACCCCTATGTGATTTGAGGTTTGAGACCTATGCATTATGGAGCATTTGAGGGAAAATATTCCAGCCAGTAGCCAGGATAAACATTTTGTGGCTTTTTTGGGGTTTTAATTGTTTATTAAATGTAAAGATAAGGCATAAATGTATACTTGGAAAAATTTTGCTCTCACTCAAACTAGTTATGCTTCTCTTGTTGATGCTTTTACTTCCTACTTAAAATAATAGTACCTTTTCCAAGTCTGGAATCTTAGAAAATCACTAACTTTTAAAGTTTTATAATGTTGGGGTCACATTGTTTGCTCAGACCCTTAAGAGAGAGAGGGATATAGGAGGAAATTTTGTAAAACATTGATAATTACTGCAGCTTAGATGATTAGCACATGTGGGTGAGCTATATACTATTCTATTCCACTCCTAGCAGAGAAACAGCAAGTCCTGAGCCTTTTGTAGTGGTGGTAGACAGAGGCCAGGCAGGGAGGTTAGTCCAAGCTTCCTGCAGCCTTCCCTACCCACAAGCTACCTGGTCCTCTAGAACCATAACCGCAGTGGCATCTGCAGTTACTTTTTTTTTTTTTTTTTTTTTCAGTTGAACCAATTTCTTAAGGTTTGCTCTAATTCTAACATTATGATCATATGAATTCAATATCCATGATCTATCTGTTCTCTTAGAGGCTATAAATCAATTTTTTGTGCTGTCATTCCCACTTCCAGAGGCTGGCCAGTAAGTGTTATAAGCCTATTTTCAAAACTTACTGTATAGCCAGCCAGGATCATGCCTGTAATCCCAACAGTTTAGGAGGCCAAGGGGAAAGGATCAGTTTGAGACCAGAAGTTCGAGACTACCTTGGACAACAAAGCAAGAGCCTGTCTCTACAAAGAATAATTAGTCGGGCCTGGAAGCCCTCTCCTATAGTCCCAGCTTCTCAGGAGGCTGAAGCAGGGGGATAATTTGAGCCCAGGAGTTCAAGGCTGCAGTGAGCTGTGATTGATTGCACCACTGCACTCCAGCCTGGGCAACAGAGTGAGACCCTGTCTCTAAAGAAGAGATTATTGAGGCTGGGTGCAATGACTCATGCCTGTAATCCCAGCACTTTGGGAGGCTGAAGTCGGCAGAGCACTTGAGGTCGGGAGTTTGAGACCAGCCTGGCCAACATGGCAAAACTGCGTCTCTACTAAAAATATAAACAATTAGCTGGGCATGATGGCCCACACTTGTAGTCCCAGCTACTCTTGAGGCTGAGGCACGAGAATAGCTTGAACCCTGGGTTGAGGGGTACGGAGGTTGCAGTGAGCCCAGATTGAGCCACTGCATTCCAGTCTGGGCAGTCTGGGCAACCAAAGGGTTGATTTTTATCCTTTGAAATTTAATATTACTTTAGTGTCCTGACTTAAAGGATTAATTTAATTATGACAGAATCAAAAAGAATAAAAAAGTTTTCTCTTTGATAAGATATGGGAGTTTGGAGGAAATGTGATAAGACTCTTAAAATCCTGTCTAAATGAATAGTCAGTGAATTTTTTCCGTAAAAGGCCATATGGTAAATATTTTAGGATTCTTGGGGCATAGGGTCTCTAGTAGCTACTTAACTCTGCTTATGTAGTGTGAAAGTAGCACTAGAAAATATCGAAATAAATAAGCATGGCTGTATTTTAATAAAGCTTTATTTACAAAAAGCTGATGGGCTGGATTGGCCCATGGTGCAGTTTGCCAGCCCCTGACATAAACACTGTTACTAGTGTAGTAACTCCATACTCGGCTACATCAGAATCTCTTGGATTTTCTTACAAACACAGAATCCTAAGCCTTAATATATCCCAGAAATCAGTAAAATTCAAGTTCGTTTCTAGATAAAGAAGGAAAAAGTTTGTGTATTGTTATTTTAGTTTAAAATTGTCAGGGGATCTGTCTTGTATTATTTAATTGTATTAGTCTTATAAGAGAATACTTGAAGATGAAAAAGTGGCATATGTGCTCAAAATGGAGGATTTGCCCTTTCAGATTGCCTTTTAGAGCTCTGCTCCCTGTATTTCACTTGAGTGGTTATTGAGAAATGATCTTTGCCAGCAGTTGAAAAGCCAAACAAGATTTTGTTTTATTTTCTTATACAGTTAAGCATGATTGGGACAGAATGATAGAAGCTGTACAGAATCACATTGGCTCTTTGAATTGGGGCTACCGAGTAGCTCTGCGGGAGAAAAAAGTCGTCTATGAGAATGCTTATGGGCAATTTATTGGTCCTCACAGGATTAAGGTAATTGTGTGACATCCTGACTAGCTTTTTTTTTTTCTTTTTTCTCTTTTTAAAAGCTTTGGTTAGAAAATGTTAAAGTATTATAATAAAAGTAATAGCCACTGTGACCCAGACTATCCAGTTTGGTGATTTTGCTATCATATCATCCTATGGGGCCTTGTGTGGAGGTATGGTAAAGTGTAAGTATGCTGGACCAGACCGCCTGGTTTTGAGGCTTGGCTCCAGCACTTACTAACATTGTGACTTTGAGTAAGTCTGTTAACTACTCAGTCTTAATTTATCCTTTTTACTATATTATTGTCCTCATTATGAGGATGAAATGAGACAATGTAGTGAATGGCCTTTGTTAACTATGAAGTTTACAATTCTGAGGAATGATTACTTAATAAGGTTTTCATATTGGTTCCTTTGTAGGCAACAAATAATAAAGGCAAAGAAAAAATTTATTCAGCAGAGAGATTTCTCATTGCCACTGGTGAAAGACCACGTTACTTGGGCATCCCTGGTGACAAAGAATACTGCATCAGCAGGTAAAGGAAAAAAGCAGGGTGGAAAAGAAAAACCCATTGTGGATATTGCTTTCGCATTTTTCTTCAAACCCACTGCGTCAATTTCTTGGGCTTCAGACAGATTTCTTTGCCACATTGTGCCCTCTCTGGGGGCAGGGGTTTGGGAGAAAGAGAAAAAGGAAAAATGATTTTAAAGGAGAACATTTTAAATATTGAAAACTTCAAACATTGGTCATCTTGCTACACAGAGTATCACTAACATACTAGTATAGATTTACATTTGTATTCGAAATTTATTTATGCATGTATGAGTATGAAAGTATGTAATAAAACCAAATGGATATTCACAAACATTTTGTAAAATAGGTATGATACATATATACATTTAGATTTTGTAAAATGAGGATCATGTATTACCCTTTAACACTTGCAGAGTGGCTGCTAAAAGAATTAGAGGCTGTCAGGCCATTTAGATTTATCAGAATCTAGACCCTACTCAATGCTGTTTGAATGGTTGCAGTGTCAGTGTAGAAGGACCTCCTGAAACAAGTCAAGCAAGGAGATGTTTTGCTGTGTGGTTTATTTTTGCCCGTCAAATGGTAACACTGCTGACATTGTTCAGGAGCTTTCAATTATGAAGTCATTAAGACAGAGTGTTGGTAAATGTGTCTTCTTGGATGCTTTTTGCTCAGGAGTTTCTGATTGTGTTATAAATTACTCTACTCCTTCAGGCTCTTTTTGGTATATGCTTTTATCCTTTCTCACATGGTGGGAGAGGGAGAGGCAGGTCTCTGGGGCCTTTTTTATGAGGACAGTAGCCCCATTCATGAGTGCTCTGCCCTCATGGCCTAATCACCTCCCAAAAGCCCAACCCCTAATATCATTGCCTTGGGGTTTAGGATGTTAATGTGTGCATTTTGGGGATACATAAACATTCAGACAATAGCAGGCTCCCTTCCAATATTTTTTAAAAACTCATTCTCTAACATGCTTTTATGATCTCTGTGTCCCTAGCTCAACTAGAAGACTTTTGTCAGGTTCTACTCCTTATAGTTGGCTTTTATATTATAAGATATTGAAAGTTTTTTTTTTTTTCTGCATCCTAGTCCACATTCTTGATAATAATTGGTGTTTCAGCTGAGGACAAGCAACACAGGTTTTTCCACCTCAGAGCTGAGTGGTGGCATGAGGATGGAGGTTAGGGTTTGCAAATCTATAATTTGTTCCAAACAGTTCAAAATCATTTAGTGTGAAGATGAATTGGACTAACTGACTAATATCAGAAGTTACACAGTTTGCTGTGTTTAGCTATGGGTAGCTTGAGCTACTCCCAAAGCAACTGAGTGGCAAGAAAGGGTATCTAAGAATTATAAAAACTTCTCATGTATTATGTGTGTAGCTAGTAGAATGTTTATCATCTTGAAAGTATGTTCTTGTCAAAGTAAAAATGTGTACTTGGATTTAGTAATTATTTATATAGGAACTTTCTTTTTCTTCTTTCTTCCTTTTTTTTTTTTTTCCCCCAGTGATGATCTTTTCTCCTTGCCTTACTGCCCGGGTAAGACCCTGGTTGTTGGAGCATCCTATGTCGCTTTGGAGTGCGCTGGATTTCTTGCTGGTATTGGTTTAGACGTCACTGTTATGGTTAGGTCCATTCTTCTTAGAGGATTTGACCAGGACATGGCCAACAAAATTGGTGAACACATGGAAGAACATGGCATCAAGTTTATAAGACAGTTCGTACCAATTAAAGTAAGTGGGTTTGCCTGTAGGTTTCTTGATTCTACATTCACAGTAAAAGGCAAAAAGAGAGTTGAGTTGGTGGTAGAAGCATCCTTTCAGCATTATAAACCATCAGGAATGCTGATTCCCCTACTGTTGTATACTGGTATATAAACTTGTACCTCCCTACCATCTAAACACCTATATAGCTTTGTTCTTATTTGTAGATTAATAATCTCTTCCTTTGTCAACTTTCTAAATTTTGGTTTTCTTCTCTTCTGTTTAATGCTTTCCTTTATGCATTCCTTTGTCATCTTTGGTCTCTTAATACTTTGTTTCTTCATATGTACCAGAGATTTAAATAAGAGTTCAACACTAGGCCCCACCTGCACTCCCTGGCTCCCCACAGGACATTTCCCCTTGGTATATGATAACATAAACACTACATAAACACTACATACTTCTGGCATCCCTGAAAGTGATTATCTCATTTATTTATGTGTGCTAACCTTTTTCGCTCTTTTAATCTTTTGAAAGGAGCTAATACTATGCCAAGTCACACCTGGGATTTGTTACCATTATCACAAATGTTTTCATATATGAGTGACAAAATTGAACACTTAGTGTGTGTCTCAGACTAATAGATAATTTTCTCTAGTGCAGGGAAAATGGTGGGACTATTTTGTTAAAGTTAAGGAATTATAGTTGTCTTTTTTTTTTTTTTCATCTCTCAGTGGGTTGACTTGAGTTGTGTATGTGACTATGGATCTCCTAATGCTGATAGATAAGAATATGAACTTTGGGATCAGAATGACCTGAATTCAGATAATATTCTGCCAGTTTCTTGCTCTATGACTTTGGAAGAGTTACCTCTCTGAACCCGTTTCTTCTGTAAAATGAGGTTGAAAATAGCATCTAACAATTCTTGTGAGGATTGCATTAGCCAACACTTATAAAGTAATTAGAAAAGTACCTGGTAGAGAGTAAGTTTAAAGTGAATCATCTCATAATATTGTTATGAAGATTAAGGCACAAATTTCCTGGAAGCTGTCAGTGCTTGATTACTGTAGCTGTTTTTTATTTTTACCTTTTTTTTTTTTTTTTTTTTTTTTGAGACGGAGTTTTGCTTTGTCACCCAGGCTGGAGTGCAGTAGCCCAATCTCAGCTGACTGCAACCTCTGCCTCCCAAGTTCAAGCGATTCTGGTGCCTCAGCCTCCTGAGTAACTGGGGCCACAGGTGCGTGCCACCACACCCGGCTAATTTTTATATTTTCAGTAGAGAGGGCTTTCACCATGTTGGCCAGGCTGGTCTTGAACTCCTGACCTCAAGTGGTCCTCCCAGTGCAGTGTCCCAAAGTGCTGAGATTACAGGCCTGAGCCACTGCGCCTGGCCTGTAGCTGTTTTTTAGAGTAGAGGTATATATGCTATATTTGCATTAGAGCTATGATTCATAAACAACAGTTGTATGTATATGCTGTACTGATAGAAAGTAACATCTTCCTATATACAATTTTTTTTTTTTAATTTATTTTTTTATTGATAATTCTTGGGTGTTTCTCACAGAGGGGGATTTGGCAGGGTCATGGGACAATAGTGGAGGGAAGGTCAGCAGATAAACAAGTGAACAAAGGTCTCTGGTTTTCCTAGGCAGAGGACCCTGCGGCCTTCCGCGGTGTTTGTGTCCCTGATTACTTGAGATTAGGGAGTGGTGATGACTCTTAACGAGCATGCTGCCTTCAAGCATCTGTTTAACAAAGCACATCTTGCACTGCCCTTAATCCATTTAACCCTGAGTGGACACAGCACATGTTTCAGAGAGCACAGGGTTGGGGGTAAGGTCACAGATCAACAGGATCCCAAGGCAGAGGAATTTTTCTTAGTGCAGAACAAAATGAAAAGTCTCCCATGTCTACTTCTTTCTACACAGACACGGCAACCATCCGATTTCTCAATCTTTTCCCCACCTTTCCCGCCTTTCTATTCCACAAAGCCGCCATTGTCATCCTGGCCCGTTCTCAATGAGCTGTTGGGCACACCTCCCAGAAGGGGTGGTGGCCGGGCAGAGGGGCTCCTCACTTCCCAGTAGGGGCGGCCGGGGCGGCTGGCCGGGCGGGGGGCTGACCCCCCACCTCCCTCCCGGACGGGGCGGCTGGCCGGGCAGAGGGGCTCCTCACTTCCCAGTAGGGGCGGCCGGGCAGAGGCGCCCCTCACCTCCCGGACGGGGCGGCTGGCCGGGCGGGGGGCTGACACCCCCACCTCCCTCCCGGACGGGGCGGCTGGCCGGGCGGGGGGCTGACACCCCCACCTCCCTCCCAGACGGGGCGGCTGGCCGGGCAGGGGGGCTGACCCCCCCACCTCCCTCCCGGACGGGGCGGCTGGCCGGGCGGGGGGCTGACACCCCCACCTCCCTCCCGGACGGGGCGGCTGGCCGGGCAGAGGGGCTCCTCACTTCCCAGTAGGGGCGGCCGGGCAGAGGCGCCCCTCACCTCCCGGACGGGGCGGCTGGCCGGGCGGGGGGGCTGACCCCCCCCCACCTCCCTCCCGGACGGGGACCTATATACAATTTTTTAACATTTGGGGAGTTGTGGACCCTTTTGAAAACCTGGTGGACTATTCCTAGTAAAATAGGGTTACCAGAGTATCTGATTCCCACAGCTGGGTATTAAACTCTTGCTGTATTATAAAGTGACCGAATGGAAGGAACCTTCTGTGGAGAGTGGGGAGAGGGTACATTTTGGACAGAGAATGTAGTATGTGTACAAAGGCTCTGTGGGGAGAAATATTGTTCTAGATACCAAAAAGGCCTGATTGAAGTACAAAAGTGAATAAGGGTGGAGGTGGGATGAGGCCCTTATCATTTCCAAACAAATCTTAAGCAATGGACCAATTAAGCTCTTTTCCAAGGATTAGAACATTTTGATTAAAATTAAACAAGAAAGACTTCTCCAGTATGTTCAGAGAGGCTCATTTAACTATATAAGAAGGAAAGGGAATTCAGGAAGGAAATTTTTATTATTTATTGATGTCAAATAAAATAACCCTGGATAGTTTCCCAGGTGGGTTTCGTTTTTTTTTTTTTTTTGAGATGGAGTCTTGCTCTGTCACCTAGGTTGGAGTGCAGTGGCGTGATCTTGGCTCACTGCAAGCTCCGCCTCCCGGGTTCACGCCATTCTTCTGCCTCAGCCTCCCAAGTAGCTGGGACTACAGGCGCCCGCCACCACGCCCGGCTAATTTTTGTATTTTTAGTAGAGACGGGGTTTCACTATGTTGGTCAGGCTGGTCTCGATCTCCTGACCTCATGATCCTCCCGCCTCGGCCTCCCAAAGTGCTGGGATTACAGGCGTGAGCCACCGCACCCGACCCCAGGTGGGTTTCTAAGTCATTATACCTAGTCTGTAGGTTGTTGTTGACATCTATTTGTAGTAGGTTGGTATATTTATTCTCCTCTGCCATCACTCAAGTATCAGGGCTTGCTCATTTCTTTCTGCATCCTTAACAACTGAAAACACCCCCTGGTTCTGATAAACACCCACATCTCCTTGCCCACTCCGATTTTTAAGACTTTGTAACTGTTACCCATATCACTATGGACCTGCTGTAATGTAATCTATCCTTTGTTGTCAATGAAAGCTGAGCATCTGTAGTCAAAAGAGAATCTCTGAATTTGGGCAACAGTTGCCCTCCATGGGATTAATGATTCTGGGTGAATCACAAGATAGAAACCTGGGAAAAGCAGTAAGTCATTGGTTTGATTTTAGGGATGGTAGTGTGCTTTCTGTAGCTTGCTTTTCCCCCCCATTTTTCTCTGAATTTTATTGTTTGAGAACTCTTTCAAAGAAAGCCCCTCTAGCAGACAACATTGAGCAGCGAAAAAGAAGGAAATAATCATTTATCATCCTAATAATGTTAAGTGAGGGAGATGGGACATAAAAGACTTTTCAAGCACGATTTTATATTTTAACTTTGGGTTAACCAGATGGAAGGGGAAGGTAGAGAATCCAACTTGATAAATGTCTTTATTTCACAGTAAAACTTTATCACTCTTACAGGTTGAACAAATTGAAGCAGGGACACCAGGCCGACTCAGAGTAGTAGCTCAGTCCACCAATAGTGAGGAAATCATTGAAGGAGAATATAATACGGTAAGGAATGGGCCCAGGTTAATACTTTATCAGAAAGCAAATAACATGCTTATTGGGTATCTTATAGGAACTTAAAATGGCTCTTAGTGATTTCCAAATGTACTGGTTCTATGCCAATTCTTAGACATCTCAATAACTTATGATATTAAAATTTGTTTTGGTGGCCAGGTGTGTTAGCTCACGCCTGTAATCCCAGCACTTTGGGAGGCCAAGGCGGGCAGATCACGAGGTCAAGGGATCGGGACCATCCTGGCCAACGTGGTGAAACCCCGACTCTACTAAAAATACAAAAATTAGCCGGGCGTGGTGGCGTGCGCCTGTAGTCCCAGCTATTCGGGACGTTGAGGCAGGAGAATCGCTTGAACCCAGGAGACCTAGGTTGCAGTGAGCCGAGATTGTGCCACTGCACTCCAGCCTGGGTGACAGAGCGAGACTCCATCTCAAAAAAAAAAAAAAAAAGTTGTTTTGGTAAACGGATGGCTTCAGATTTTTTCCACTGTAACTTAAAGTATTATTAGTCAAATGGCTATACAAAGGCAACAGAATTTTTAAATGAGCCAGAATTTCTGTCCCGTGTTCTTTCCTTTCATCTCCCCACGCAACCACTTAAAAAATAATTTAGTTACAGACTATGATGTCATTGTCTTTAAACTTGGATAGGTTTATTAAGGCATTATGAATTCTCTTTTTCCTAATCAGAAGTGGAAAATAATTTCTACTATATCATATATGTTCAAAGGATTTTTTTCTGAAGATTTTAATTTATTTAAACTCTTGCATTACTTTCTTACTGAAATATTTATTTCCAAGTTTGAAAAATGAAATCAGATTAGCTTAATAAGCAGAGAAAAATATGATTAGGTAATAAATGCAAAGCCTTTTTGTTATTAGTCACTAATATATTAATAATTTTTCAGGTGATGCTGGCAATAGGAAGAGATGCTTGCACAAGAAAAATTGGCTTAGAAACCGTAGGGGTGAAGATAAATGAAAAGTAAGAAAAAAATCTTTATTATGTCATATTTGTGGGATTTTTTTTTTTTTTTTTTTTTTGAGATGGAGTTTCTCTCTTGTCTCCCAGGCTGGAGTACAATGGCACGATCTCGGCTCACTGCAACCTCCGTCCCCTGGGATCAAGCCATTCTCCTGCCTCAGCCTCCCATGTAGCTGGGATTACAGGCATGCACCACCACACCTGGCTAATTTTTGTATTTTTAGTAGAGATGGGGTTTCGCCATGTTGGTCAGGCTGGTGTCGAACTCCTGACCTCAGGTGATCCACCTGCCTTGGCCTCCCAAAGTGCTGGGATTACATGTGTGAGCCACTGTGCCTGGCCCATTATGTCATATTTAATACTATTTCAGTTATTTACAGCATTGGTCAATTATAGAATTTTAGTTTTTTGTTGGTATGTTTGTTTTTTTGAGACAGAGTCTCGCTCTGTCACCCAGGCTGGAGTGCAGTAGTGCAATCTCATGTCACTGCCACCTCTGCTTCCTGTGTTCAAGTGATTCTTGTGCCTCAGCCTCCCTGGTAGCTGGATTACAGGCGCCTGCCATCACACCTATAATCATGCTGGCCAGGCTGGTCTCCATCTTTTGGCCTCTAGTGATCTACCCACATCAGCCTCCCAAAGTGTTGGGATTACAGGTGTGAGCCACTGTGCCTGGCCGAATTTTAGATTTTTTAAACCTAATTTTTACCATAGTTGAGCTCTTCAACTATGAAGAAATGAAACTTTTCTTCCAGTGCCATTCACATTAGTGTTTCCTGTTTGTTTTCTTTTATCCATTTTGAGGGGAGTTATAATTTAGAATCCTCACTCTTAACCACTGTGTTGGAGTTCTTCCATTCTCAGATTTCTTAGAGTTTTCTTATTTCTTTGATTTTCAGAACCGTGGACAGAATTGTCATTATCTGATAAGATTTTTGTTCCTTTGAGCTGTTTTGTTTTATTTTTAACACATTAGAACATTGCCCTCAGCTAGAGTCACAATTTTGGGCTTCCCTGAAAAAACGGAAGATTTTGTTCTCCTTAATTAATAATGGTAATTAATGATGATTTTTAACTGAATAAAATTGCAGGACTGGAAAAATACCTGTCACAGATGAAGAACAGACCAATGTGCCTTACATCTATGCCATTGGCGATATATTGGAGGATAAGGTGGAGCTCACCCCAGTTGCAATCCAGGCAGGAAGATTGCTGGCTCAGAGGCTCTATGCAGGTTCCACTGTCAAGGTGAGTGTTGTGCTTGTTGCCCATTAGATACTGTTGTCAGTAATACTCCCAGTTCCTTATTTAGGGGGCAGTTGGGAAGTTTCGCAGATCTTGAATAATTTAGTTATTTTGGTGATGGCATCCTAGATGTCCTTTATTAGTTGTATTCCAGACAAGATATTATTAAGGCTGCTGTACATTGTGACTTTATTATGAAGATCGACACTCCGCCGGGCACAGTGGCTCATGCCTGTAATCCCAATACTTTGGGAGGCTGAGGCAGGCAGATCACCAGGTCAGGAGTTCAAGACCAGCCTGGCCAACATGGCGAAACCCCATCTCTACTAAAAATACAAAAATTAGCTGGGCATGGTGGCGCATGCCTGTAATCCCAGCTACTCAGGAGGCTGAGGCAGGAGAATTGCTTGAACGGGGAACTGGGAGGCAGAGGTTGCAGTGAGCCAAGATTGTGCCACTCTACTCCTGCCATGGCTACAGAGCGAGACTCCATCTAAAAAAAAAAATTAAAAAAAAAAAAAAGAAAATTGACATCTTGGATTCACATTATGAATAAAAAGAGCTTGATTAATCAAGTTTTCAGCACTGTTGTTGAATAGTGTACTTTATATCCATATACTCTAAACAGTTGTATTTTATGTCAATTTCATCATTACCAGTATAAATAAAATGTTCTGAGTCTTTTTATGGCACTTATCTAGGCTATAAAAGGACTTGAGGATTTAGGTAATGGTGTCAGTGTACAAAGTAGCTTAAACCACTATTCAGGCCTTATTACCCAGTCCTTAGAAAATATCTGTCTTAGAGGCCAGGTGCGTTGGCTCATGCCTGTAATCCCAGCACTTTGGGAGGCTGATGCAGGCAGATCACGAGGTCAGGAGATTGAGACCATTCTGGCTAACATGGTGAAACCCTGTGTCTACTAAAAATACAAAAAATTAGCCGGCCGTGGTGGTGGCGGGCGCCTGTAGTCCCACCTACTCTGGAGGCTGAGGCAGGAGAATGGCCTGAACCCGGGAGGCGGAGCTTGCCGTGAGCCGAGATTGCACCACTGCACTCCAGCCTGGGTGACAGAGTGAGACTCTGCCTCAAAAAAAAAAAAAAAAAAAAAGGAAAATATCTGTTTTAGGATGTTGAATATGTTAAATGTTATATTGAATTTTAAAATGATTTTTTAAAAGTCAGTATAGGATGTTAAAACTCTTCAGTATGTTTCATGGGACTAGATGGCCAGAAAAGAATAAAGACAGCTGTTTTTTAAAAAGGTTTCCAGAAACATTAGTTGTAAAGAATTTTGGCATTACCCATTTTCCTTACATTGGTTTCAGTTGGTTACAGTAATGGGAATCTCAAAAAGTGATGCTAGCAAAATTTGTGACCTGGGGTTATTTGGGATGTAGCATAATAAAATCTCATATTTTGAATTAATGGATTGAGGGTTAAAAAAGATTTTGAATGCCAGATTGACTGATTATTGAGGGAATAGCAGTTGGTTCGTATTACTATTTAGAATAAATTTAACAAGACTACCTCTTTGAATTACATCTTGTATGCATTGTTGCAGTTGTTGAGTATCTGGTACCTCAATATAGCTTGAGATTGGATGCACTTAATTTATTCTTAAATTCATGTCTCAGTGGTTTCCTTAAAAAAAAAAGGCTAAAACATTGAATGGAGTTGTACTTTAAAGTAAGGGGTACAGCTGGGCACAGTGGCTCACACCTGTAACCCAGCACATTGGGAGGCTGAGGCAGGAGGATCACTTGCCCAGGAATTCGAAACCAGCCTGGGCAACATGGTGAAACCCTATCTCTACAAAATATACAAAAAATGAGATCGGTGAGGTGGTGCGTGCCTCTAGTCCCAGCTACACAGAGCGCTGAGGTGGAAGAATCACCCGAACTTGGGAGGTGAAGGCTGCAGTGAGCTGTGATCACACACTGCAGTCCAGCCTGGGCATCAGAGTAAGACCCTGTCTCCAAAAAAAAAAATAAATAAATAAAATAAATTCATGGATCTTTTTGTTTCTGTTGGACATACTCTTCTCTGTCTCAGCCGTAATCTAGGAAGACCTCTACAGACCTCAAGAACTCTCTTTATGCGTGCAATTCCATCCTTTCTGGTTTTCTGCCTTGCAACTTGAAACCACCTTGGCTTCCAGGAAAGACCCTGGGCTCTGTTTGAGCTCTCCCTCTCTGCACTGAGGCTTAGAAACTGTCTCTGAGCAGTAAGCTGGAGCAGTCACAGGACTCATCTCATTTGTTTCCCTTCCCGCAGGGATCACAGGCTTGCACTGCCTCTTGGTCGATGTCTTAAAATGTGTTGCTTCATCCCTGTCTGGTTTCCTAGTTGTTTAAAGCAGGAGGGTAAATGTGGTCCCTGATACACCACTGTGGTATAAGTGGTTGTCTGCCTTTACTTTTAAATTAGAATTCCAAGGTTCTATGTATTTTTTTTTAGAGAAAATGGATTATATTTATTGTTTCTAGAGGGGAGCATATTTTAAAGATTTTATCTCCCTGTTTTAGAGAGTGAGAATTGTACTTCTCTTATTTTAAATGCAGAATGTTACTTTGGATCGCCTCTGTGTATAAGTATAACTGCTAGGCTTTTACCAGATGGCATTATAAACCCTTGGCATTTACATAATATATTTTTTCACAATTCACAGCATATTAAAAGTTCTGAGAAATCTGATAGAGGAACTCATTTATTTGCTTAATCCAGTTCTTTACAAGTTCATTTGACTATGGAATCCCCTTGTCATCTATACCTGTTAACATCATACAGTATGCTTTGAAAAATAGTCCTAAGAGTTAACCTTTTTTTCCCCATGGTCTTCTTTACCATTTTAATGGCTGCATAGTGCAGTTTTACATTAAGGGTGTGAACTATAGAACCATTTCCTAATTGGGATTTTTTTTTACTTTTTTTTGAGACGAAGACTCACTCTTGTCCCCCAGGCTGGAGTGCAATGGCGTGATCTTGGCTCACTGCAACCTCTGCCTCCCGGGTTCAAGCGATTCTCCTGCCTCAGCCTCCCGAGTAGCTGAGATTACAGGCGCCTGCCACCACGCCCAGCTAATTTTTGTATTTTTTAGTAGAGATGGGGTTTCACCATGTTAGCCAGGCTGGTCTCGAACTCCTGACCTCAGGTGATCCACTAGCCTCAGCCTCCCAAAGTGCTCGGATTACAGGTGTGAGCCACTGCGCCCGGCCCTAATTGGGATTTTTAAGCCATTCCAACATTGCCACTATTGAGTACTACAGCAATGTTCAGTTAATACATGTAGCCTTTTCTGTATATCAAACTATTACTATGTTAGTATTGTATATTATAGTAAAATATAGTAATATATCGTACTATATATCTATATGTTAAATTATAATATCTATAATCTTATTATAGATTTCTAAAGGTGGGATTATTGGGCCAAAAGGATAAAATGTTTTATGGCTGTTAATATTACCTAATTGATGTTTTAAAGAAATCTTTTAATTTTTTATCACTGATAATCCAAAACTATCAGATTTGGGTACACCAGTATTATTTTTGGCTGCTTTATTAAGGGGAAAAAAGTGTGTCATTGTTGATAACATCAGTTGGTTGATGGATGGAGAAGCTGCATGAATCTTTTTCTCATAGTCTTACCAGACTTCACACTTCTATCCACTAAACTTTTCAAATAAGTTAATGGTTCTCAATGTAGTAGATTAATTAATTAATATCTCGGATTGAGACTTCACATACTTTGGTAGAAATTTATTACTCTTATATCCTTTGTCAATTTTGACTTTTTTGAATACCTTTTTTTTTAAGTTATAACTTTGCCTATTATAACTCCTTACCTCCATTTTTAAACAGTGTGACTATGAAAATGTTCCAACCACTGTATTTACTCCTTTGGAATATGGTGCTTGTGGCCTTTCTGAGGAGAAAGCTGTGGAGAAGTTTGGGGAAGAAAATATTGAGGTAAGTTCTTTTCCTCTTTTCTCCTATGTTATATCACTACTTTTTTTTCTTCAGAATTTAAAATATATAGAAGACTTAAAAAATAGTACAAAGCATTTTCATATACCCGTTATCCAGATTCATATATTACTAACATTGTGCCAATTTATTTTATACACTTTTAGTAGTCTCTCATTCTGTGTGTGTGTGTGTGTGTTTCTGTGAATCATTTGAGAGTAAGTTGAATTCTCCTTTACCCCTAAATACTTTATTGTGTATTTCTATGAACGAGGGCATTTTCTTATATAGCCGTAGTGTAGTTACCACTTTCAGGAAATTTGGTATTGGTGTAATATTTTTATCTGATTTAATTTTCATTTTCTAATTCTGTCAGTTGACCCAATCGTATTTCCTTTTACTTTTTAAAATCACATTTATTGATTTCTCTGGGTTAATTATAGGAAAATGAAAAGAAAAAATAAAAATTTTTCACTGCTCCTACCATTAGTACTACTTGTTTCTAGCATTACTCTCTAATTTGTACTAACTTTTCTGCTCACATTTTATCATGGAGTCAAAGAAAATGCACATGAAATACACTGTTTCTGTATACACAAATAATGCCACCCAAAAGGACTGCTGTTTTAAATCATTTTAGGGAAAATTTCCAATAAAACCTTTTGAAAGACCAAATTTGTGAATAAGTCAATTTTTAAAAATAAAAAGCCTATTTTAAATCTCTTAATAATCTTTTTCTTTATTACATGCACTGGTAGTAGCATGTAATATGTTGGTCTATTAGTAACACATTATTAACCTTTTTTTCTGATTATAAGAATAGTATATCTGGCTGGCATGGTGGCTCATGCCTGTAATCTCAGCACTTTGGGAGGCCGAGGTGGGTGGATCACCTGAGGCCAGGAGTTTGAGACCAGCCTGACCAACGTGGAGAAACCCCATCTCTACTAAAAATATGAAATTAGCCAGGAGTGGTGGTGCATGCCTGTAATCCCAGCTACTTGGGAAGCTGAGGCAGGAGAATCGCTTGAACCCGGGAGGCGGAGGTTGCAGTGAGCCAAGATTGCGCCATTGCACTCCAGCCTGGGCAACAAGAGAGAAACTCCGTCTCAAAAAAAAAAAAAAAAAAAAAAGAATAGTATATCTTTATTATAGGAAGTTTCAAAATTAGGAAAATATCAAAAAGGAAATTTTAATTCATGAAGAGATAACTGCTATTAATATTTTTGTGTATTTCCTTCCAGTTTCTTTTTCTCTAAATATTTTGATGCGTTTTTATATTTTATGTATATATATATGTGTGTGTGATTTTGTGTGAGTATGTATGTCTTAATGTTTTTCAAAGTTTGATGAAGTTACAGTTTTAGGTCCAAGCTTAATATTAATGTTATGTCATGAACATTTCCTGTCTTTAATTCTCTAAAATCTCCATTTAAAAAAAATGTGTAATTCTTCTTTTAAGGGGTGCTATACTGTAATTTGTTAAGCCATTCTTTGATTAGGTTGTTTACAGTTTTTCATTATTATAAATAGAATTGACATCTTCATAATTCATTGTTTCTCAGTTTATTTTTTGAAGATAGATTTCCTGTGTGAGTGTGTATATACATGACATACATATATAATTAAAATTTGAAATTTTTAATATATATTTCATATTTCTTGATAGACAATATTTAAGTTTTTTAAAATTTGCTTTGTTATTATAGAAGTATAACGTGTTTGAGTTGAAGAAACTTTGAAAAATGTAAGGGAAAGAGGAAACAATTACTTATGGAGTTAGAGCTGTAACAGCAATTGTTAGCAATTTGGGGTGATTCCTTTAATTTTTTTCCTATATAATTGTGATACTATGATACTGTACATTAAATTTTGTAACCCATGTTTATTTTTAAAATTATATTATTTATCACAACATCGAAGAACACTTGTTATGTCTTCATAATCAGTTTGCTCGTAAAAGGTAGCGAATCATGTTTTGAACTGAGGCTAGCAGCTGGAGGAAAAAAAAAATCCATTTAGTCAACCAGCAATTAAATTAGTAAGGATGCTGTCGTTCCACCCTTCCTTCCTCCTTTCCTTCCCTATCTCCTTCCTTCTTTCCTTCCCTATCTCCTTCCTTCATTGCTTTTAGTGAATAATGCCAAAGGAGGAAATGTCTTTTGGAAGCATTTAGCAAGAGAACTAGATAATTACCTTAATTGATCCTGGCACCTTATTTGTTTCTTGCCCAAGTTGTCATTCACAGTGGATAACAAGATAGTATTGAGTTTGGGTGTGTGTGTGTTTTCAATGTATGACAGCAGGTAATTAAATGGCTTATTTCTGTCATTCCCTTGCTCTTTTTTGTTATTAGTTAGGGTGTACTATTTTGAGGTAGAGATATACATAATTAAGGGATGAGCTTATAGCAAAAGTGCCTGACAGCAAGGAGTTGAAAGTCATTTACCTTTTGACCAGATTCCTATTTATTCCATGAATTTTATTATTTAATGAAAGTCTACTTATTAAAGAGTCTCTACTGTCTTTCACCATATATGTTTGACAGACTTAATGTTTAAAATAATGGGTCTAAATTTTGCTTTTGTATCTTCTTAGGTTTACCATAGTTACTTTTGGCCATTGGAATGGACGATTCCGTCAAGAGATAACAACAAATGTTATGCAAAAATAATCTGTAATACTAAAGACAATGTAAGTTTAATTCTCAATCCTTTCCAGTAATTTTATTTAGTTGTTGTTTTTTGTTGTTGTTTTTTTTTTAGATGGAGTCTTGCTCTGTTGCCCAGGCTGGAGTGCAGTGGCGCTATCTCTGCTCACTGCAACCTCCGCCTCCCGGGTTCAAGTGATTCTCCTGCCTCAGCCTCCCAACTAACTGGGATTACAGACTTGCGCCACCACACTGGCTAATTTTTGTAGACGGGGGTTTCACCATGTTGGCCAGGCTGGTCTTGAACACCTGACCTCGTAATCTGCCTGTCTCGGCCTCCCAAGGTGCTGGAATGTACAGGCGTGAGCCACCATACCCGGCTTTAGTTTTTAATATATAGCTTAGTTGGTCACATGGTGCAGATGGCATTCCTTCAGTATTTCGCGTGCCAGTTGTCTCAGCTGATAGATATCAGCAGCTGGCAAGGACCTTGGCTGCACTGCCTGCTGCCCCCTCATCTTCACTGGCACAGGGCCCTACACTTAGTCAACAGGCAGCCAAAACTTACTGAGTGAAGGAACCAAAGGCACAACTTGAGAACTGTCTATGTTTGTGTTTATAGAAGAGGAACAATAAAGTCATCGACTATCTAAATATAATGAATAACAAAAAAGAACAGGAGCAATGCACGTTTGATCCTCAGCAGCTGGCACTACTAAGAAAGAGCTCTTAATTGAGTTCTAAGATTTCATTGCCTGATGCTACATGTAATGCTAGTCTGGTGTTATTACGTGTAAATCTAATGTATTTTAAGTGCTTTTTAGTAGTCCTCCCACAGATATACTTTATTCATACCATAAACCCCCAACTGTCCAGGTGAATAAGAGTACAATATGCAATATATTACAGTCCTTTTTTTTTTTTTTTTTTTGAGACGGAGTCTTGCTCTGTTGCCCAGGCTGGAGTGCAGTGGCGTGATCTTGGTTCACTGCAACCTTCGCCTCCCAGGTTCAAGTGATTTTCCTGCCTCAGCCTCCCAAGTAGCTGGGATTACAGGCACCCACCACCATGCCCAGCTATTCTGTATTTTTAGTAGAGACGGGGTTTCACCATGTTGGCCAGGCTGGTCTCGAACTCCTGACCTCAGGTGATCCGTCTGCCTTGGTCTCCCAAAGTGCTGGGATTACAGGTGTGAGCCACCGCGCCCGGCCTATTACAGTACTTTTTTAGCAGAAACCTGTGAAAGCCTGTGAGCAAACTCTATACCTCACAGGGTTTTTTTCCATATATATGAAATGAGGGATTGGATAATTCATATTTTTTAAAGTTTTTTGACTGTGGGACACTGGTATATTCATATACACACACTCTCTTTAATATTGACTCTTAAGAAAACTGATCTTTTTAACTTAGCTAACACTTTTTAAAGAAACGACCTCAGTAAAAATATAAATGATGTTAAAGAATCTGTATGTTAAAAGCCTAGTAAACTGATAATGTTTTAATCTTGAAATTTGAATATAATTAAGCCATGTATCCTATTTGGAAACTACTGCTTTAGGCAGTAGGACAGTTACAGGTTGGTTTTTTGGTAAAACCAAGGGTTTTAGAAAACATTTTCTTGAATCCTCTGCAAAAAAGATTCAAATGAATATACTAGGATAACCCATAATGAGCTACACAGCTAACATAAATAACAATTGTATATATAGTTGTCTTTTTCTTTTTAGGCAAATTTTCTCAAAAGTTTATTTATATGAGTATACATTAGATATCACTTTTACTGCAGACAAAAGGAGAAAATGTCAGCCATTCTCACTGGCAGTATATTAACTGCCCCTGTCTCACTGAGAGAGACTTCAATTGCTCATAGCAGTCAGTGAAACCTTGAAGGTTTCCTTCCTACCAAGCAAATCCATTTTAACCATATGTATTTTGCTCTTTTTTCAATGTTACATTTGTTCAAATGGCATTGCTAGAATAATGTGGAAAATAATTTTCCTACCAATAAACCTGTCAGTAGTTGAGGTCATAAGTAGGGTGACAGTGTTTTCGGTTATTTTCATAGATAAAGATAGTAATAGAGAAGATGAATATCTGTTACTGCTCTTTTGTCATGAGTAATCTGAGGTAAAAGCTTGTAGAACTTCACTATCCCTGGGGCGTGCTTTATTCATTTTGAATCAGTCACTTGACTTCAGTGTCTAAATGTCCTTGATTCTAAATTGTACTTACAATGTTTATTATCTGCTGGCTTTTGTTCTCTGCTATTTTATTTTTTTTTACATAAAATATTTATAATAAAGATGAAGAAGGTACTCACCATCCAAAGTCAAGGAATGTTAACATTTTTGCTGTATTTGTTTCAGGGCTTTTTTCTTATAAGAGATAAACCATCATATATGCAGTTTATAACAGCTTATATTTATTGAGCACTTACTGTGTACCAGGCACTATAGAGCTCTACAGGTATTAACTTATTTAATCCTTACACAGTCCTGTGAGGTATATATGCTATTGTTTCCCCCTTTTTATAGATGAGGAAACTGAAGCACATGGAAGTTAAGTAACTGTGCTCAAATCATTTACCTAGGGAAGGGCAGATCTGTACATTTATTCTCACACAATGTAGATACCATGCTATTAACTATTATCTTATGCCTATGCAGTCTTCTGTCTTCCTTCACTTCAAAAGGTAAAACTTTGAAGTCGAAGGGTCTCATGCTTACGTTCTTATGTTTGCCACCTATTTATGAATGCATACACATTATACAGTGTTCGTGGTTTAATTGCAGGTGGCATCCTCATTATGTAGAGCTCTGCAACTTTTTAATAATCTCTTGTTTTTTGAGACCCTTTCCACATTATTACATGGAAATCTATTTTAAGTGCTTTTTAGTAGTTCCTCCTATGGATACGCTTTATTCATACCATAAACCCGGAATCGTCAGGGCGAATATGTGTAAGAGTACCATATGCAATATATTACAGTCCTTTTGTCAACAGAACAACCTCCTGATTGTTTCCAGGGAGTGATGGAACCTTAGACAAGCTCTGCACCCCACAGCCTGAGTTGCCTCATCTGTTATGACGAGATTGCACTAGATAGTCTAGTCAGAGTCTGCGCTGAAAATCTATCAGCTCAACAGTAGAGTGCATCAGATTTCTCTGCTTTTGGCAGAGGTAGCCAGAGTTTGAGATTTCAAATTTATCCAAAATAATTTCTACACAGGTATTTTAGAGTGCCAGACATTTTTCTTTTGCTTTCAAAAATGTTTTCAGACTTTGCTGGGCACAGTGGCTCACGCCTGTAATCCCAGCACTTTGGGAGGCCGAGGTGGGTGAACTGCTTAAGCTCACAAGTTCGGGACCAGCCTAGACAACATGGCAAAACCCCATGTCTATTAAAAACAAAACAAAACAAAAATGTTTTCAGACTTTAATGGTCTTGCACTATTTATCCTCAAAACCTTATTTAAAATTACTTTTAAAATTTTATTTGTATTTTATTTTTTAGAGACAGGGTCTTACTTTATCACCCAGGATAGAGTGCAGTGGTGTGATCATAGCTCACTGCAGCCTCGACCTCCTGGGCTCAAGCATTCCTCCCACCTCAGCCTCCCAAGTAGCTGGGACTACAGATGTGAGCCACTGTGCCCAGCTAATTTTTTTTTTTTTTTTTTTTTCCTGTAGGGACAGAGTCTCCCTATGTTGCCAGGCTGGTCTTGAATGCCTGGCCTCAGGTGATTCTCCTGCCTCAGCCTCCCAAAGTGCTGGGATTACAGGCTTGAGCTATGATGCCCAGTCAAAATTTTAATTTGAATGACTACTCTTAAGGGTCCCAGCTATTACAGATAGCCTCTGTGGAGCTGAGATGATCAAATACAGGACGTGAGGACACCCTGCCCTTTGATAATATTTTCCAGAACATTTTGGTGATTAAAGACTTGTAGGCATCTTTGCCTTTTGTATTTTTTCTCATAAAATTGAGTAAACACTTGTAGCTGTCCCTTGTCTCTTTGTTCCTGTTTGAAGTGAACATCATACTCTATGTTTTGGTTCATGTTGGGGAGTCTTTAGCCTAAGTAGCTGTTAGCAGCAGTCATTAAAGTCTCTGGCCATTTTTCCAGGTGCGGTGGCTCACACCTGTAATCCCAGCACTTTGGGAGGCCGAGGTGCGTGGATCACCTGAGATCAGGCATTCGAGACCAGCCTGGCCAACATGGCGAAACCCCGTCTCTACTAAAAATACAAAAAAATTAGCCGGGCATGGTAGCGCCTGCCTGTAGTCCCAGCTACTCGGGAGGCTGAGGCAAGAGAATCGCTTGAATCCAGGAGGCGGAGGTTGCGGTGAGTGGAGATCGCGCCATTGCACTCCAGCCTGGGCAAGAAGAGCAATACTCCATCTCAAAAAAAAAAAAAAGTCTCTGGTCATTTTCTTTTTTTGAGATGGAGTCTCGCTCTGTCGTCTAGGCTGGAGTGCAGTGGCACGATCTCGGCTCACTGCAAGCTCTGCCTCCTGGGTTCACGCCATTCTCCTGCCTCAGCCTCTCAAGTAGCTGGAACTACAGGCACCCGCCACCACGCCCGGCTAATTTTTTGTATTTTTAGTAGAGACGGGGTTTCACCGTGTTAACCAGGATGGTCTCGACCTCCTGACCTCGTGATCCACCTGCCTCGGCCTCCCAAAGTGCTGGGATTACAGGCGTGAGCCACTGCGCCCGGCCAGTCTCTGGTCATTTTTGAGTTGGATTTTTAAGAAACAGACTGGAGAAATGCTCTAAGCTGTGTAGGAAGAGGAGGGGAGAAAAATCAGCTTAATTGCATTATTGTATTTTTTTTTGCCTTAGGAACGTGTTGTGGGCTTTCACGTACTGGGTCCAAATGCTGGAGAAGTTACACAAGGCTTTGCAGCTGCGCTCAAATGTGGACTGACCAAAAAGCAGCTGGACAGCACAATTGGAATCCACCCTGTCTGTGCAGAGGTGGGTCATCTACACTTATACAGTTTAAAATGTTTAAAATGTGCCACATAGAAGCACACCACCCAGCTTATACATGGCAGATGTAGGACCCTGAGTTTGATGATGATTCCTCAAAAGAGGGCTTTGTCTCTAAAAATTAGTTTTTGTCTTTCAATACTGATTGCTCATGGTATGAACTGGAGGCTTCCGTCATGTCGTTAAGTGGTAAAAATTATGAGAGTGATTTATAGAGCTGTGCCTTAAATATTTTATTTATCATATCTTCTAAATTATTTTCATGGCAATCAGTTAATAATGGAAGAGCTTCAATCTTAGTTATTCCACAGCTATCTTGAGGCTAATTGATACTGTCTGCCTCTTCAGCTTATGGTATCAGTGAATGAGATTTGAAAATGATGCTTTCAAAAGATCAAATGACAGTAGAACTAGAAATTGACCAATCTAGGCCTCTGGGTGTCAGTGTTTCTTCGCTACCAGTGATCATCCAAGAGTTGAATATTGTAATACTTAACTGCATAGGAATGGTAAGCCAAAAATGTGTTTATATTGGAGAACTTGGGAAGGTGTGGGAGGAGGCACGTCATACTATACCAGCTTATATATGGAGTTGAAAATTGCAGTGATTATCTGTTGTAGCCAGTGGCTTCCAAGGTGTACATTGCACTTGCAAACACGCACACACACACATATGCACATTGTTGCCAGATTTCATCCAGCAGCTCCATGACTGGTTGTTCTGTCTGTTCATGGTTGCTTTTGTACAACTGAACTCATTGCTGAGTATGTGGAATGTCAGCTTTAAGACCTGGAAAAACATTTTAGCTTTCTTTTGCTTTGTCTTCTCTGTGATCGAGAATCCTCCTCTATTAATAGGCACCTGGCTGGGATATAAGCCTAAAATATTAACATGTTGAGAGATTAGGGCATCATTTATTTCTTTCATTTATAGAAAGCTGCTGTTTTTGTGACGGAAATAGAATTAAGCTTCAAAAAAATATAAAAACTGAAGTCTTGATTAATGCCTTTAATGTGCAATAGATCTTTTATTCAGTGTAATGACTCAAACTGCCTGTGTTGGGAAGGAGCCAATTAACTTTGCTTTCTTGAGTACATTAGTTTCCCAGGGCTATTGTAACAAAGTACCACAAACTGGGTGGCTTAAAAATAGCAGATATTTCCTCCCTCTCAGTTCTGGAGGCAAAAAAGTCCAAACTCAAGATGTCAGCAGGGCCAAGCTCCCTCCAAAGGCACTAGGGAAGAATCCTCCCTTGCCTCTTCTTCTGTCTTCTAGTAGCAATGGCAATCCTTGGCGTTCCTTGGCTTGCAGATGTATCACTTTAATCTCTGCCCCCCTCTTCACATGGCCTCATCCCTTGTGTGTCTGTGTCCAAATTTCCCTCCTCTTTCTTATAAAGAAACTCCAGTCATTGGATTAGGGCCCACTCTAATCCAACATGATCTCATTTTCACTTGATTACATCTGCAAATACCCTATTTCCAAATTCACAAATACTGGGGGTTACGACTTGATCATGCCTTTTAGGGTTATGGGGACACAATTCAACCCACAATAGTGAGTATATTTAAAAATGTAGATGCCATTTCAAGATACTCACAAGCTTCAATAGCCATTTTTGATAGGGACGAAGGAAAAGACGATTTTATTGTCTTTTGTATATGAGTGTCTAATTTTTTGTCTGAATTCAGCTCTCAGTGGGCTTGTTGAAAGACTGCTGTGTGCTGGCCTCTGACCCCCTCAGGAGGCTATTGTGCTGTGATCCAGCAGCAGCGTACATGGCAGCATCTGGCAGGGTGACTGCCAGCTGAGCAGAAGGATGCAGTGAGGACACAGGACGTCTCCTGAAGCCCATGGCTGTGGGGAGGTCAGCCAAAGGCCTGTTCTCCTTGGTATGCCTGGCACATTTGAGGCTGTGCATCTCCATCTGTTGGTCCTCTTATGATGTTGAAGCTCAGAGGCTGAATGTTCTGGTGCTTTGATAGGACTCTGATACTTTGTTTTCCCCAAGCTGTTGGCTGATTAAGAAGATAAAAAAAATTGGGTGAAATCGCACTCTGTGAACACACTTCTCAAGCTGTGTACACAGTGCCGTGCTGGACACTGGGGACACAGCAGGGATTTGAGATAAGCTTAGGAGGAGAGGAGGCAGCTAGGTGATGTGCCAGTTAACAATTCTGCCTGACGGGTCCTAGGATCAGGGTAGATATAAAGTGCTGGAGGCACTGGGGTGCCACATTTGTGGTCTTTGCCTCAGGGATTCTTGTGATCTGTTTTTTTACTCACAGAGCACTTCTGACCCCAGATTTGTGGGGGTTTTGCTCACACGACCAATTCTCCAGCTTTCTAGACACCAGCTGGGTGTCTAGAAACAACCAATTGTCTAGAACAACCAATTCTCCAGCTTTCTAGACACCAGCTGGGTGACCTCTAATGTAACTCAATTCTGATACCAGCTGCCTGGAGTTAGCATCAGATCCTGCAAGGGCTCATTCCCATAAGACTGCCTCCACTGCAGAGGCCAGTGTCAAGCCCAGGCCTCCTGTACTTCTGACCTACCAGCTATAAAGTCAAGGGGTTCCCATGATAAATTGCTAGCATGGCTCACAGAACTCAGGAATAAACTTTACTTATATTTACTTGTTTATTATAAAGGTTGCAACTCAGGAACAGCCAAATGGAAGAGATACACAGGGCAAGGTGGTTGTGGGGAGGCGGGGGACAACAGAGCTTCCATGTCCTCTCTAGGTGTGGCATCTTCCCAGCACCTTGATATTCACCAACCTGGAAGTTCTCCAAACCCCTTATTTAGGGGTGTTTATAGAGGTCCCATTATGTAGGCATGATTGATTAATCATTGGCCATTGGTAATTACCCAATCTCCTGCTCCCTCCCCAGATGTAGGGGACCAGAACTGGGGCTAAAAATTCTACCTCTGATGACATGGTTGGTTCCTCTGGCAACCAGCTGCCATCTTGAAGCTATCTAGGGCCCCACCAAGAGTCACATCATTAGCATAAGCTCAGGTGTGGTTGAAAGGGGCTCATTATGAATAGCAAAAGATGCTCATCTCACTAGTGTCACTCGGGAAATTCCAAGGGTTTTAGAAGCTCCCTTGCCAGGAACCAGGGACAGGATGGAAGACCAAATACATATTTCTTCTCATTTCACAATATCGTAGGATGTTGGGGCAGGATGATTCTGGAGGGAGTTCTTACCTAAGACTAGAACAATGTGTGAGTGTTAGCTAGTGAGAGAACACTGTACAAAAGGCCTGGGTGGGAAAGCGGATGGCTCATTCAAGGAACTGAAGAAGACCCTCAATATTGGCATAGCTTAAAGAGCTTAGAGAGTTAAAAATATATATTTATTTTTTATTTTTTTGTATATATATGCTGGAGAAACAGGTGGGTAAGTGATGGTCTTGTAAACTAAGGAAGGGTATTTTGACTGCCTTTGGGGCATTGTGATTCAGCCAAAAGGTCTAAAGCAGGGAGTAATATGATCAGGTACATTGTTCAGAAACATTCCTCCAGCTGCACCGTGGAAGCGGGACTGAGCGAGCAAGTGAAGTGGCAGATCCAGTTATGTGGCTGGTGAGGTGCATGAGAGGAGATGATAGTGGCCGGAGGTGTGGCAGTGGAAATGGAGTGACACGGTTATATTTGAGGGCAGAGTTGATAGTACTTGGCAGCTGGCTGGGAATGGGAAGAGGGAGAGCTGAAGACCACTCAGGTTTGTGTCCTGCAGCAGGAAGTAATAGCAAGAGCAGACTCGAGGTGACAGCGAGGACGAAACCACTGATGTGTGTGAGGGCCTGCTGTGTGCTGGGTACTGTGTCCCTGCCTGTTGACTAACTTAGTCGTTGTGAGCACCCCATGCGGTGGATGCGGTAGTATATCTATTTGACAGACGAGGAAACCAAGGACAAAGAGGTTGAGTAACTTGCCCATGGTAACCCAGCCTGGTCATGGCCGAGCTGGGATTCAAACCCAGGCAGCCCAGACCCCAAAGCACCACATTGTGCAGCTGATACTTCATCTCCACAGACTGTCCTACCATATTTGGCATAGAATTTAAAAATGGAAATGATTCTTGGTAGCAACACGAATGTAGTGGAGACACACAGACCTGGGTTGTAATCTCACTCAGCCAATTCCTCTTAGTGAGACCTGGCCATACCACCCAGGTTTTCAGAAGCTTAGTTTCCACATTAAATAAAGTAAGAGGCCAGGCGTGGTGGCTCACTCCTATAATCCCAGCACTTTGGGAGCCTGAGGCGAGTGGATCACTTGAAGCCCGGAGTTTGAGACCAGCCTGGCCACATAGCAAAACCCAATCTCTACCAAAAATAACAAAAAAATAACTGTGCATTGTGGCGTATGCCTGTAATCCCAGCTATGTTGGAGACCGAGGCACAAGAATCACTTGAACCCAGGAGGCAGAGGTTGTACTGAGCCAAGATCACGCCACTGCACTCCAGCCTGGGCGACAGTGAGACCCTGTCTCAAAAAAAAAAAATAAAACAAAATGGCCTGGCTCAGTGGCTCACGCCTGTAATCCCAGCACTTTAGGAGGCCAAGGTGGGCAGATCATCTGAGGTCAGGAGTTCAAGACCAGCCTGGCCAACATGGCAAAACCTTGTCTCTACTAAAAATACGAAAATGGCCTGATGTGGTGGTGCATACCTGTAGTCCCAGCTACTCAGGAGGCTGAGGCATGAGAATTGCTTGAATCTGGGAGGTGGAGGTTTCAGTGAGCCGAGATCACGACACTGCACTCCAGCCTGGAGCGAGACTCTATCTCAAATAAAAAAAAAAGTAAAATAAAATAAGGGAATATCTAACTGTAGGGTTGATTAAAATGCAACCTGTAAAGTGTGTAGGAGAGTTCCTGGCATTTAATAGATGCCGAATAGCTGCACCTGTTAGCTGTTTTTTCCCCAGGATATTATAGATGTGGCTGTGGCTTGGGAGGGGAGACGATGTGGCTGGACTGAAAGGTCATCATGCCAGTATTTTTAATGGGGGTTGGAGAGAGATACATATTGTGAAAAAGCTCCAGTGATTTTTTTTTTTTTTAAACCCTGGTTGTGAACTACTTGCGTTGATACTGGATTTTGAAAAACCAAAGGCTTTAAACTCCTGGTTATGGACATTTTAAAAAATTATTTTTAATTGACACAATAATTGTACATATTTATGGGGTGCATAGTGATGTTT
Organism: Homo sapiens; assembly: GCF_000001405.40. Classification (NCBI taxonomy): domain Eukaryota; kingdom Metazoa; phylum Chordata; class Mammalia; order Primates; family Hominidae; genus Homo; species Homo sapiens. The sequence goes on from NC_000012.12 coordinate 104,344,512, forward strand.
TGAAACACAGAGTTTATAGTGATCAGATTAGGGTAATTAGCCTATCAATCATCTCAAACATTGACCATTTCTTTGTGTTGAGAACATTCCATATCCTTCTAGCTATTTGAAAGTATGCATTATTGTTTAACTGTAGTTATCCTAAGGTGCTATAGAACATATTCCTCCTATCTAGCTGTAGTTTTATATCCTTTAACAAATCTCTCCCTATCTCCTTCTCCCAACCCTTACCAGCCTCTAGTAATCTCTGTTCTACTTTTTACTTCTGTGAGTAAGCTAGCACAGCCACTGTGGTCAACAGTATGGAGGTTCCTCAAAAATCTGCAAATAGAGCTACCATATGATCCAGCAATCCCACTACTTAACTGGGCATTTATCCCAAGGAAGTCTTTTAGGGGTTCATAGGAGGAACTCTTTTCTCTGCCAAATGCTGGGTTCTGACTTGGATAGTATTTGGATTTGCTACTGGACCCACTGTTTTTATCGTCCAGACATATTCTGTGGGGAATGTGATATTCTGTGGGGAATGCGGTTCAGAAGTGGTCCACAGAATGTTTGTTATTAGTCCATAATGATAGAAGGCTAGAAACGAAGAAGAAAGTTTAGAAATTTTAACAATAATTTGACAGTGACTGATCTAGTAATAAACAATGGTGTTTTAATTTTACATGCCTTTTAAAATTTCATTTCCCCAGTACATTGTCAGTGAATTTCACAAGTGTTAGTCCAGTGGATGAATTAGAAATAATAATAATTTTTAAACCAGTCCTGAGTACTACTTTAAACTGAGTGCTCAAAAATAGCTGCAGCTCCAGAGCCAGCTGTGGTAGGCTGGCACAGTGACTCACTTTGGTAAAAATCCTGGGCAATTGAGAGCAGTCTTTGACTCTGAGGAGTAATTACTTACAAAAGTTGACAAATTCCTTAGCAAAGTAATTTCCAAAGGGAATTACTAGAATTCTAGAATTGCTGTAAGAGGAGAGGCTACTCTTGTTTGTCCTGTGTGAGAGGGATTCTCAGCGCCTGGGGCATTAGCAATGCATTTGCCGTATTCAGTGTGAGATGGGGTTGGTGGTCATTTATTCTGAACACCTGAGCCGCAGTCATTGAGTAGGAAACGGATTACACATAGTTATGAAGTTCACTTGTAGAGGAGAAAAACAATAGTTCAAGAGGAAAACATTTGAAAATACTTCCTTGTAATGTCTTAAATGAATTTTAGTGCCAAATATTAAAAGTTTTTGTGTTTTTTGTTTGTTTTTAATTTAATAGTCAATATAATCCCACTCTAAAGTGAGGGAGCCTTCTGCGGCTGGAAGTGGTGGGGACAGATAAGAGTATGTGAGGTGGAAAGCCTCCAGCAGCTCCTGACCCTTGTACGAGTCCTGTGTGTTGGGATGGAAGGGCATGGAGGCTGCCCCTTCTGCTCATTTTTTAAAAATACATGTTTTTATAAAAATTCTAAAACAGTTGTGTACGAATGAAATCTGTCAATTGACCCAAGCAGTTTTTTTCATTTATTTGAGATAGGGTTCCTGTCACCCAGGCTGGAGTGCAGTGGTGTGATCTCAGTTCACTGCAGCCTTGACCTTTCAAGCTCAAGCGATGTTCCTGCCTCAGTCTCCTGAGTAGCTGGGACCACAGGTACATGCCACTGTTTCCAGCTAATATATATATATATATTTGAGACAGGGTCGCATTATGTTGCCCAGGCTGGTCTCAAACTCCTGGGCTCAAGCAATCCTCCCGCCTTGGCTTCCCAAAGTGCTGGGATTGCAGGCGTGAGCCACGGTGCCTGGCCAGTTTTTTATTTAGACTGATCAACGATGGCAGTTTGGCTTCCTCCATCTTTTTAACATAAGAACAACATCAATATGAGAAAAAACAGATAAGAGCTCATTTTGGTGGATTTAGTTTTGTATCCACATCTCCTACAAGTTCTATTTCTAAATCAGTTTCTGAGAAATAGAACCCAGGCTTGCAAATTGATAAGCCTGGAATTTGTTTAAATGTATTCTTTGGCTCTTTATTTTTTTCCTCATTATAAAAATGGAAAAGAAAGCATGTTTGAATTGCCCTTAATACCCCTTTCTAACACAGTTATTTTTATTATCATGTATTGTTTCCCCGTCCTCATCTGTACTCCTACATTTTTTTTAAACAAAGGAATTTTATTGCCTTTCCAAAAAAGTTGTACTAGTTTATAATGTCACCAGCATTGCATATAAGAGTGCTAATTAAAATGTTGCAAAATTCAGTGTCAATGTTTTTTCTATAATGAGTATAAAAAGGATAACTATTGGCCAGGCACAGTGGCTCATGCCTGTAATCTAAGCACTTTGGGAGGCCGAGGCAGGTGGGTCACCTGAGGTCAGGAGTTTGAGACAAGCCTGGTCAACGTGGTGAAACCCTGTCTCTACTAAAAATCCAAAAATTATCCGAGCATGGTGGCAGGTGCCTGTAATCCCACCTACTCGGGAGGCTGAGGCAGGAGAATCGCTTGAACCTAGGAGGCAGAGGTTGCAGTGAGCCAAGATTGTGCCGCTGCACTCCAGCCTGGGTGACAGAGTGAGACTGTCTCAAAAATAAAAATAATAATAAAATAACGATTTCAAGGATTTTAGCATATCTTTGCTAACAATGATGAGCCTCTTTCTTCTTATAATGATTTTTTTTTTTGGATATGAATTATCCATATTTTCTAATGCATTTGTATTTTAAAACTTTTTAAGATACTGGCCATTAGTATTTGGTCTGGATTTTTTTGAGAAGTAAAGGCTTTGTCACCCTCTGAGGCTAAAACAGACTAAAGACTTTTCTCAGTATTGTTCCTCCCTTACACAAAACTGTTTTCCCCCTTATTCACAAGTATTTTTGTTTTTACGTACAGGCAATCTTGAGCAGTAGCAAGTAAAGATTGTCTAAAACTGTCAAGTCCACAACCATCAAATGTTTGCAAGGATATGAAACAAGGAGAACTTGTTAGTCACTGCAAATGAGAGTATAGGTTGGTTCAGGTACCTTGAAAATCTAGTCAAGCCAAAGTTTCACCTGCCCTCTGACTCAGCAGTTGTACTCCAGCTCTGTGTGCAAGGAGATGTGCTGGAATGTCACAGCATCGTATTGCAAAGAGCATATTGGCAACAGCTTGGATGGCCAGCAGAAGGAGCCCAAATGTGTGATTCATATTCACTAGTCGAATAATTGAATACTACAATATACACCATATATACTACACTGTATGTGTTGTTCTATACTATAGTGATTGACTCGAACTCCATTCAGTGAAAAAAATGGAAGAATTAGCTATTTGTATCCATATGGGATACAAAAAAGCAGGGTAACAAAAGAATCTACATCATCTTGCCATTTGCAGGTAAAGCTTCTTAAAAAAACAAGAGAAATGCAGGAAGAAATGCCTAGGAATGATAAGACCAACTCGGTGGAGGGAAAGGAGGAAAAGGCCAATGGGGTGGCACACACAGGGCTAACTGGGCACTTTATACCCTTCTTTATATCCAAAATATTTTATGGTGAATTTCTTTTAGAGGGTTGACAAGCACCTGTGGGTACCTGATCTGTTTTAATCATCCTCATGCTAACAAAATTCTTCAGTAGATATAACCTAAATTTTTTTTCTCTTTCATCTTGGTTTTAAAATGTCTTCCCCCTTTTATTCTCTGGAGAAATAGAAGATATCCTTGATCATACTACTTCTCTGTTTTATTCATTTTGGTAGTCGCCTAAGATGGTTTTAATGCATATGGCATTATCTGAACTGTTCCCTGTTACCTCATTTGCTCAGGCATCTGAAGATGTTGTGCTTTCTCTTCCCCTGCAGGTATTCACAACATTGTCTGTGACCAAGCGCTCTGGGGCAAGCATCCTCCAGGCTGGCTGCTGAGGTTAAGCCCCAGTGTGGATGCTGTTGCCAAGACTGCAAACCACTGGCTCGTTTCCGTGCCCAAATCCAAGGCGAAGTTTTCTAGAGGGTTCTTGGGCTCTTGGCACCTGCGTGTCCTGTGCTTACCACCGCCCAAGGCCCCCTTGGATCTCTTGGATAGGAGTTGGTGAATAGAAGGCAGGCAGCATCACACTGGGGTCACTGACAGACTTGAAGCTGACATTTGGCAGGGCATCGAAGGGATGCATCCATGAAGTCACCAGTCTCAAGCCCATGTGGTAGGCGGTGATGGAACAACTGTCAAATCAGTTTTAGCATGACCTTTCCTTGTGGATTTTCTTATTCTCGTTGTCAAGTTTTCTAGGGTTGAATTTTTTTCTTTTTTCTCCATGGTGTTAATGATATTAGAGATGAAAAACGTTAGCAGTTGATTTTTGTCCAAAAGCAAGTCATGGCTAGAGTATCCATGCAAGGTGTCTTGTTGCATGGAAGGGATAGTTTGGCTCCCTTGGAGGCTATGTAGGCTTGTCCCGGGAAAGAGAACTGTCCTGCAGCTGAAATGGACTGTTCTTTACTGACCTGCTCAGCAGTTTCTTCTCTCATATATTCCCAAAACAAGTACATCTGCGATCAACTCTAGCCAAATTTGCCCCTGTGTGCTACATGATGGATGATTATTATTTTAAGGTCTGTTTAGGAAGGGAAATGGCTACTTGGCCAGCCATTGCCTGGCATTTGGTAGTATAGTATGATTCTCACCATTATTTGTCATGGAGGCAGACATACACCAGAAATGGGGGAGAAACAGTACATATCTTTCTGTCTTTAGTTTATTGTGTGCTGGTCTAAGCAAGCTGAGATCATTTGCAATGGAAAACACGTAACTTGTTTAAAAGTTTTTCTGGTAGCTTTAGCTTTATGCTAAAAAAAATAATGACATTGGGTATCTATTTCTTTCTAAGACTACATTAGTAGGAAAATAAGTCTTTTCATGCTTATGATTTAGCTGTTTTGTGGTAATTGCTTTTTAAAGGAAGTTATTAATATCATAAGTTATTATTAATATTTTGAACACAGGTGGATGTGAAGGATTTTCATTTAAAAACCAAGTGGTTTTGACTTTTTCTGTTGAATGAACAACTGTGCCTTGTGGAATTTTTGCAGAAGTGTTTATGCTTTGTTAGCATTTCAACTTGCATTATTATAAAGAGGTATTAATGCCTCAGTTATGTGTTTGTCAATGTACTGGCTGAGGATTCTATCTCAGCTGTCTTTTCTAACTGTGTAGGTTGAGTTTTGAACACGTGCTTGTGGACATCAGGCCTCCTGCCAGCAGTTCTTGAAGCTTCTTTTTCATTCCTGCTACTCTACCTGTATTTCTCAGTTGCAGCACTGAGTGGTCAAAATACATTTCTGGGCCACCTCAGGGAACCCATGCATCTGCCTGGCATTTAGGCAGCAGAGCCCCTGACCGTCCCCCACAGGGCTCTGCCTCACGTCCTCATCTCATTTGGCTGTGTAAAGAAATGGGAAAAGGGAAAAGGAGAGAGCAATTGAGGCAGTTGACCATATTCAGTTTTATTTATTTATTTTTAATTTGTTTTTTTCTCCAAGTCCACCAGTCTCTGAAATTAGAACAGTAGGCGGTATGAGATAATCAGGCCTAATCATGTTGTGATTCTCTTTTCTTAGTGGAGTGGAATGTTCTATCCCCACAAGAAGGATTATATCTTATAGACTTGTCTTGTTCAGATTCTGTATTTACCCATTTTATTGAAACATATACTAAGTTCCATGTATTTTTGTTACAAATCTTCTGAAAAAAAACAAAACAATGTGAAACATTAAAATTAAAAGGCATTAATAATATCCACGTGTGCCTTCTTACTGAATGATGGTCTTGGGAGTCTTTGCAAGAGTATTGAGTAGATCTCTGATATTGTGTTGAAAAGCTAGCTGCTGAGTAGGCTCCAATGATGCTATGCTGATTTAAGTATAGAAGAACTAATCAGTTCATTGCCATTTCCCATCTTCTGGCAGTATCAGGCACATAGATGGTCAATAAATGTTTCCAGAAATGTTGATTACCATGTTCAGATTATGCATTCACATGCACTTAATCTTCTTAGGTATCACTTTTTAAGCAGAAACTCCTCTTTTATGTAATCTTTACCAAAAACCTTCCCAGTTTGTACTTGTTTTTGTGGTAAGTAGTTGCAGGGTGCTAGTAATAACAACAGCTAAATGAGTGTTTACTGCAACACGTGCAGGCACTGTGCTTGACACACCCTGGCTGATGTGATCCTTACAACAATCCTATTAGAGAAGGTGCTTTTGTACCCATTTATAGATGGAGAAACAGGCTCAGAAGTGTAAGTCACTTTCTTAGGATTACACAGCCAGTTAATGCATCACGTTTTTGAGGCCAGAGTTGGGTCTGTGACCTCAAAGGCGCTACCTCTTAGTTACCTCGCAGTGCAGCCTCCCATTCATCTCTGACAAATGGAAGCTTTTAGGTCTGCTGCATCAATTCCTGGGACTTCACATTTTCACATGCCGTCAAGCAATGCTGTCTACACGCTTAATAAATACCTTGTCTTGAGATGTTCTAACACTTTCCTAACTGGACTTTCCACCGCCAGTTTACTTCCCACTAGAGCCAGGCTCTTATTGCCTGAACTTCCCTGTCTCAAGCCTTTGAGGTTTTCCCAAGGCCTGTAACTAGACCCACAGTCCCCTGCCAGACCCTGAACCTGTTATCTGCAGCTCTAGCCTGCGCTTTCCCTTGCCTGTTCTGGCTACACCTGCTCTATGTCCCCATATAACTACTAGCCTCCCTCAAAGGTCACCTGCTCTGCGTAACTTCCAGCTGGTTCTCTACCTCTACTCCCAGGGTACTCTGTATTGTCTCTAGAGCTCTTTGAATTACTCTGCATGGAGTGTAGTGTGTGTTTCTGTCACCACCACTAGATAATGAGGGTTCTTTACCTCTGTGTGCCCCACAGCTTCTAGCACAAGGTCTGGCACTACAGAAGCACTTAGAACATTGGTGTAATTGGATTGACAGGTAGAGCCATAACTATCAGAGATGGCCATATAGGAAGCCTTTTAATTTCTTCCTGTTATGTCAGGAGCCATTGATTTAAATGTTAATGAAAGTAGAAAGGGCCTAAACAGAAAAAAAGTCAGCCTCACTAGTGAGGGGGAATGCAAATTAAATTGCAGTGAAATGCAAATCAAGCTGAAGTGAGATACCATTTTATACCCACTGTGAGTGGCTACTTTTTTTTTTTCTTTGAGACAGGGTCTTGTTCTGTTTCCCAGGCTGGAGTGCAGTGGTGCGAACACAGCTCGCTGCAGCCTCTGACCTTCTGGGCTCAAGCCATCCTCCTACCTCAGCCTCCCAAGTAGCTGGGACTACAGGCATGCACCACCATGCCCAGCTAATTTTTTAAGTTTTTGTGGAGATTGGGTTTTTTGCTCTATTGCCCAGGCTGGTCTTGAACTCCTGGGCTCAAGTGATCACCCTGCCTTGGCTTCCCAAAGTGCTAGGATTACAGGCATGAGCCACTGTCCTAGCCTGGATGGTTAATTTTATGTGTCAACTTGACTGGGCTAAGGGATGCCCAGAGAGCTGGTAAAATATTCCTGGATGTTTCTGTGAGGGTGTTTCTGAAAGAGATTAACACTGATTCGAATCAGGAGACAGTAAAGAGGGTCACCCTCACCAATGTGGGTAGGCATTGTCTAATCCTTGAGGCCCAAATCAAACAAAAGGCAGAAAGGTGAATTTACTCTTTGCCCTTGAGCTTGGAGATCCATCTTCTCCTGCCCTCAGACCTTGCTGCTCTGGTTCTTGGGACTTTAGACTCAGATTAGGACTTGCACCCTTGGTTCCCTGGTCTCAGGCCTTCAGGTTTGGACTGAAACTCCATGACTCACTCTCCTGGGCCTCCAGCCTGCAGATGGGACTGTGGGACTTTTCAGGCTCCATAATCACATGAGCCAATCCCTCCTAAAAATCTCTTTCCATATTTTATGTACACACATATGTATAAAATCCATTGTTTCTGTGGAGAGCCCTCATGCACCCATTGTATGGCAGATTTAAGAGTGCCAGTATCCAGTGTTGTCAAAGACATGGAGCAACTGGAACACTTATTATTATTGCTGGTGGGGATGTAAATTATTCAATCACTTCGGAAAACAGTGAAGATCAGCATATCAAACATTTCGAAAATGATTTGAAATTTTTTTACATGTTTTAACAAAGCCAGTTTATTTTGTAGTTTTAATAAAAAAGGTGCCCTTTTTGTCCCTGGATTCACTTAGCATTCATAATTTTTTTTAATACAATGAATTTAAATTGCTAAAAGATCATGGACTGGCTTTCTGGTTGGATTTCAGGTAAGATGTGTTTAAGGCCAGAGCTCTTCCTCAATATTTGTTTTTTTCCCAATATTTGATTTTTAAAATATACACATAGATGCTACATTTATAGCTTCTGGCTTAAAATTCTGTCATATGTCACGTCTAGCCTTTTAGTATGGTAAATCATGTTTTACTTCTACTTAAACATTAATAATTTGGAGTATCTGTTACTAGTAATAGTAATTCTATAATTGTATAATTGAGTTTTGTACTTAACACACATAGGTCATTCCTCATCTATCATTTGCACCCAGTGCAGTTTCATTTTTCAGATACCATGATGCAAAATAGAGTTTTTCATCATTTAGGTGTAAGCAAAAACCCCCCAAACCAAAAAATGATACTGGCCGTTACCCAGTAGAATTAAACGCATGGATAGCTCATGACCCAGCTGTTACACGCTTAGGTGAATACCCAGCACAAATGCACTGTCTACGTACCTAAAGACTTGTACAGGAGTGTTCATAACACTGTTATTAATTGCAAAACAAAATAAATCCCAAAAACAAACGTGGAAGCAGCCCAAATATCCATCACCATGAGAATGGGCAAATGAGTTGTGGTGTGTCCATGTAACAGAAGACTAACAGCAGGATATATGTAACAAAATAGATCTAAGAAACAGTATTGAGTGAAAAAGTCAAAGGAGTATGTGCAATATGATTTCATTATGTGTACAGAGAGGCAAAGCTAAGAAATACAGTGTTTAGAGATAAAATTGTAATACCCTAAGGGAAAGCAAGAGAATTCAAAATGATGATCATAAAATAGAAGCTAGTAGTTACCAATGAAGGGGTAGAACAGTGGATGGTGTATTAGTCTGTTTTCATGCTGCCGATAAAGACATACCCGAGACTGGGTAATTTATAAAGAAAAAAGGTTTAATGGACTCACAGTTCCACGTGGCGGGGGAGGCTTCACAATCATGGCAGAAGGCAAAAGGCACGTCTTACGTGGCAGCAGACAAGACAGAATGAGAACCAAGTGAAGGGGATCTACCCTTATAAAACCATCAGGCCTCGTAAGACTTACTCACTGCCACGAGAACGGTATGAGGGAAGCTGCCCATGATTCAATTATCTCCCACCAGGTCCCTCCCGCAACGCGTGGGAATTAGGGGAGCTACAATTAAGATGAGATTTGGGTGGGGCCAAACAATAGAAGATGGGATTAGGAAGGGGCAACCATGACTGAAAGGTCGCTCAGGACTTGGGCATTTGTTTATCAGTATTATCTATCTATCTATATATTTTTTATTTGGTTCTACCTTAAACTATTAAGGGATAATATCTATATTTTTAATAAACTTTTTAAAACAAGCAGCTTAGAAGAGGTGGGGGTGGAGGGTGCAGCTTGGAGTACTGGCAGAATACTAGGTAATAGGAATATGTCCATCAAGTTTTCACATACAGAAATAGACCAGACTAGAAAGAAAGATGCTACAGCAGAAGGCCCTTCCTGACCATCACCTACCATGGTTCCAACATCAGTCTGAAGTCGAGGAATGGGTTAAACATGCACTAAATTTTGGGGTAATTTCTGACACAGCAATAGATAATTAATACGTGGGAGTTGGAGAGGGAGGTTACAGAACAAGTAGGCCAGGCCTTATACCCCCTTTATATCACAGCACTCAACTTTTAACATTTTACAAGATTTTATTTAGGAAAGGAAAAGGGATGCATTAAGTTTTTAAATGTGAGGTTCCGTAGCAAGGAAGCAGGGTTTCCCTGCAGTACCCTTCCTGCTAATACACTTCACTGATGCGTTGACACATTGCCTTCTGGGCACTTTTTTTGTGCCACAAGATCTCACAAGGAGCTGAGCAGAGCAGACTAGGATGCTTCTGTGTCCCTTGGCCCTCAAAGTGAGCATGGTCTTACCAGTGAACGTCCTTTAGTACAGTTGTTCATCTATCCAGCACTATTTCATAGTATTTGAGATTGGAAAGGGAGGTCAGCTCCTCCAAGTCTGTTTGCAGATGCAGAAACTGAGAGCTAAATAGGCAAAGCTACCGAGTCAACATCAAGTTCAAGGTTAAACAGCCAAACACAGAAGCCAGTTTTAACTTCCAGTTATCTATTTTTCCACGCCACCATCCTGCCCATCATCATCTTTGTAGATTCTCCTACATTCTTAAACACACCCAGCCACGTAAGCACACTTTTGATTGCAGTGCAATTGAAGAGCGTGAAGAAAGCATACATTGCTTATAAAAAAAAAAAAGCCGACAGGTCCTTGGCCCTGCAGTCCACATGTGGTAGGTATGCGGGAAACACATCCTACAGACCTCAAGTGAGGCATCAGAAGTCCTTGCCATTGGCTTCCTTTTGTGTATGATGGTGATACCCTCTTGTATGTCGGGAAAATGAGGTAGAACCTGCCTAATAATTGCAAAAGCAAACAGTCTGGGTGAGTGTGTGCTAAGTCAGCAGAGTCAAGGAAGAAAATTATGGACTATCCTTTATGTCCAGAGCACAGCGGACACAAAATGAAGAAACACAATCTAGGGTGAGTGTGGTCAGGTAAGGTGGGTGAGTGTAAAAGAATTGTTATTCCTTCATTTCTTCAACAAATACTATGCACCAGGCACCTTTCTAGGCAGTAGAGCTGAGCAGTGAACAAACATCAGACATCCTCATCCTGAAAGGCTTATGTTATAGTGGAGGTAAACAGGCAAAACTAACACAAATAAGTAAACTATATAGAAGTTAGTGCCATGGAGAAAAATCTAAGCAGAGGCGGGGTTAGGGCTGTGGGGCATAGGCAGTGGAATTTTAATTAAGGTGGTCAGGGAAGACCTCAGTGAGAAGGTGACATTTGGCTTCTTCTATCAAGCAGATATCTGGGGAAAAGCGCATTCCAGGCACAGAGGTCAGCAAGTGCAAAGGCCTGAGGCAGCACATGTCTGGGAGGTTGGAGGAATGTCCAGTACGGTGGAGTTGAGTGGGGAAAGGAGTCAAGGTTGGAGACAGAACAGGGAGAGAGGGGCAGGTGGTTGGGATCTTGTTGCACTGGCACCATTGGGAGCCACTGGAGGGCTCTGAGCAGAGGAGGGGTGTGCTTCTAACTTACAGGTTCTCAGGAGCACTCTGGGGCTGGGCTGAGGGCAGCCTGAGGGTGAGGAAAGGGTGGAAGGTGGGAGCCCAGCAGGGAGGCCGCTGTAGTAATCTAAGGGAGAGAAGATGATGCCTAAGCCATGGTAGTAGCAGTGGATGGACATTCTGACCTAATTTGAGAGTAGAATTTATGGTTAAATTGGATGTGGGGTGGGGGAGAGAGAGGAGTTAAGGATGACTCCAGAGTTTTGGACTTGAAGAATTGGAAGGACTGAGGTTGGAGGTGTCATTTCACTGAGGTGGGGAAACTATAGGAAGATGGGTGGGAATTATCAGATGCTTGGGTTTTGGGCACTGAGTTTGAGATGCTTATGAGACGTCTGAGTAGAGATGGTGAGTGGGCAGTTGGACATGAGTCGGGAGTTCCAGAATGAAGTCCAGGATACAGTTAAACAAATGTCACAGCATCAGCCCAGAAGGGTGTTTAAGGTCTCAAGAATGATGAAGTGTACCACAGGGCATGAATGCTTATAGAAAAGAGATAAGCTCTGCTGGGAACCTGCAGCTATAGGAGGGGCCCACACTGGAACAGAGCTGCCTGAGGATTCCCTGGGGATCCTGGGGACCCTGTCCATGATGAGGGATGGTGAGGTTTAGATCTAGAAACACAGGGGCGAGGAAAGGACGCTCCAGGCAGACCCCTGGCAAGCGAAAGCATGGATGTAGTCCAGGTTCGGGGCTTGGAGGGGCATGGAGACAGAAAGAGAAGCGCTCAAACGCAGGCCAACGCTGGGCACCGTTCTGGGGCAGTGGGAAGCAGAGAAGGCACACGGGGACAGGGCTGGGATGAGATTGAGGCTTCCGGCCGCAAAATCCAAGGAGGCACACGCTCTCCCAGAGCAAGATCGGTCCTTTAACAGCACTGAGAGTTCAGTTTCCTATTCCCTCACCCTAAGCCTGGCCCTGCAGAACCAATAAACAGCTGGGCTCTGAGCAGATTAAATTCCCAAGCCACACAGGTTTGAATCCCAGCAGCGCAGTTTTTGCCAAGTTATCTGTGCTTAACCTCACTTGGCCTCAGTTTCCTCTTCTGTAAAATAGGAGCAGTAATTGTATGCTTCAGGCCAACAGATAAGCCACTTTTTAGGCTTCTGTTGTTGAACTGCCTGTCCCGAGCTTGGGGGTGGGGAGACCAAAGCTTTGTGTGGAGGCTGCTGTCTTCCCACCTCCTCTTGCCCCCTTGGACTCTTCTTTGGAAGACTAGACTTTCCCTTGCTTTCCCATCAACCCAGCTCTCAGAGCAGCTCCAAGTACACTGTTGGTACTTTGTACATCATTGGAATGAAAGAACACTGTGAAGTCCCACAGGTTTCATTCTCTTTGGTCTCGTCTTTTCCATGGCAACCACCTTTTTAAAGGCTTCCTTTATCTTTTGCTCTGATTTGCAATTGCCTCCTAAATTGTCTCTTTAACCTTCCTTTCCACTCTCCATTCTGACCAAATCGTGTAATAATAGTCACATTTTCCTCATATGCTTACTTCCTGCATATTAGGGTTATGTTGTAAGTGCTATGCACATAGCAACATTTAATCCTCATGGCCACTACTCATTCTCAATTGGAAGTCCTGGCCAGGCACTCAGTGGGGTCCACCAATGAGAAGACAGGAAGGTGGGTCTGGGGCTCAGGAGGGAGGAGAGTGGAGGACTCTGAGTCAATATCCACACACAAAAAAGAATGACATCCACAAGATCTGTTAGTGTTGCTAAGGTAGAGAAGGCGAGGCTGTTTCATCCCCACTAAGTGCCATGAGCAAAAGGCCCAGTGTTTACAAAAGCCTTTGAAACCATTTTGAAAATGCTCCAGAATATGAAGGAAAATAACTCAACAGAAGAAAATTACAATGGACAAATCTTTAAATGCCTACATACTTGCCTTATGCCAATCAAATGCAATTAGATCTGATTCCTGTATGTCTGTAAATGAAGTACATTGAAAGTGGGAAAGTGATGCATTTCATTATATCTGGAATGATGTGGGCTCTGGAAGTACAAGTGCGTAGAGGAATAAAGGCCTTAAAATGGCCCAGAGAAGAAATGAAAAGAGAAGAGGCGTTATACTGAGGAGAGCTGCAGGCAGAGAAAGAACTGCACATCCAAAACGCCCTCCACGCAGTGACTCCACTAATCTTATAAGAACTTTAGAACTAGTGTTACACTCACTTTTCTTTTTTCTTTCTTTTTTTTTTTTTTTTTTTTTTTTTGAGATGGAGTTTCACTCTTGTTGCCCAGGCTGGAGAGCAATGGCACAATCTCGGCTCACTGCAACCTCCGCCTCCTGGGTTCAAACAATTCTCCTGCCTCAGCCTCCCAAGTAGCTGGGATCACAGGCGTGTGCCACCATGCCCGGCTAATTCTGTATTTTTAGTAGAGATGGAGTTTCACCATGTTTGTCAGGCTGGTCTTGAACTCCTGACCTCAAGTGATCCACCCGCCTCAGCCTCCCAAAGTGCTGGGATTATAGGCATGAGCCACTGCGCCCGGCCCTACACCCACTTTTTAGATGAAAAAAGGGAAGTTCAGAGTCAGTCACTTGCCCAGGCTCACACTGTGTGGCTTCTGTGGCATGGGGTGACTCCAAAGCAAAAGAGAAGGTGTGCCTCCTAGTGTCCATCCCTGTGAACAGCAGGCTTCCACTTTGGTGTTCAGTTTTACTGGAACACACTTTGTTTATGGGCTTGAGTGAATAAGGTCACATAGCTAAAAAATTTTATAGGGCTTGCAAATCAAGGGGGATGGGCAAACAGTTTAGCAGATAATTCTGGGAAAACTTGTTTGCTATGTGTGTAGCTATAAAACTGGATCCCTACCTAACACTGGATGACAAAGACAGACTTGAAACATATTGAAGACCTAAATGTATGTGGTACAGCCGTAAAATTTATATGGTACATATAGGAAAATACCTCTGTGACCTAGAGGTGGGTGAGGGTTTCTTAAACCATGGTCTCAAGCACAAACCAAAAGGCAAAGCACTGATGTGCCAGTTGCCCCAGAAGTTCTGATTCACGAAGACCATCATGGAAAAAGTTTAATAGAGAGATGACCATGTGGGAAGGGACTGTTCTGTGTCTGAAACTGATAAGGAATTTAGACCCAGGTGACTTCAAGGAACTCTGGCGAATCAACAAGAAGACAGGAACCACAAAAGAAAATGGGCAAAGGACATTGAACTGCTTATTCACCAAAGATAAAACCCAAAAGTCAACCAGGATAGGAGAGCTGTACAAACTTGCGAGTCATTAAGAAAGGCAAATTAAAATAATGAGAGATTGCTTTACAGCCATCAGATTTGCACACATCAGAAAGCTGGTTAATGCCAAATGATGAGCTAGGCGAGGGGACCGTCAGGCCCTGCTGGTTGGAGAGGAGACTGTTTGCTGCTCAGTGTTTAGACCTCAAGCACTGTGTAGCCCATGACCCAGCAATACGGCTCTTGGCTCTCAACCCCAGAGAAATTCTGTGTATCCCCAAGGTAACGTGCACGAAGACACCCGTTATGGCACCGTGTGCAGTGTGGGGAAATTGAACTCCATCCTGATGACCCTCACTGGGGAATAGATGAGTAGGCTGCGGCAGATGCAAGATGATGGAGCGGTACTTGGGGAGTACTCATGACATGGGTAGAGGCGAGTGGAAAGAAAAAGAGACCGAGCCCCCTATAACCGCTTCTGTGTACTAAAAATGTATGCCCATGAAACCATGGTACATGTTTTACGAGCAGAATAGCACACATGCACCGCATGAGAGGGGCCGTCTATGGAGAGGGAAATAGGAAGTGAATGGAAATAAAGAGGTGTTGAAGAGAAAGAGCACTGACCCAGGCAGGCTTTCCTACAAGCAGTGGTTACAAGCCCAGCCCCTGCAGCAGGGTAACTTAGCCCCCAGTACCTCTGTTTTCTTAGCATAAAATAGAGATAATAATTGTGCTCACCTCCCAGAGTTGCTGTGAGGATCAAGTTAACACACACATGAAGTGCTTAGAATAGTGTGGCTGGCACAAAGGGGGTGCTAGGTGTATAAGGGTGTTCACAGTGCTTATATTAGTGAAAAATGAAAAATAATTGAAATATCCAACTGTGGGAGACAGTTTATCCAAATGATTGGAAAGATCTAATTGTTCTTCTGTCCTTCTTCCCTTTGTCTTTTTGGTAGTACAACCTCCCCCCGCCCCCCCCCCAACCTCTACACATACATAGATTTTAGCAATGTGCTTGGGCACCTAGCTATGTACTGAATTTCCCAGCCTCCATGATACTAAGTTGCTCTGTGGTTAAGCTCTGGGATAGAATGGATGTGAAAGTGTTATGTTCCGTGTAAGAAAAACACTTGCTCTCCACTTTCTCTTTCCCCTGCATCTGTGAATGACCTGACACCCACTGGAGGGCTGGAGGCCAGCCATGAGCAAGCAGATGAGTCAAGAAGCAAGCAGATGCTGAGCAACAAGTTGGAAGGAACCAGGGCCCTGATGACCCACACCCTGTAGCATCCTCCACCCCCACCTCCATCTGCTGGGTGGGAAAGAACAAACGTCTTACGTAGACTACTCTTTGAAGACACTGAATTTTGGGTCTCTGACATAGCTGCTTAGTCTGTACTCCAACTAATATAGCCATTTAAATCTTGTTTTTCAGAAAGTAGTTAATGATATGAGAAAAAAGCTTATAGTGTATACCTCAGTGGAAAAAAATTGGTATATAAAAACTAGATTTTTTTAGGGCAGCGAAACTACTCTGTGTGATACTCCAATGGGGGATCCATGTCATTACACATTTGCGCAAACGCATAGAATGTGCAGCACCAGGAGTGGCCCCTAATGTAAACTCTGGACTTTGGGTGATAGTGATGTATCAGTGTAGGTTTGTCAATTGTAACAAATAGACCACTTTGATAGGTGAAGTTGATAGTGGGGGAGGCTGTGCATGTATGTGGGCAGGGAGTATATAGAAGTCTCCGTACCTTCTGCTCAGTATTGCTGTGGTCTTAAAACTTCTCTAAAAAAGAAAGTCTATTTTAAAAACTACATAGGTGTCTACCAAATGTATAAGACTCACATTTTTTCTGTGGTGTGGCCTCAGCCTTCTCAAGGCTTGCTGAGAAGCAAGGCACACATTTATTTGAAGGTAGTGCCTGGAACTTGGAGCTTTTATCTCCCAGTGAACATCTCTCTGCCAGATGCTCGGGTAGGTTTCTCCAAAGTTCAACTGGGTAGGAGAGTCACATGATCCTTCCAACCAATGAATGAGCAGGAATCCAGTGGCTTTAGGAAAATCAAACCTGTTATTATGTAAGTGACGATCAGTGGTATATACAGTGACTATTTGTGGCAGTTGCATGCATTTCTGAGTGTGTTTTTATTTTGCCCTTTTGAAATTAATCTCAGAATTGTTCTGTGCCATGGTAAAGTTGTCTCATCATTTTGGAATTCAACACAGCTCCTAAAGCTGTTGATAAGAATTGTACGTGCTTCTGAGTTATGTGGGCTGATTTCGACGGTCTGCTTATGAGGTAGGAGGTGGGACTCTATTCTAGAGGCAGGGCTCAAACTCCAGACCAGATTGGAGACTGGCTGAAACAGGGGAGGGGCAAAAGCACCTCTCCATATGACACACCCACCAGTGCCATGCCAGTTTACCATTGCCATGGCAACACCTGGAAGTTACCATTCCTTTTCTAGAAATTTCTGAATAACCTGCCTCTTAATTTGCATGTAATAAAAAGTGGGTATAAATATGACTGCAGAACGACCTCTGAGCTTCTACTCTGAGCACACTGCCTGTGGGGTAGCCTGCTCTGTGGGAGCAGACATGGAGCTGTAACATTGCTGCCTCAGTAAAGCTGTTTTCTTCTACCACTGGCTTGCTCTTGAATTCTTTCCTGAGTGAAGCCAAGAACCTTCCTGGGCTAAGCCCCAATTTCAGGGCTTGCCTGTCCTGCCTCACACACTCTCCTGAAATCTGAATTTAGTTATAGAGAGTGATATGTGACTCTCTGTAAACTTTGTTCATTAGATTCATGAGGTGTTGTATCTGAGAACGATATCATTAATTGTATTTATAATGAAATTCATTCATGCATAAGTGTTCATGTTTTATGCATAACTATTAAATGCTGCTGCTGGAGAGATCAGTGCTGTGCTGAGACAGGGAGTTTTGAGTCACTGCTTTGTTTCTGCAGCTTCTCCTCTCCTTTACTGAGGCTCACACCCTGGGCTCACAGGCACACACGTATGTGTGTTGTACACACCTGCACCCACGCCCCCCATGCAGCATGGGGAGGGACGGCATCCAGGTGATACGTTCTTTCTGGATGCAAATACACATCAGTTATGACCTGACCTGAACCGCCATTCCCTTGGATGTAGCAATAGAGACAGAGAGGCCCCAAACGCTTCTGAGCCTTTTTGGTCAGGGTCTCTGCCTCCAACTGGGTCTTTCTGTCCTTCCTAGGTGAAGAAGGGAAATTGTCAGGGGCTGCTCTTAAGCAGGGGGCCTGGATCTAAACGGAAGACCTTCCAACCTCCCCCACTGCGGAGAGCAGAACTGGGAGCAGATGCCCGTGGGCTTCGCAGCTCTTGGTCTGTGTCATCACGTGCCTCGGTCATACATTTTGTCATCACTGTATTTACTAACACTGCACATCAAAGCGATTCCTACTTCTTTTAAATGGAAACACATTTATTTTAAAAGACACCCATAGATTGAAACCATAAATGGAAACCAGTCTGATTTGCCATACAGACTAATTTTTAAAATAAATGCAAAAACACCTATTTCTGTAGCTTGCATACGCATAAGGTATTTCTGGAAGGACATAGAAGAGGTGCATAGTGATTACCTGTGGGGAGAAGAACCCACGGCTAGGGGCAGGGGTGGGGCCCACTTTTAAGGAACATTCCTGTGTATTTCCATTTATACTTTTTTTGGCTTTTGGAATTCAATCAAAACAAAGAATTTGGGGAAGAAAAGATGTGAAAACAAAACATTGGCATTAGATTCTGGCCAGACGCTGTTGCCAGCTGAAGTTGCTAAACCTGAGGCTTCTCTCTGCTGCGGAGCATTCGTCAGCAGAGGGAGATGGTAAAGGGGCTTTCGCATCCAGTTGAGGTAACAGAAAAGCTGACAGCTCGTGAGGGACTCTTTCCCACCCTGCGATGGTGCTATTCATGCCGTCTCAGTTTCCATCTTCAGTTGCCCTCTCTCCCAGGTCTCCGACTCAGGGTTTCCCCCACGAGGCCACCATTGCTCCAGGAACAGAAGTTGGAACTGAAAGCAGTCTTAGAGGCCTCCAGCCAAATATTCCTCACCTGGTTCGCTCACTCCCAAAGGGGTCCCCTGTGAAGCCTCTGAAACCTTATGCAAAATCCTGTGCTCAAGTATATTTTCCAGGGAGATGGTGGCTGATCTCTATCAGAGCTCCAAAGAGGGCCATGATGCCTAAAAGTCCCTATGGGATTCAGAAAGGAGTGACATCTCCAAGGATGCCTGGCTCGTGGTATCGCTCAGCATATTGTTTCTAGATGCACTTGTGCATTCATGATGAGGAGGAGGATGGATCTTGGAGCTGGAGGAAAGATGCCACAAGGACCCATTCTGTCCAGCACAAAAGGAGAAGCCTTCCCAGCCTTAATGTCCAAAGGGAGGCATAGAGGCTCAGGGAAGCTAAGTGACTTCAAGGATGCTAAGGCTCCAGTATTTATACAGTGATCAAATATCACACTTGTACAAAGCAATCTCAGGTGGAAAGACCCACTCCTGACCATGGGGATGTGGGACTTTCTGGCATTGCTAACTGCTCGGGGACAGCCAAGATGGCAATAGTGGCTCATGTTCCAGGGCCCCTGTTTCATTGAGGGTGTTTGGATTGTGCTCTTGCCCAAGTGTTCAGATGACTTAAAGATTAGAATGTGCAGCCAGGTGCAGTGGCTCACGCCTGTAATTCCAGCACTTTGGGAGGCTGAGGTGGGCAGATCACAAGGTCAGAAGTTCGAGACCAGCCTGGCCAACATGGTGAAACCCCATCTCTACTAAAAAAATACAAAAATTAGCCAGGCATGGTGATGTGTGCCTGTAATCCCAACTACTTCGGAGGCTGAGGTGGGAGAATTGCTTGAACCTAGGAGGCAGAGGTTGCAGTGAGCTGAGATTGCGCCACTGCACTCCAGCATGGGTGACAGAGCAAGACTTCATCTTAAAAAAAAAAAAAAAAAAGATTAGAATGTGCACCAGATCTAATTTCTCCATCTTTTTTTTTTTTTTTTTTTTTTTAGATGGAGTTTCACTCTTGTTGCCCAGGTCGGAGTGCAATGGCACGATCTCGGCTCACCGCAACCTCCGCCTCCCAGGTTCAAGCAATTCTCCTGCCTCAGCCTCCCGAGTAGCTGGGATTACAGGCATGCACCACCACGCCCGGCTAATTTTTTGTATTTTTAGTAGAGACAGGATTTCTCCATGTTGAGGCTGGTCTCGAACTCCTGACCTCAGGTGATCCGCCCGCCTTGGCCTCCCAAAGTGCTGGGATTACAGGCGTGAGCCACCGCGCCCAGCTTCTCCATCATTTTTAAGGTTGTTTCTCCACTAGAAAGTGGAAACCTGGGACTGTGTTTTGGCCAACATGTTTGTTCACAGCCCCAGTTCAAGTGGGAGGTTGAAGGATCCCTTCTTTGATTAATTGACATATTAACTGTATTGGAATTTCTCACCTTACTGTACCAGAGCAGTGATCCTCAACCAGGGCAATTTTGCCTGGCAGGGGACATTTAGTGATGTCTGGAGGCATGTTTGGTTGTCACAACTGGGCACAGGAATTGGGTGTTTCTCCCAGCATCTAATGCGTGGAGGCCAGGATGCTGCTAAACATCCTGCATGGCACAGGACAGCTCCAGCAACAAAGACTTTTCCAGTCCAGGCCCAGCACGGTGGCTCATGCCCGTGATCCCACCACTTTGGGCGGCCAAGGCAGGAGGATTGCTTGAGCCCAGGGGTTTGCAACGAGCCTAGGCAACATACTGAGACCCCGTCTCCACAAAAAAATTAAAAATTAACTGGGCATGGTGATGTACACCAATAGTCCCAGCTACTTGGGAGGGTGAGATGAGAGGATTGCTTGAGCCCAGGAGGTTGAGGCTGCAGTGAGCCATAATCATGCCACTGCACTCCAGCCTGGGTGACAGAGTGAGACCTTGTCTAAAAAACAAAAACAAACACAAAAAAAGACTTGTCCAGTCCAAATGAGAAGCAGTGCTGAGGCTGAGAAATGCTGCTGTCAAGTTGTTTTTTTTTTTTTTTTTGAGACGGAGTCTCGACCTGTCACTGTCACCCAGGCTGGAGTGTAGTGGCGCGATCTCGGCTCACTGCAACCTCCACCTCCCGGGTTCAAGCAGTTCCTTGCCTCAGCCTCCCGAGTAGCTGAGATTACAGGCGTCCCCCACCATGCCCGGCATATTTTTGAATTTTACTAGAGACGGGGTTTCTCCATGTTGGTCAGGCTGGTCTCGAACTCCTGACCTCATGATCCACCCGCCTCGGCCTCCCAAAGTGCTGGGATTACAGGCATGAGCCACTGCGCCCGGCCTCTGTCAAGTATTAAGAACTTAGACTGTCAAAGCTGTTTCTAAAGCTATACACAAAACCCCCCATGGAATTCTAAAAGGACCCACACCTATGGTATTGGGTTGAGTGTACAATAATTAGGTGATTTTTGGTAGGTTAACAGAGGCTACTAGCTGTCAGAGGTAGTGAGGTAAGTTACTCCCCTACCTTGCTACTTGGTTAAAATGTCACTACTCAATTGACACATACCAGCAAGAAGGCCCAAAGCAGTCATTCAACCTGTTTGATAAACCCAGAGGAGGCCCAATTCTTTGCCCTATTAGGTGCTCCACCTGGACCTTGGATAAAGGGCTCACCGAGGCAAATGTCCCCACATCTTCTGAACCGGCAGCTGGACTCAGGCCCTTTCATGAACCGGATATATGGCACAAGCCTTAACACCAGATCTATACCGTGTTCCCACAGGGATGGGGACTGGCTCTAGAATATTTTAGCTTATCCGCATACCTGAAAATCACAAATTTTACTAAAGAGAGCCCATTTTTAGATTCCATTCTAGTCATTAAAAAGGCACTAGTTTATCAACAAAACCCACTTCTAACATTTATTCTTGCTAAACAGCAAAATCTCCAGTGTAGATCAGAGAGGAAGACAGCTGAAGCACGCAGCCACCCCTCTAGGGTGTGGACCTTGATGAAATGTATGCTCCTGGTTAGGACAGCTGACCACCCTGAGGGCAGCTTAGATCTAAGTCACCTTTACATCTCCCTATGTGGGAAGAGTCTTCTTTTTTTCTTTTTTTTTTTTTTTTTTTTGTTGAGACAGAGTTTTGCTGCTGTTACCCAGGCTGGAGTGCAATGGCGTGATCTTGGCTCACCACAACCTCTGCCTCCCAGGTTCAAGCAATTCTCCTGCCTCAGCCTCCAGAGTAGCTGGGATTACAGGCATGCGTCACCACGCCTGGCTAATTTTGTATTTTTAGTAGAGATGGGGTTTCTCCATGTTGGTCAGGCTGGTCTCGAACTCCTGACCTCAGGTGATCTGCCCGCCTTGGCCTCCCAAAGTGCTGGGATTACAGGCATGAGCCACCGCACCTGGCTTTTTTTTTTTTTTTTTTTTTTGAGATGGAGTCTTGCTCGGTCGACCTGGCTGGAATGCAGTGGCACGATCTCAGCTCACTGCAATGTCCACCTCCCGGTTCAAGTGATTCTTATGCCTCAGCCTCCAAAGTAGCTGGGATTACAGGCGCCCACCACCACGCCTGGCTAATTTTTGTATATATATATTTTTTTTTTTTTGAGACAGTGTCTCACCTCTCGCCCAGGCTGGAGTGCAGTGGCGCAATCTCGGCTCACAGCAACCTCCGCCTCCCAGGTTCAAATGATTCTCCTGCTTCAGTCTCCCAAGTAGCTGAGATTACAGGCACCCGCCACCATGCCCAGCTAATTTTTTGTATTTTTAGTAGAGACAGGGTTTCACTATGTTGGCCAGGCTGGTCTCAAACTCCTGACCTTGTGATCCACCCACCTTGGCCTCCCAAAGTGCTGGGATTACAGGCATGAGCCACCGCGCCCGGCCTAATTTTTGTATTTTTAGTAGAGACGGAGTTTCACCATATTGGCCAGGCTGGTCCCAAACTCCTGACCTCAGGTGATCTGCCTGCCTCGGCCTCCCAAAGTGCTGGGATTACAGGCGTGAGCCACTATGCCCGGCACTATGTGGGAAGATTCTAAAGTGCATTCCAGAGGACAGGGCTCCTGGCTGGTCTGCGTCTTGTCTAGAGGCAGCCTGGGAATCCGGATGAAGACGAGTGGGCAGGGCCTGCAGAGAATCCAAGTGCATGAGGGCTTGGGCGAAAGCAGCGTCCGGGAAGGGAGGCCAGGCGGAGCATTGCAGCATCTTCCAGCCCTACAGGCATGCGTTCCAGGGATTGTGAACCTAAGCCAGGGACATAGTCATGAAGAGCTATTCCCTGCATCCACTGTGGCTTCACCCCAGGAGGGCACCGAAGGAGTAACACTGGTGCTCAGCAGGCTCTCCCCATGTCACAGAGGATTTGGTGATCAAAGCCAGTGTCCCTCAGAATTTTTCTTCACAGTGCTGATCATGGTGGGTGTGATGGTTAATTTTAGGTGTCAGCCTGACTGGGCTCAGGGATGCCGAGGTAGCTGATAAAACATGATGCCTGGGTGTGTCTGTGAGGGTGTTTCTGGAGGAGATTAGCATTTTTTCTTTTTTCATCTCTTAAATTCCTTTACCAAGACATTAGCATTTGAATTAATCTGGGTGAAGATCCACCCTCACCAATGCAGGAGGCACCATCCCATCTGTTGAGGGCCTGAATAGAAGAAAAAGGTGGAGGAAGGGCGAATTTGTTCTCTCTTTGGGGCCTGGGATATCCATCATCTTGTCCTACCTTGGACATTGGAGCTCCTGATTCGTAGAACTTCAGGCTCTGGACTTACACCAGTGACCTCCCCTGCCCACTTGCCATGGGCTTCCCTGGTTCTGAAGCTCTCAGACTTGGCCTGAATTACACCACCAGCTTTCCTGGCTCTCCAGCTGGCAGGTGGAAGATGGTGGGACGTCTCAGCTTCCATAACCATCTGAGCCAATTCCCATAGTAAATCTCCTATCTATCATCTATATATCTATCTATCTATCATCTATCTGCCTATCTGTCTATCTATCTATCATCATCTATCTATCTATTTACCTGTCATCTATCATCTATCTCCTGTTTCTCTGGGGAACCCTGCCTAATACAGTGGGATTATTTGAGTAACAACTTTCTCCTCA
This sequence comes from Homo sapiens, assembly GCF_000001405.40. Lineage (NCBI taxonomy): Eukaryota > Metazoa > Chordata > Mammalia > Primates > Hominidae > Homo > Homo sapiens. The sequence continues at coordinate 104,368,314 of NC_000012.12, forward strand.
ACCTGGCTGGACGATCCAAAATGATCAGGGCCACGTCTGTTGGACAGTGAGAGCATTTAGGGGAGCATGCAGCCCGGAGTCCAGGTTGAATCCTGGATCTGCCACTTACTAGCTGTGTGACCTTGAAAAAAAAGACTGAGCTTCACTGTGCCCCGAATCCTCCATAAAATGAAAATAATAGTAGCATCTGCTTTAGAGAGTGGGTATGTAGATTAGATGAGATCATACTTACAAAGCACTTAGCACAGTGCTTGGCCATACTAAGAACTTGAAAATGCTAATTGTTATTATTATTATTTACCTCTATGCATATCTCAAGGTCCAAAACAAAAGCTAAGTCAGAAAAGGAGGAAAAAATGCCAGATGCCGGGAGAACATGCCAGCTTCTGGAGTGAGATGCGGAGATTGGGGGATTAGCAGGAAGAAGAAAGAGCCACTGAAACCACCCAGTTATCCCTGCATTTATTTATCCAAAGACCATCACTGAAGGTCTTCTACTTCCAAGCCCCACCTGGGCTTCCAGCCTAATAGGAGAAACAAACCTTAAACAAACAATGGTGCATAAATCATGATTTCATTACAATTGTGATGAGTGAGGCAACATACGGTACAGAGGACTTAAGAATATTTTAACAGGAAAATCACCATAGCCCAGGGCTGGAGGTTGGGAACTGGGGAACTGGGGATAAGAATCCAGAAAACCACCCTGCCCAGCATGCAGAAGGGAGTTAATGGAGAAGTCTTGCTGGGTCGGCCTGTAAGGGATGAGTCCACACAAGCATTTACACAGGCAGAAGGAGGGCAAGGTCATTACATCCCTTTTGGACACAGTAAATGTCCAGTTGTCCTTTTCCCTGCCACTGTATAGTAAGATGGTGGTCAGGACCTGGGGGTGCCAATGACTGATCTCAACCATACCTCTAAGCTGAGAAGGGAAAGGTCACTGATTATTACTTAAGCCAGACTTAAAGAACAGTCCCAAAGCTTCTGACAGCCAAGACAATGTCCTCTTCGCTTTCAATGACAAAGGCCCAACTGAGTAACATATGAACATTGAGGGAGCCAACTGCACACAGACACTTGGACCACTGACCCAGGGAAACTCCTTAACTGCTTGAATGAAGTACCAGTCATTCATGGTCAATAGATTCTTCTGCTGCATGGAATTTCTGCTGGGCTGGTGGAGGCAGCTGAGAAATAATGGGGAGAGGCCAGGACAAAGCATGGAAAAACTTCAGTTACGTTTTGTTGGTTAACAATGGGACCTTCAACAAGACACTCATTGGCTTGGGTCTCACTTTCTTCATCTGAATAATGGAGATAATAACACCTAAGTAGGCACGTTCCTGGCTTTAAGTAACAAACACCCACTAACAGGGGCTTAAACAAATATATGTTCATTTTTCTGACATAAGGAGTCGCAGCCAGTTGGGTGTGGACATTGGAGAAGCATCTCAGTAATGTCAGAGGTTTTGGATCTGCTTCTTTGCAATTTTCTCATTCTTTCCCTCATGGTCACAAAATGGCTGCTGTAGTTCCAGCCATCAAGTCTGTATTTAGTAAGGCAGTAAGAAGAGGGGGTGAAAGATAGGACTGCCTCTCTACCCTTTACACAGCCATCCTGGTGTTGCCTGACACACTTTTGCTTTTAACTCATTGGCCAGATCTCTGTCCTGGGCCATCCCTAGCTGCAAGGGAAGCTGACAAAGTGAGTTTTAGCTTTTCTTTTCTTTTTTTTTGAGACAGAGTCTCACTCTGTTGCCCAAGCTGGAGTGCAGTGGCGTGATCTCAGCTCACTGCAAGCTCCGCCTCCTGGGTTCATGCCATTCCCCTGCCTCAGCCTCCCGAATAGCTGGGACTACAGGCGTGTGCCACCTCACCCAGCTAATTTTTTGTGTTTTTAGTAGAGACGGGGTTTCACCATGTTAGCCAGGATGGTCTTGATCTCCTGACCTCGTGATCCGCCTGCCTTGGCCTCCCAAAGTGCTGGGATTACAGGCGTGAGCCACTGCGCCTGGCCGAGTTTTAGCTTTTCTAATCTATAGAGCACATGAAGAGTGTCTATCTCAGCATATAAAGCAGAGACTCCACTAGGCAGTGAAGGAAGGTAGGCAAAATGGATGTGTGTTTCATATCTGTGCCCCACACCCCATCCAGGGTCCGTCTCTCCCCAGCAGTTGTCATAAGGACTCATTATCATTTAGCCATCATGCAGAATATCAGAGCTGCCAAAAGGGAAAGCAAAGTGAATCGTCCTAAAGCAGCCTGCTTTTTCTTTTTTCTTTTTCTTTTCTTTTCTTTTTTTTTTCCTATTTGGAAGGTTTGGATTTGAAGTAAATCATCATTAAGCAGTCTAAGTATTTCCTTTATTTATTTATTTATTTGTTTATTTATTTATTGAGACAGGATCTCACTCTGCCATCCAGGCTCAAATGCAGTGGTGCAATCTAGGCTCACTGCAGACTCAGCCTCCTCAGCTCAAGTGATCCTCCCACCTCGGCCTCCTAAGTAGCTGGGGCTGCAGGCACACACCACCACACTGGCTAATTTTTGTATTTTTTTGTAGAGAGAGGGTTTCACCACATTGCCCAGGCTGGTCTTGAACTCCTGGGCTCAGGTGATCCTCCTGCTTCAGCCTCCCAAAGTGCTGGGATTACAGGCATGAGCCACCACACATTTTGCTTTTTAAAGCATTTACTTTAAAAATCTCACCTCTTTCAATCCTCGTTCTGTTCATTGTTTGCTCCAAGTTCGAGGGGCCTGTCAGTTCTTCCTGCAAATAAAATCAGTGAACAACCCTGTAGGTACACTTCAAGGTATACAGGGGAGCAGAGAATGCCGCCTGGGTAGGGGCGAGTGTTACTTCAGCGGCAGGGAAAGCCTCTGTCAATATTTGCGAGGAAGAGACGTCTCCAGAAGTAAGAAAGGCCACATTATGGAAATGGCATGTTTTATGCAGGGAGACACTTGAGAATCAGGGAGAGTCAATAAAGGGGCTAAGAAGGGTCAAGAACTTGGGTTTGAGAATAAGGCGAGTCTACTAGTTGAGAAGGAGAATAAGGCTTCGGTAAGCCAGCCCCACCTGCCACCTTGCCACCCCTTTTTAGGAAATAAGGGACAGTTGCCAGGGGCTGTTTTGTGACATAATCTAGAGGTATTTATGCCAAAAGGACTGACGGAAATACCACCACTGCCAACCACGACAGCATCCTGGTTCCCTAAACGGATGGGCTTCTTTGTTTTCCTTTGTCACAAGGAATTAGAGGAATGTGGCTACACCCGCAGCTTCTAACACCAGCTAGCCTGGGTTCACATCCTGGATGAATCACTTACTGTGTAACCTCAGGCATATTGTTTAACCTCTCTGTGCCTCAGCATCCTCAGCTGGAAAATGGGGGTGGCAATAGCAGCACCTCCCTTGTGTGGTTGTCAGGACAAAATAAGTTAACTCAGGGAAGTAAGGAAAGTTAATTAGTAAATAAGTTAACTCTGGGTAAGTAAGGTATCGAGGACGGGGGCTGGCCTCTAGAACGTGCTGTGTTAGTGTTGGTGATTCTTACGTGTGAACCAGCAGCAGATGGAAGGTCTGGCCGTTGAGGGATGCTACTTTTTTCCTGACGATGACTATGAACGTCTTGTGTGGTCTAAGACAGCAGTCCTTTTTGGCATCAGGGACCGGTTTCATGGAGGACGATTTTTTCCACGGTCGGGGGGTGAGGGGGGTCAGGATGGTTTTGGGATGAAACTGTTCCACCTCAGATCATCAGACATTAGTTGGATTCTCATAAGCAGTACACAACTTAGATCCCTCGCATGCCCAGTTCACGATAAGGTTCATGGTCCCATGAGAATCTAATGCCACCACTGATCTGACAGGAGGCGGGGCTCAGACGATGATGCCAGGGATAAGGGGCGGCTGTAAATACAGATGAAGCTTCGCTCACTTGCCCGCAGTGACTCGCCCCACTTCCTGCTGTGGGGCCCAGTTCCTAACAGGCCACAGAGCGGATGAGTACCGGTCCACAGCCCAGAGGCTGGGGACCCCTTGTCTCAGAGACATCTTGAGAACCTCTTTATTTCCTCTTTGTTAATGCAAGAAGTGGTTTTGAAAGCAATTCATGCATTTTCAGGAAAGAAGGCAAAAGAGACTAGGGAAGGGGGTGGGGAAGGCTTACCAGGTGCTGTATACACGACAAAGCAGAAAGGCTGGGAACTACAACTCTGGAGTCAGACACATTTTGGGTTGAACTCAGTCACTGCCCATTAGCATAGTGATCCTGGAGAAGTCATCTACCCTCATGTGTGAAGGAGAAACAATGAATGCTCCTGGACCCTAGAGCTGCTCAGAGGATCCAATAGAGCAAAGATGTCAAAAGGCCAGCGCCATGCCTGGCACAGAGGAAGGATTCAATCAGTTAATTCAGCCATGCTGAAGCCACCATGATGTGACAGAAAATCAGCTTGCAGCTGGGGGAGCGGGATTTGCCTCCTGATCATCTGCCCCGGAATCCACCACCTTCCTGAATGGCAGTCCCAGCAGCGCCAGGGTGGAAGCAGATGCTGGCTGAGGAGAGAATCCTGCCCTTCCCCGTCCAGCCACTTCCAGCCGTCTCCCAGCCCCTGGGTGCTGCACGGGCAGTACCAAGACTTCCCTGGCCCGGAAGGACCTCTGACAAGGCCCTGGAAGCCCAGCAGGGCCAGGCTGGGCTTTGAGAGGAGATGAGTGTTAGGAGTGCGTGTCAGGTGGGGGAAGGGAGCTGTAAGCAGCAGAGACTGGCCAACCTTGCCCATGAGCTTTAGGTCTCCATCTATGTGTCCATGCAGAAGGGCCCCCAGAGGAGAGCAGCATCCCGGCCTCTGTCAGGAGAGGAGAGAGTTACCCGATTTAAGGAGCTCAGGAGAAAGAGTGAGTGTGCTCAGCTCATCCCTCCCCTGTGGGAGCCAGCTCCCACCAAGGGTGAAGAGGGTCAGGCCCTGGGGTTGGGGGTGGATGGAGGTCTGCAGAGGTCCCCCAGCAGCCCCTGTGAAGGATGGGCAAATTCGTTTGTGCACTGCAGTCTTGGCAGCCTTGCACATTGTCCCCAGCTTCCCGTTCCCCAGCCTACCTCTTTTTTTTTTTGTTTTTGAGACAGGGTCTCACTCTGTCGCCCAGGCTGGAGTGCAGTGGCGCTGTCTCGGCTCACTGCAAGCTCCGCCTCCCGGGTTCACACCGTTCTCCTGCCTCAGCCTCCCGAGTAGCTGGGACTACAGGCGCCCGCCACCATGCCCGGCTAATTTTTTTGAGTTTTTAGTAGAAATGAGGTTTCACCGTGTTAGCCAGGATGGTCTCGATCTCCTGACCTCATGATCTGCCCGCCTTGGCCTCCCAAAGTGCTGGGATTACAGGCATGAGCCACCACGCCCGGCCTCATCCCCAGCCTACCTCTTGTAAAAATGAGCTGCCACTTTGCTGTCCATCCCTGGGACCCTGGCAGGCTCCATGAGTAGGCAAGAGAGGGGTGTGGTTCACCAGCCCCACCTCCAACAATGTCGGGAAACTCTGTGTTCCATCTCCTCCTGAAGCTGGCAGCCCTCAGTGTATACTTTCTCAGCTGCAAATGCTACCATTTTAAACTCAGAGGATTTTAAAAAATATATTTGAGCCTCACACAGGAAGACCCAAAAATTATTAAAATATAGAACATTTAGACTGTGGGGCAGAGACTGCATCTGTTCTGTTCACTTACCCCTAGGTCCTAACATACATAGTAGGTACCCAATAAACATAAGCTTAGCAAATGACTGAAAATTAATTTAAGCAGCTCATATGTGAAAAGAGCATATACACAAAGATGTTCATTGCAGCATTGTTTATAATGGTAGAAAATTATTTTGTACAATCTGGTTAAGAAATCTGTGGTATATGAATGCAATGAAATGGCATGCTATTATTAGAATTAACAAGAGGACTATCAAACCAGGAGAACAGGTTTACGGGATGTTGCTAAATGAAATTTAATAATACTGTGATTTAAAGAATGTAAACGTGTATATCTACATAGATGAAGATTGAAAGGCCCATTTAGAGATAAAGTCATTGCTGTGTAAAATTAGCAGCAATTAAGAAACACCTTTGGTAATGTTTTACAGTGGATTCTAGAATATGTTTTAAACTCTTTTAAAGAAACCCCTGCAGTATTTTCTAAACAGATGAGATGGTGGTTTGCTATTTTCCAGAGTCCATTGAGTGAGCTGTGAAAGGCCCCATTGGATAGGGGGCTTCTGGAAATTTCCATCTCCCCACCTCCTGGTGGGTAGCAACTCAGAGCTGGCAAAATTATTCTTGGCAAAGGCAATCTCATGTCAGAAAGAGTTCTCAGTGCAAAGAGCCTTTAGCAACAGAGGTGCTAGAATCTGTGTCGGTGAAGCTTTGCAAACAGCAGGGATTCCACAGAGGCCTTTTCAGGCCTTTATTTCCCACTCTGTACCTTCTCCTCCTTCTTTTTTTTTTTTTTTCCCAAGTTTTGTAAACATCCCAGGGATGATTTTTGTACTCCCCCAGGTCTGTGGGAGTCGGATGAGATGGAAAGAGGCCTCGCATTGTCCCTGCAGACCTGTATCCCTTCCGGCCACCCCTGCTGCCCTCACACTCCCCTCCCACCACAGCACCCACCTGTGGTCTGACAGAGGACACCACACCTTTGCCCATTCTCACACCCCCTCCCGCTGGACAGCCCCTGTCCTTAATGAGGCAGCTTGATGTTTTGTGGGACCTGCTGGTGTCCTGCCCAGGGAGGGGTGTGAGGGGTGGTGGGCTGGCCTGCTCCTGGAACTGTAGCATCAAACTGTTCAGGCTTTCATTTGCAACAGCCACACACTGGGACACCAAAATAGGTCCCGGCGGAGATGTGGGTGGGGCTGGCCTGGGCTTGGCCCCACCCAAGTAGGGCGCCAGGGAGACAGAGTGCCCCAGCACCACCAAGGTGGGCAGAAGCCATGTGGGGCCACTGAGAGAAATTCCACTGAGGTTCCTGTTGGGCCTTCCTTCCACCCAAAGTTTTGGACCTTCTGCTTGAGTGAATTATAGTGGGAATTCTGGGCTTTGGCTTTGGGGGCTGCCAGATGAGAAGGGTCTTAGTGTTCAACTGGTCCCACCTGGCACTGCGGGAAAAGCAGAAGCTGTCACCTCCCAGCTCTGCCATTTACTAGCGCAAGTTGTTGAAGGCCATCGATTCAACGCCATTTAGGTGTGTGCTAAGCGTTACATACACCTTATCCTTTGTCATCTCCACAGCTCTGGCATGGGTGTACTCTTCAGAGATGACAAAACTGAGGCCCAGAAAGGGTGAGTCACTGGCCCAGGGTCACCCAGCTTATCGTAGGTGAAGCTAGGATTTAAACCCAGATCTAATTTTCCTCCCAAGCAGGTGACTTAATCTTTCTCCTGAGCTACCTTCTCGTGTCTTCCCGAAGCCAATTTCCCTTGCAAAGCAGCAGAGCAACTTGACATTGGTGCACATGTTCCCCTCCAGAAATCCCGCCTGCAAAAACTCTGAAAATGGAAAGTTTATTCATGGGAAAACTTGCCCTGAGCTGCCACAAGGCTCATTGTGGTCTTGATTTATCTCACTTATTGTGGACGTTCACATGATTTCCTGAAGAAATATGAATGAGTTAGACTGTGGATCTGTTAGACGTTGCTGGGAATCTGACAGGGTATGCAGAAATCACACTGTGTTTCTCTAGGAAATCCTGAATTCTCAAACACATCAGGTCCCAAGGGATTCAGACAAGGGCTGTGGATCTGTATAAAATGGTCCACTAATGCTCACGGCAGGTGGGGGGCTGCTCATACATTCCTCATAGAAAATCTTTCTGTAAGGCAATAACTATCAGCAGTGGTTAGCATGCACCCGCTCTTTGACTCAGCAATTCCTCTTCTAGGAATTTTTCCTAAGGATTTGAGGATAAGAATATTCATTACAGCAGAAATCTGGTACCGCCCTAAAATCTCAAAGCAGGGAAATAGTTAAGTAAAGGGTAATATACCTTCCTTAGATGGAACATTATGTAACCATTAAAAAGGGTGCTTAAGGCTGACGTGGTGGCTCACGCCTATAATCCTAGTGCTTTGGGAGGCCAAGGTGGGAAGATTGCTTGAGCCTAGGAGTGCAAGGATTCAGTGAGCTGTGAGTGCACCACTGCGCCCCTGCCTGGATGGGAGAACAAGACCCTGTCTCAGAAAAAAATAAAAAAGGTGCTTAATGTGTAAGTTTAGTAATCTGGAAAAAGTATTCATTATAGCTAGTAAGTGCTGGGGGGTGGGGGAAGACACAAAGTTACCAAATAGCATGTACTATGTGACCCAATTTTTGTTAAAAGGGAAAAAAATAAAATGACAACAAAGAACACTGTGACACTGTGAATCCGCTTCCACTGCTGAAAACAGGTCTCGGTTTTGCAGGTCTCTCTTCCACAAAAGGCAGGACCGGGCTAAGAACAGTAGCTGGCTGCACTGCTATTGCTCTGCCCTGTAAAGGATACCTTCAGTCCTTATGTGACTCAAAGCTGGCCTGTCCCCATCGCTGCCCCTCTGCGAGGGCAGGGGCGGGAAGGAGGCCTAGATTGCCACAGCAGTGCTACAATGGATTTTAGTTACGGCCCCTTCCATAGCCTGATTTGGGGTCATTTAGGGATATTCATCCACTTATTTAACAAACATGTGTCTTATTTACCAGACACTGTGTTAAATGCCAAGGAGGCAGAGATGAGTAAGACAGGAGGTGGCTAGTTATAAATTCCTCGGCTGTGTCTTATTCATCTCTGCTTGCCTTATTTAGGGTAGTACCAGGCACCTCCTAGGTAGGGGTTCCCTAAACAAATGATGAATGAACAGGGTCCCTGTCCTTCGAAAACTCACGGGCTAGGAAAGGGAAACTGATGAGCAAGTTTGTTATAGCGTTGGTAGTGGCATGTCCCGGAGGGACACACAGGAAGGATAATCCATTCCAGAGGGCAGGGTGAGGGGAAGAGTGGAGTGAATTCAGCCTTCATTGCTTTCACAAGCACTCTCTTCTGGACGGACGCTCCCATTAAGTCTAACAACCAGGCTATTTAGCGCCTCAGAGCCGAGAGAATATGTGCAATGCCATTGAGGAGCCAGGACACAGGGCTCTTGTGTTAGGTTCCTAATGACGGTGATAAAGAAGACGATTTAGGCATCTGACTATTGCATCCAGTATGTTCTCTTTCCCTTTGCTATCTCTCAAGTCGAGGCGGCGAATGGGGAGAGGACCCCTGGGGGATTCCCAGGTGCAGCCATTTTGTGTATGGCCATTCTGCTTCCTGGTTCATGACCCAACAGGAAGGACACAGCTGGGAGGGTCTTGATCAAGGGCAGGACCAGAGATGAGGCAGATCTGGGCACTGATAGATGACGATAATTAAAAAGGTATGTAGGTCGGGCACAGTGGTTCATGCCTGTCATTCCAGGACTGTGGGAGGCTGAGGAGTGAGGATTGCTTGAGCCAAGGAGTTCAAGACCAGCATGGGCAACATAGTGAGACCCCCATCTCTAAAAAGAAAAAAAATACAATAATTAGCTGGGCATGTTAGTACACATCTGTAGTCCTGGCTACTTGGGAAGCTGAGGTGTGAGGATTGTTTGAAACCAGGAGGTTGAGGTTGCAGTGAGTGGAGATTGTGCCACTGCACTCCAGCCTTAGTGACAGAGAGAGACCCTATCAAAAAAAACAAAAACAAAAATAAAAACAAAGAAAACAAAATTGACTCATTAAAATTAATCATTTAACAAATAGTTACAAAGTACCTACCCTGTGCTAGAAGCTCAGTCCTGGTTCCTCAACAATGAACAGAAGCATCCACCCTCCTGGGGTGGCCTCTCCAGTGAGAGCCCCGGGCCTCCTCAAGTGAGAATTCAATGGAAAGTGTAGTTTTAGGCCGGGATCCCTGAGGACCCCAGGCACTGGGGAGTCTGTCTAAGGGAAAATGAGTAGGGGACCCAGAAAGGGGAAGGCCAGGGGCAGCCTGCGGCCCCCCTGTGTCATCTTCCTCACCCTGAAAAGTTCCCTCTTGACCCTTTGGAGGTAGCCAGAGACTGCTGTCTATCCACCATCCAGAAAATCCAGCCACCTACAGCTTCTGTAACCACCATGCGATTACTTCCAATCTCTCAAATGGGGTTTGCGGGCTCCCCTCCTTTCATAATTGTAGCTAACATCATCGAGCACTTTCTATATGCCCAGCACTATTCTAAGTGGGTCACATGCAGTAACTCATGTTCAATTCTCACAATATCCCCATGAGATCAGTCCTGTGTCATTCTTATCATACCCATTTTTCAGATGAGAACACTGAGGTACAGAAAGTAGAAATAGCTTGTTCAAGGTCTTACAGCTGATAATCTGTGGAGTTAGGACTTGAAGCCAGACAGACCGAACTCAGCACTCATTCTCCTCCCCTCTAGACTCTGATGCCTTTGAGAAGGCTATAATACAAGACACACAGGGTCCTGTCCCTATGGATTACAGTCCAATGGGGACAACAGAGAGTAAACCATAGTGATACCAATCTGATGAGTCTTGTATGGAAGGACCAACTGGTCCTGGCTTGCAGAGACTTTCTGGCTTTAGCACAGAAAACCTCAAATTCTGGGAACCTCAGTCCTTGGCAAACTAGATGGTTGTACTAACCTAGTTGTGTGAAAAGGGAATCATGAAGTACTATTATTTCTTTGCCTGATTTTGAAATTTACTAATTTGACAGGTGTCACATGGGATTTCACTGCTGTTTTTACATTGCCTTTCTTTTGATCACCACGGAGGCTGAACAATGTTCTCGATGCTTTTTAACCAGATTTAGTTTGTAGTTTGTGAATCAGTTTCTCCTAGAATTCGTCTGCTGAGGCAGAGGTTCTCAGCCTTGAGTGGGCATCAGAATCAGAGGAGGGCTTCTGAAAAAGCAGATCTCTGGGTCGTATCCTCAGAGTTTCTCATTCAGTAGGTCTGGGGTGGGGTCTGGGGTTGGGCATTTCTTTCTTTCTTTCTTTCTTTTTTTTTTGAGACATAGTCTCACTCTTTTACCCAGGCTGGAGTGCAGTGATGTGATCTCGGCTCACTGCAATTTCCACCTCCTGGGTCCAAGTGATTCTCTCACCTCAGCCTCCCAAGCAGCTGGGATTACAGGCACATGCCACCATGCCCAGCTAATTTTTGTATTTTTAGTAGAGACAGGGCTTCACCAAGTTGACCAGGCTGGTCTTGAACTCCTGAAATCAGGTGATCCTCCCACCTCAGCTTCCCAAAGTGCTGGGGTTACAGGCGTGAACCAACGCGCCCGGCCTGGGGCTGGGCATTTCTAACAAGCTCCCAGGTGACACTGAGGCTGCCAACTGGTCAGGAACCAAACCTGGAGATGCGCTGTATTTGGGTGTTTTTTGGAAGCTCTCCCTTTAGTAAAGTGGTTCTCACATTTGCTAAATGTGCACCTTAGAATCACCTGGGCAGTGTTACAAAATTCAGATGCTCAGGCCCTACCCTGGACCAGAGGAAGCCAGTCATGGGGAGTGGAACTTGGGCTTTGCTAGTTCATTACAAAATTTCTCAAGTGATTTCCTCATCTCTGTAGTGTTAAAATAAATTAAGATGAAGACCAGTGTGAAGAATCCCTGAGCAGACAAAGCCCGTTATGCTTCATAAGTGACCTTAATCTTCTTGATTTGCAAACATAAGCAAAACTGTATGCCTTTTTCTTTTTTCTAGCCTGACTTCACTAGCTATAACTTCTGGCACTATGCTGAATAAGGGTGGACCTCCTGGCTGGGCGTGGTGGCTCACGCCTGTAATCCCAGCACTTTGGGAGGCAGAGGCAGGTGGATCACAAGGTCAGGAAATCGAGACCATCCTGGCTAAAACGGTGAAATCCCGTCTCTACTAAAAATACAAAAAAAAAAAAAAATTAGCCGGGCGTGGTGGCGGGCGCCTGTAGTCCCAGCTACTCGGGAGGCTGAGGCAGGAGAACGGTGTGAACCCGGGAGGTGGAGCTTGCAGTGAGCCGAGATCATGCCACTGCACTCCAGCCTGGGTGACAGAGTGAGACTCTGTCTCAAAAAAAAAAAAAAAAAAAAAAAGAATGGACCTCCTGGCCTTGTCACTAATTTTGTGGGGGAAAGCATTTAGTCTTTCAAGCATTAAGTGTGTTAGCTATAGTTTTGTAAGTTTTTTTTTTTACAAATGGGTGCTGAATTTTGTCAAATGCTTTTTCTGCATTAATTTATATGATCATATTATTTCTCTTCTTTCACCTGTTAATATGGTGGATTGCATTGATTGATTTTCAAATATTCAACTACCCTTTCATCTGTGGAATAAACTCCAGTTGGTCATCCTGTACAATCCTTGAGATATATTGCTGAATTCTATTTGCTAATATTTTGTTAAGGATTTTCATGTATATATTCATGAGGGATATTGATCTGTAGGTTTTTTTTACTACCTTGGTTTTATTTATTTGTTTGTTTGTTTTTGAGACAGAGTCTCTCTCTGTTGCTCAGGCTGGAGTTCAGTGGCGCGATCTTGGCTCAGTGTAACCTCTGCCTCCCAGGTTCAAGTGATGCTTCTGCCTCAGCCTCCTGAGTAACTGGGATTACAGGCATGTGCCGCCATGCCTGGCTAATTTTTGTATTTTTAGTAGAGACAGGATTTCGGCATCTTGGCCAGGCTGGTCTCGAACTGCTGACCTCAAGTGATCCGCCCACCTCGGCCTCCCAAAGTGCTGGAATTACAGGTGTGAGCCACCGTGCCCAGCCAGCAGCCTCAACCTCTTAAGCTCAAGCAGTCCTCTGGCCTCAGCTTCCCGAGTAGCTGGGACTACAGGCACATGCTACCATGCCTGGTTAATTTTTGTAATTTTTATAGAGACAGTGTCTCACTTTGTTGCCCAGGCTGGTCTTGAACCCCTGGGCTCAAGTCATCCTCCCACTTTGACCTCCCAAAATGCTAGGATTACAGATGTGAGCCACTGTACTCATTCCTATCTGTGGTTTTAATATCAGGGAAATACTATCTTCATAAAATGAATTGGAAAGTGTTCCCTCCTCTTCTATTTTCTGAAAGAGAATGTAGAGAGATGGTGTGAATTCCTCTTTAAACATTTGGTAGAATTCTTCAGTGAAACCATCTGGATCTGGAGACTTCTTTTTTGGGAGTTTTAAAATTGCAAATTCGATTTCCTTAACAGTTGTAGGCATACTCAAATTATCTAGTTCACATTGGGTGAGTTGTAGTCATTTGTATTTTTCAAGGAATCGGTCCTTTTTAACTAAGTTGTCAAATGAATGTGTGTTCTCACTAGCTTTAAAAAATTCTCTTCCCTCCATTAGTTTCTCTCACATTGAAATGAGATGCTGATTCCTCCACATGCCTTCCCTCCCTCCAGATCAATGACAAAACGCATTCTCCTGTGCCCTAATCCAGGACAGCATTCTTGACAGGCAGAGCCCAGGATGGGGCAGTCCCGATGTAAACCCACAGTTTCGAGGAACCAGTTGGCCTTGGACCTCTCTGAAGAGCTCTGGAACCAGAAGGGGCTGGCGGTCCTCTAAGTCACCTTAGCCTACCTGGAGAGACCTCCGAGGCGGGAGGTAGGAGCTCCGTCCTTAAGGGCAGGTTTGAGAAGTCAAAAACGCTGGGGGCCCTGGGTACCACTAGGTGGCGCTCAAAACATACAGTTGCTCTTGGAGGCCAACAGTGGACCGAAGAACCTCTGTTTAGCTAGATTTGGTCTGTGGGGCATTTGTTCTTTAAGTGAGATGCACTTTAGAGTCTAGAAGCTGCAAGGACCCCACGAGCTCTGGGTTGGTGGACTTGGTAATACTTTCTCTGACTTCCCTACTGACAAAGGAGGGAAGGCTTGAGAGGTGGTGCTGGTTGGAGGCTCCTGCGAGATGTCAGAAGCACCTACCTCCGTGTGGGCTGCTGAGACAAGCATGCCCACGCGGAGCCTCTGTGTGGTTATGAAGTGTCAACACCCCGGCCAGGCCTGTAAAGAATCTTAAAGAATCTACCCTGGGCTCCACGTCCCTTCCAGGCTGGCTCAATGCCCACACCCCTTCCAGATCCTGCCCCCTGCAGATACTTTGATCTACCCCACCACGTTAAGTATACTTTAGGGAAAGAGTCCTCTGGAGTCAGTTGGGAGGCTCAAGGTTTTGTCCTGCCTCTGCCGCTAGCAGTGTGCCTTGGGCAAGACTTGTACACATCTTTGCTAGATTCTGGACTGAGTCCAAATCCTGTCTTGACCACCCACAGCTATGGTGCCCTCTTAGGAATGTTACTTAATGTTACTTAACCTTCGTGAGCCTCAGGTTCACAACTGTCATCTGGAGATAATAAAGACACTCATCTCATCTCATAGTGTAGTGAAGTTTTATTTTTTATTTTTTTAGAGACAGGATCTTGCTCTGTTGTCCAGGCTGGAGTGCAGTGATACGATCATAGCTCACTGTAACCTTCAACTTTTGGGCTCAGGTGATCCTCCCACCTTGGCCTCCCAAAGCACTGAGATTACGGGCAGGGAGCCACCATGCCAGCCCCAGCATCGAGTAAGTGCTTGATGGACATTGGCAGTTATTATTTTATCACATTTATTTATTTATTTATTTTGAGATGGAATCGCATTCTGTCACCCAGGCTGGAGTGCAGTGGCACGATCTTGGCTCACTGCAACCTCGGCCTCCCAGGTTCAGGTGATTCTTCTGCCTCAGCCTCCTGAGTAGCTGGGACTACAGGTGCACACCACCATGTCCAGCTAATTTTTATATTTTTAATAGAGATGGGGTTTCACCATATTGGCCAGGCTGGTCTCAAACTACTGACCTTGTGATCCACCCGCCTTGGCCTCCCAAAGTGCTGGGATTACAGGCGTGAGCCATCACGCCCGGCCATTATTATTATTATTATTGTTTTTGAGACATAGTCTCACTCTGTTACCCAGGCTGGAGTGCAGTGGCATGATCACAGTGCACTGCAACATCTGCCTCTGGGGCTCAAGTGATCCTCTCACCTCATCTTCCTAAGTAGCTGGGATTATAGGTGTGCACTGCCACATCTGGCTAATTTTTTTTGGAGGGGGGTGTTTTTAGTAGAGACAGGGTTTCACCATGTTGCCTAGGCTGGGTCTTAAACTCCTAAGCTCAGGTGATCCCGCCACCTCAGCCTCCCAAAGTGCTGGGATTACAGACGTGAGCCACCATGCCCTGCCATTCCTATTGTCACTAATTTTTGTACCTCTCCCATCCCAGCCCTAGCATAGGTTTACTTGTTTTCAATTGCTGCTCTAACACATTACTACTAATAGAATGGCTAAAAACAGCACAAATTTATTCTCTTACAGTTCTAGAGGTCAGAAGTCTATAACCAAGATGTTGGCAGAGCTGTGTTCTCTCCGGAGACCTCAGGGGAAAATCCATTCCCTTGCTTTACCCAGCTTCCAGAGGCCATCCACGTTGCTGGCCTTGTGACCCCTTCTTACATCTCTCCAACCTCTTTCTTCTGTCACCCCATCTTCTGCTACTAATTTGATCCTCTTGCATCCTTTTAAGGATTTGTACCTTGGACCCATACAGATAATCCAGGATAGTTTTCTCATCTCAAGATCCTTAATAACCTGTCTGCAAATTTTCTTTTACCATGGGCAGTAACATATTCGCAGGTTTCAAAGATTAGGATATGGATGTCTTTGGGGGCCATTATTCAGTGTAGCACTCTGCGAAAACAGATTCAGTTCAAAATAAATAAGGATTGGGAAAGGGCTTCATGTGGTTTTATCTTTATATCCCCAGTGCTATGATTTGAATGTTTGTGTTTCCTCAAAATTCATATGCTGAAAACTTAACCCCCAAGGTGATGGTATGAGGAGGTGGGGCCTTTGGGAGGTGATTAGGTTTAGACGAGGTCATGAGGATTGGGCTGTTATGATGGGATTGGTGCCCTTATAAAAACAGCCACAGAGAGACCTTTGCCCCTTCCACCACGTGAGGACACAGTGAGAAGGCACCGTCTAGGAGCCAGGAAGTAGGCTCTTACCAGACACTGAATCTGTTGGCATCTTGATCTTGGACATCCAGCCTCCAGAACTGGGAGAAATAAATTTCTGTTGTGTATAAGCCACCTCGTCTGTGGTATTTTGTTATAGCAGCCTGAATGGATTAAAACACCCAGAGTCTAGCACATTGCCTGTTTGGCCTGGAAGGTACTTACTTACTGAATGAGTGAGTATGGTGAACATTACTGGTGCTCATCAATACCCAGCTCTCCTCTCCTTCTTTGGGTGGGGGCACATGACTAATGACTAGCTTTGGCCAATGAAAGTGAGCACAAGTGAGGTGTGTTACTTCCAGGCTGAGTCAGTGGAAGCCTCCATGTGACACTTCAGCCTCTGTCCTTCCCTGCCATGATAAATGTAGAGGCCTTCTCTCGAGATGGACTGAAGCAGCCTGGATTGTGTGTCACTGCATGGAGAACAGGCACCCTGGATTGTTACCCGCACCTACCTGCTTATATAACCAAGAAACAAACTTAGGAAATTTGGGGAATGCTTGTCACTGTAGCATAGCCTATCTGAATCTATCCAATGCAATGAGTTAATGGAACTGCCCAATCTTTAAGGTCCAAATCAAAACTATGTTATAGGTAGAAGAATCAGCCACACAACATACCTAACTAGTGGTCTTTGGCATGCCCAGGTGGGTGGGTAGTTCCCTCTGCTTCCATGTTTTGCCCAGTATCTAATACTGTATAGCCTCTCTGCTTTGGTTTCCTCATCTGTAAAATCAGGAAAATAATAGTACCTACTTGAGACAACTGTTGAGAGATTATATGATTTAATGCATATAAAGCATTTTAAACAGTGCCTGACATGTGGTTTGGTTGTTGTTGTTGTTGTTGTTTGTTTGTCTTTTTGAGGTGGAGTTTTTGCCCTTGTTGCCCAGACTGAAGTGCAATGGCTCACTGCAACCCCTGCCTCCCAGGTTCAAGTGATTCTCCTGCCTTAGCATCCTGAGTAGCTGGGATTACAGGCGCCTGCCACCAAGCCCGGCTAATTTTGTATTTTTAGTAGAGACAGGGTTTCACCATGTTAGCCAGGCTGGTCTCGAACTCCTGACCTCAGGTGATCTGCCCGCCTCGGCCTCCCAAAGTGCTGGGATTACAGGCATCAGCCACCATGCCCAGCCATGGTAAGTCTTAATATATGTTTGTTATTGTCATCACCACCATCATCACCACTCCCATCACCACTCCCATCACCACCACCACCACCACCATCAACATCACCGTCACCACCCCCATCACCACCACCATCACCACCACCATCACCACCACCATCATCACCACCAACATCACCATCACCACCACCATCATCACCATCATCATCACCATTGTTATCAGGAGGAGGAGCAGGAGAAGGAAGAAATGTTACTTGCACTTCCAGTGTGCAAAGGAGAGAATAAATTTGATCAAATTCAGTAAAGATAAATGCTAGTAATAGCAATCTCACCTTGTCAACTTTAACAAATGAAGCCAATAGAAATTAATTTTAAGGCTAGGCTTGGGGGTTCACGCCCATAATCCCAGCACTTTGGGAGGCCAAGGTGGAAGGATTGCTTCATCCCAAAAGTTTGAGGCCAACCTGGGCAACATAACAAGACCCTGTCTCTACAAAAAAAAAAAAAAAAAGTCAGGTGTGGTGGCCTGTGCCTGTAGTCTCAGCTACTTGGGAGGCTGAGGTGGGAGGATAACTTCCCAGGAGGTCAAGGCTGCAGCGAGCTGTTATCGTGCCACTGCACTCCAAAGCAAGATCTTGTCTCAAAAACAGAAAGAAAGAAAAGAAAAGAAAAGAAATTCATTTAAAAAGTCTTACACATTGTCATGTTTGTTTCTTCCTCTGAGACCATCAAAGTTTCTCGTCCTCCTCCTCCTCCTCTAACTCCTTAATAGACTTATGACTAATTAGAAATCTTTCTTGGAAAAGTAAGAGAAGCTGGGAAGTGAGGAAGATAGCCTATAATGAGACTTTATAAATAAATTTCTACATAATCAATATAGTTCAATGATTTCCCAGAGACACTGGCTTCTCTGCCATGCTATCAGTCATAGTTTCAGCCAGTGAAAGCAAGGAGTGTGTTAGAAGCCCAGGTGGCAACTTTAGGACTCTCAGCTGCTTTGATGTAGTTGCTCACTGAAGCTGGACTGTCCATTTAAGAAATCATTCATTCATTCGCCACATATTTGTTGAGCACTGCTGAGGGCCAGGCACTGTTCTGGGCAGCTCTGGGGTGGGACTGGCGGGTATTAGGACACTCCCCACCCCCTTCTGATGATTGGTTCAGGAACAGACATGTGACCCATGCAGCTGAGGAACTGTTTGCTGGAGGTCCTGAGAAAGTTCCTTTCTTTTCCACAGGGCAAGAAAGAAAATGAAAATTATTTATGCAGTAGGTGTATAAAAGTGCCATATGCAAAAAATTTTCATCACAGCACGGCCTGCAACAGTGAATCACTGGAAGAAATCATAGAGTTTCGTTAAGCAAGCTGTGGTATCTCAATAAAAAGCAATGCCATGCTGTTATTTAAAATAACGCAATGACTATAAAACATGAAGAAATGTTTACATAAAGATACTAAGAGAAAAAATTATACACAAAACTATATAGATATGCTGTGAGGAATTAAAATGAGAAAGTCATAATTAACAAATGGAAGTAAGGTCTTTGTAAGACTGCTGGGATTATGAGTATTTAAAAACATCCTTTGAATTATTTTACAGTAGTCTCTATATTTTATTTCTTCTAAAGAACCCTCACAGTAATTTCTAAACAGGTGAATCAGTTGGTTGCCATTTCCTAGGGCCTCCTCAGTGAGCACATTACTCCGATTTTCCTGGAAGTCACTCTACAGTCGTGAGGGTTCCAGCCTTCTGATGAAGCCAACGCTGAGT
The DNA here is from genome assembly GCF_000001405.40 of Homo sapiens. Lineage (NCBI taxonomy): Eukaryota > Metazoa > Chordata > Mammalia > Primates > Hominidae > Homo > Homo sapiens. Next base: position 104,387,307 of record NC_000012.12, read on the forward strand.
GTGGCAGAGAGGAGGGACGGAAAGGGACAAGCTCCCTCAGGATCTCAGCGAGCTGCTTGACCACGCTGCTGGACTCTTCCTGGGTAGCTGGCAAACTGCCAAATTATTTCATCTGGCTGGGGTTGGACTTGTGATTGAGGCAGACAGCATTGTAACCTAAACCCTCCCCATAGCTGCGTTCACTTCTTTCATCACATGTTAACACCCCTACAAAATCAATGTATTACCTTGCAAAAGTTGTTGAAAAAGAGCCACTTTTGGAGAAGGTGTTCTGTGGAAGCAACCATTCCTTATGCTCTTTGTCACTAAGCTCTCCAGGGCACTGTACTGCTGCCAGATTTGAGAACCACTGCTCAGGTGCAACTCTATTTCAGAGTGTGCCCAGGAATCACAGGCAAGGCAGCCCAGCGCAGATAAAGAGAAGTTGATTGAAGGGAATCAACATCATGTGTGTTTCTTATTCCTACAGATGCATAATCAAATATATAAGTAAAAATTGACATTTCCTTTGAGAACTACTTGGACAGTGACCTGAACATCTCAAGAAAAACCTTGGTGGAATTGCATGAACCTGATTTGGGTCAAAATTAAGCACCACGCTGAAAATCATGCCTTTGTGAAATGACAAATTGAAAGTGTTCAGAAATTGCATTTGAACTAGTTGAGATCCTGATACAGGTTAGTGGTTCTTTACCTTACCATTTGATGAAGGGGTGACATTGATGATTCAAGCATTTTAGCAAGCTTTATTTGCTCTATCTGTAATGAAAATGTAATAATAGTAACATTTCATTGGTTCTAAGCTGCAATTCTACGGCCCCCCACCCCCTAACCCACATACATTTTTAGCAGCTGTGTAATTAGGATGGGTCTTAAGATCAGTGTCTTACAGTCATTGACACAAGGTCATAACATGGTTGTCATTGCCGACACCTTCTGGTGAGATCCAGAAAGACCCGGGAACAAAATTTGCAGAATGAGTGAGTGTCAGCAGCCTGGGAGAAACCTCTGAGACCTCACCATAGCATCTTTGTAAGAACTGCTTCCTCATCAACGCTCTTGATGGCAAAGGGTGATTTTGTATTGAAAGATACACACAATGACAAGATTGAGCTGAAAATCACAAACAAGATTTAGACTCTCTGAAAAAGTTTGGGAATAACTTAACCAACCTTTTTCACTTGTTTTCCTATTTTGAGTGCCCAAGGGTGACACATGAGATGTCTAAATAAGTCTAAAAAATTACTTTCAATAAGTCTTTTTTAAAAATTATTATACTTTAAGTTTTAGGGTACATGTGCACAATGTGCAGGTTTGTTACATATGTATGCATGTGCCATGTTGGTGTGCTGCACCCATTAACTTGTCATTTACATTAGGTATATCTCCTAATGCTGTCCCTCCCCCCTACCCCCACCCCACAACAGGCCCCGGTGTGTGATGTTCCCCCTCCCGTGTCCATGTGTTCTCATTGTTCAGTTCCCACCTATGAGTGAGAACATGCAGTGTTTGGTTTTTTGTCCTTGCGATAGTTTGCTGAGAATGATGGTTTCCAGCTTCATCCATGTCCCTACAAAGGACATGAACTCATCATTTTTTATGACTCCATAGTATTCCATGGTGTATATGTGCCACATTTTCTTAATCCAGTCTATCATTGATGGACATTTGGGTTGGTTCCAAGTCTTTGCTATTGCAAATAGTGCTGTAATAAACATACGTGTGCATGTGTCTTTATAGCAGCATGTTTTATAATCCTTTGGGTATATACCCAGTAATGGGATGGCTGGGTCAAGTGGTATTTCTAGTTCTAGATCCCTGAGGAATCACCACACTGACCTCCACAATGGTTGAACTAGTTTACAGTCCCACCAACAGTGTAAAAGTGTTCCTATTTCTCCACATCCTCTCCAGCACCTGTTGTTTCCTGACTTTTTAATGATCGCCATTCTAACTGGTGTGAGATGGTATCTCACTGTGGTTTTGATTTGCATTTCTCTGCTGGCCAGTGATGATGAGCATTTTTTCATGTGTCTTTTGGCTGCATAAATGTCTTCTTTTGAGAAGTGTCTGTTCATATCCTTCGCCCACTTGTTGACGGGGTTGTTTTTTTCTTGTAAATTTTTTGGAGTTCATTGTAGATTCTGGCTATTAGCCCTTTGTCAGATGAGTAGATTGCAAAAATTTTCTCCCATTCTGTAGGTTGCCTGTTCACACTGATGGTAGTTTCTTTTGCTGTGCAGAAGCTCTTTAGTTTCATTAGATTCCATTTGTCAATTTTGGCTTTTGTTGCCATTGCTTTTGGTGTTTTAGACATGAAGTCCTTGCTCAAGCCTATGTCCTGAATGGTATTGCCTAGGTTTTCTTCTAGGGTTTTTATGGTTTTAGGTCTAACATTTAAGTCTTTAATCCATCTTGAATTAATTTTTGTATAAGGTGTTAAGGAAGGGGTCCAGTTTTAGCTTTCTACATATGGCTAGCCAGTTTTCCCAGCACCATTTATTAAATAGGGAATCCTTTCCCCATTTCTTGTTTTTGTCAGGTTTGTCAAAGATCAGATAGTTGTAGATATGCGGCATTATTTCTGAGGGCTCCATTCTGTTCCATTGGTCTATATATCTGTTTTGGTACCAGCACCATGCTGTTTTGGTTACTGTAGCCTTATAGTATAGTTTGAAGTCAGGTAGCATGATGCCTCCAGCTTTGTTCTTTTGGCTTAGGATTGACTTGGCAATGCGGGCTCTTTTTTGGTTCCATATGAACTTTAAAGTAGTTTTTTCCAATTCTGTGAAGAAAGTCATTGGTAGCTTGATGGGGATGGCACTGAATCTATAAATTACCTTGGGCAGTATGGCCATTTTCATGATATTGATTCTTCCTACCCATGAGCATGGAACGTTCTTCCATTTGTTTGTATCCTCTTTTATTTCATTGAGCAGTGGTTTGTAGTTCTCCTTGAAGAGGTCCTTCACGTCCCTTGTAAGTTGGATTCCTAGGTATTTTATTCTGTTTGAAGCAGTTGTGAATGGGAGTTCACTCATGATTTGGCTCTCTGTTTGTCTGTTATTGGTGTATAAGAATGCCTGTGATTTTTGCACATTGATTTTGTATCCTGAGACTTTGCTGAAGTTCCTATCAGCTTAAGGAGATTTTGGGCTGAGACGATGGGGTTTTCTAGATATACAATCATGTCATCTGCAAACAGGGACAATTTGACTTCCTCTTTTCCTAATTGAATACCCTTTATTTCCTTCTCCTGCCTGATTGCCCTGGCCAGAACTTCCAACACTATGTTGAATAGGAGTGGTGAGAGAGGGCATCCCTGTCTTGTGCCAGTTTTCAAAGGGAATGCTTCCAGTTTTTGCCCATTCGGTATGATATTGGCTGTGGGTTTGTCATAGATAGCTCCTATTATTTTGAGATATGTCCCATCAATAGCCAATTTATTGAGAGTTTTTAGCATGAAGCATTGTTGAATTTTGTCAAAGGCCTTTTCTGCATCTATTGAGATAATCATGTGGTTTTTGTCGTTGGTTCTGTTTATATGCTGGATTATGTTTATTGATTTGTGTATGTTGAACCAGCCTTGCATCCCAGGGATGAAGCCCACTTGATCATGGTGGATAAGCTTTTTGATGTGCTGCTGGATTCAGTTTGCCAGTATTTTACTGAGGATTTTTGCATCGATGTTCATCAGGGATATTGGTCTAAAATTCTCTTTTTTTTGTTGTGTCTCTGCCAGGCTTTGGTATCAGGATGATGCTGGCCTCATAAAATGAGTTAGGGAGGATTCCCTCTTTTTCTATTGATTGGAATAGTTTCAGAAGGAATGGTACCAGCTCCTCCTTGTACCTCTGGTAGAATTTGGCTGTGAATCCATCTGGTCCTGGACTTTTTTTGGTTGGTAAGCTATTAATTATTGCCTCAATTTCAGAGCCTGTTATTGGTCTATTCAGAGATTCAACTTCTTCCTGGTTTAGTCTTGGGAGGGTGTATGTGTCGAGGAATTTATCCATTTCTTCTAGATTTTCTGGTTTATTTGTGTAGAGGTGTTTATAGTATTCTCTGATGGTAGTTTGTATTTCTGTGGGATTGGTGGTGATATCCCCTTTATCATTTTTTATTGCGTCTATTTGATTCTTCTCTCTTTTCTTCTTTATTAGTCTTGCTAGCGGTCCATCAATTTTGTTGATCTTTTCAAAAAACCAGCTCCTGGATCCATTGATTTTTTGAATGGTTTTTTGTGTCTCTAGCTCTTCCATTTCTGCTCTGATCTTAGTTATTTCTTGCCTTCTGCTAGCTTTTGAATGTGTTTGCTCTTGCTTCTCTAGTTCTTTTAATTGTGATGTTAGGGTGTCAATTTTAGATCTTTCCTGCTTTCTCTTGTGGGCATTTAGTGCTATAAATTTCCCTCTACACACTGCTTTTAATGTGTCCCAGAGATTCTGGTATGTTGTGTCTTTGTTCTCTTTGGTTTCAAAGAACATCTTTATTTCTGCCTTCATTTTGTTATGTACACAGTAGTCATCCAGGAGCAGGTTGTTCAGTTTCCATGTAGTTGAGCAGTTTTGAGTGAGTTTCTTAATCCTGTGTTCTAGTTTGATTGCACTGTGGTCTGAGAGACAGTTTGTTATAATTTCTATTCTTTTACATTTGCTGAGGAGTGCTTTACTTCCAAATATGTGGTCAATTTTGGAATAGGTGTAGTGTGTGCTGAAAAGAATGTATATTCTGTTGATTTGGGGTGGAGAGTTCTGTAGATGTCTATTAGGTCTGCTTGGTGCAGAGCTGAGTTCAGTTCCTGGGTATCCTTGTTAACTTTCTGTCTCATTGATCTGTCTAATGTTGACAGTGGAGTGTTAAAGTCTCCCATTATTATTGTGTGGGGGTCTAAGACTCTTTGTAGGTCTCTAAGGACTTGCTTTATGAATCTGGGTGCTCCTGTATTGGGTGCATATATATTTAGGATAGATAGCTCTTCTTGTTGAATTGATCCCTTTACCATTATGTAATGGCCTTCTTTGTCTCTTTTGATCTTTGTTGGTTTAAAGTCTGTTTTATCAGAGACTAGGATTGCAACCCCTGCTTTTTTTGTTTTCCATTTCCTTGGTAGATCTTCCTCCATCCCTTTATTTTGAGCCTATGTGTGTCTCTGCACTTGAGATGGTTTTCCTGAATACAGCACACTGATGGGTCTTGACTCTTTATCCAGTTTGCCAGTCTGTGTCTTTTAATTGGAGCATTTAGCCCATTTACATTTACGGTTAATATTGTTAAGTGTGAATTTGATCCTGTCATTATGATGTTAGCTGGTTATTTTGCTCGTTAATTGATGCAGTTTCTTCCTAGCCTCTCTGGTCTTTACAATTTGGCATGTTTTTGCAGTGGCTGGTACCAGTTGTTCCTTTCCATGTTTAGTGCTTCCTTCAGGAGCTCTTTTAGGGCAGGCCTGGTGGTGACAAAATCTCTCAGCATTTGCTTGTCTGTAAAGGATTTTATTTCTCCTTCACTTATGAAGCTTAGTTTGGCTGGATATGAAATTCTGGGTTGAAAACTCTTTTCTTTAAGAATGTTGAATATTGGCCTCCACTCTCTTCTGGCTTGTAGAGTTTCTGCCAGGAGATCAGCTGTTAGCCTGATGGGCTTCCCTTTGTGGGTAACCTGACCTTTCTCTCTGGCTTCCCTTAACATTTTTTCCTTCATTTCAACTTTGGTGAATCTGACAATTATGTGTCTTGGAGTTGCTCTTCTCGAGGAGTATCTTTGTGGCATTCTCTGTATTTCCTGAATTTGAATGTTGGCCTGCCTTGCTAGATTGGGGAAGTTCTCCTGGATAATATCCTGCAGACTGTTTTCCAACTTGGTTCCATTCTCCCCGTCACTTTCAGGTACACCAATCAGATGTAGATTTGGTCTTTTCACATAGTCCCATATTTCTTGGAGGCTTTGTTCATTTCTTTTTATTCGTTTTCCTCTAAACTTCTCTTCTTGCTTCATTTCATTCGATTTTCCATCACTGATACCCTTTCTTCCAGTTGATCGAATCAGCTACTGAGGCTTGTGCATTCATCACATAGTTCTCGTGCCATGGTTTTCAGCTCCTTCAGGTCCTTTAAGGACTTCTCTGCATTGGTTATTCTAGTTAGCCATTTGTCTAATTTTTTTTCAAGGTTTTTAACTTCTTTGCCGTGGGTTTGAACTTCCTCCTTTAGCTCAGAGTAGTTTGATCGTCTGAAGCCTTCTTCTCTCAACTCGCCAAAGTCATTCTCCGTCCAGCTTTGTTCTGTTGCTGGTGAGGAGCTGTGTTCCTTTGGAAGAGGAGAGGTGCTCTGATTTTTAGTTTCCAGTTTTTCTGCTCTGTTTTTTCCCCATCTTTGGGGTTTAATCTACCTTTGGTCTTTGATGATGGTGACATACAGATGGGGTTTTGGTGTGGATGTCCTTTCTGTTTGTTAGTTTTCCTTCTAACAGTCAGGACTCTCAGCTGCAGGTCTGTTGGAGTTTGCTGGAGGTCCACTCCAGACCTTGTTAGCCTGGATATCAGCAGCAGAGGCTGCAGAACAGCGGATATTGGTGAACAGCAAATGCTACTGCCTGATCGTTCCTCTGGAAGTTTTGTCTCAGAGGAGTACCCAGCCGTGTGAGGTGTCAGTCTGCCCCTACTCGGGGGTGCCTCCCAGTTAGGCTACTCGGGGGTCAGGGACCCACTTGAGGAGGCAGTCCGTCCTTTCTCAGATCTCCAGCTGCGTCCTGGGAGAGCCACTACTGTCTTCCAAGCTGTCAGACAGGGACATTTAAGTCTGCAGAGGTTTCTGCTGCCTTTTGTTTGGCTATGCCCTGCCCCCAGAGGTGGAGTCTGCAGAGGCAGGCAGGCCTCCTTGAGCTGCGGTGGGCTCCACCCAGTTCGAGCTTCCCAGCTGCTTTGTTTACCTACTCAAGCCTCGGCAATAGCGAGCGCCCCTGCCCCAGCCTCGCTGACGCCTTGCAGTTTGATCTCAGACTGCTGTGCTAGCAGGGAGCAAGGCTCCGTGGGTGCAGGACCCTCCGAGCCAGGCACGGGATATAATCTCCTGGTGTGCCATTTGCTAAGACCATTGGAAAAGCGCAGTATTAGGGTGGGAGTGACCCAGTTTTCCAGGTGCCATCTGTCACCCCTTTCTTTGACTAGGAAAGGGAATTCCCTGACTCCTTGCACTTCCCAGGTGAGGGGATGCCTCACCCTGCTTTGTCTCATGCTGGGTGCCCTGCACCCACTGTCCTGCACCCACTTTCCGACACTCCCCAGTGAGATGAACCGGTACCTCAGTTGGAAATGCAGAAATCACCCGTCTTCTGTGTCGCTCACGCTGGGAGCTGTAGACTGGAGCTGTTCCTATTCAGCCATCTTGGCTCCACCCCCTCAATAAGTCTTAAAAATTTTGAGAGATCTAAGAAAGTATTATGTCATAATTTAATTAGTAGCGTCTTCTGTTTGCTTCCTCAGTGATATATAAAATAATGGTGCATGTTATAATTAACAACATATTGCATACAATGAAATACAGTAACAGTTCACACATATAGAACTTCTGATCTGCCATGGGTCAGTGCTCCATTCATGTTAACTCATTCAAGAGCCATTTTATAGATAAGGAAACTGAGGCACTTAGAAGATACAACCACACAGCCAGAGATTGGTAGAGCTAGATGGGATTCCAACCCAGGCAGTCAGCCCCAGGGTCTGTATGATAGCATCTCACTGAGAGAGGTGCTACTTTGCAATGTGTCAGATAATAACTGGTGAATTGTTGACCAGATTTGTATTTTAACAAGCATAACACTGATTAAGAAAAAAAAAAGTGCAAATATGTTGTGAAAACGAGGCCAATTGTGTGATTGGTAAAAAAGCAGCAGAAGAAACTTGCATCAACGCTATTTATCACCCCGAACATTCCAGAAGGTGCTGCTTCCTTTACGTATGGCCTCTCACACCAGAGTGTTTCTCATTGTGTTCCATGGAGTGTTGAAAAGAGTAGAAATAAAAGTAGTTTGGGTACTTATCTCTTCTCATAACTTATATTGAAATGGGGAGTGACTTTGATGACTTCTACACAGATGTTTGCAGCCTTTGTCAAGGGAAGAAGCAATCTCAGTTGTCGAGGACTGAATTCAGGCCTGAGTTATTTTTGTTTGCCAAGTTTTAAGTAGACATTAGGACAAAGGGTAAACCTGTGAATTTAGTGTTTGACCTAATAGGAAAGCCTAGCCCTCAATACTGTATTTAGCAGATTTTTTAAAAAGGCTGAATTAGTTCAAATTTTATTTTATTTTATTGCTTTTATTGTATTTTACAAGATTGATAGGATGACAATGAAATTTGAGATATCAATGGCTATAATTGATTATGGAGACTGAGTCTTTGGAGGCTTAATTCATTTTCAGGTGACAAAAGTTACAGCCTTGGTGATAAAATAGAACACAAAAAAAATCAGTCATCTTTGTTCATGGAAATAACTTTCATCTTAGTTCATGGAAATATCTTTTGAAAACTGTTTTCTAAGGAGGGGAAGAGAGAGAGAGAAAAAAAAAGAGAGAAAGAGCAACTGGGATCAGAGACTGCTAAATTCCACCATCTGATACCAGCTTCTTGCTGTCTAAGAGGATGTTTATGGAATTAATATGGTTTGGCTGTATCCCCACCCAAATCCATCTTATCTTGAATTGTAGCTCCCATAATCTCTATATGTTGTGGGAGGGACCCAGTGGGAGGTAATTGAATCATGGTGGCAGGTCTTTCCCATGCTATTCTCGTGATAGTGAATACATATCACGTGATCTGATGGTTTTATAAAGGGGAATTCCCCTGCACACTCTCTCTTGCCTGCCACCATATAAAACGTGCCTTTACTCCTCCTTCACCTTACACCATGATTGTGAGGCCTCCCTAGGAACGTGGAACTGAGTCCATTAAACCTCTTTTTCTTTATAAATAAGCCAGTCTTGGATATGTCTTTATTAGCAGTGTGAGAATGGTCTAATACAGAATGTCCATGGATAGGAGCCTCAAAGAGGTGCATGGTACTTCCTCCCTGACAGTACTTTCTCCCCTGAGACTTCCTTGCTGTCTGCCATCTGCCTTCTGCACCCAAATGTTTATGAGCATCTGAATTTTCCAGCTATCATGAAAAGAAATTGCCCTGAATCTGCTTGCAGTATGCACTCACTTCAATTCAGTACAAATTTTCCAGAATTTCTTGGTACTTTAGCATTGCATTCATTGACTGAAAAAAAAGGTAGAATTTTTTGAAAAAATGTGTAAGTAATTTAAAGCATTATTGTTGCATTAAATTCAATGCAGCTACATTACTGGGGAATATATGAAATCCAGGTGAATCTTAAAGTGAAAACTAAGATGAGCAGATACATTTCTAACTTCCTGGTCAGCTTCAGTCTAGACCTCCAAGCCCCCAGGGTTCAGTGATCATTTTTGCTGCCCCAAACGATACTGGTGTGGAAAAGTTTGAGGCGCTCTAGGTTACAAAGAGTCCCTTGAGCCTCTTGGCCATTGGTCATTAAGCAGAAAAATACACCCGGTTCCTTCTGTCCTTGGCTGCCTCCCATTGCTGTTTACCCATGACCATGGTCTGCCCATTGGCAGGCAGGGTCTTTTGGAGTTAAGGGCTTCCTTGGCAGAGTGTCCCCTGTAGTTTTAGACCAGGAGGTCCATGGAGTGTGGTTTTCAAGGCTAAGTCAGAGACCACCCCAGAATTTTGAGGCTGAAATGGAGCCTGTTCCTTTGGCCAATCTCACCTGGTTTTGGTATAGGAGGGGTTAGGAATGGGTAGTAGGTGGCTAGAGCTGTGATGGTCTCCATTTAGGAGCCTAGTGAAACCAACAGAGTCTATACTTATGTGTGTATAGATGATGGAATCTTTGACATTCTTTGAATAAGGTGTTCCCTTAGGTTTTTTTTTAAAAAAGAGAACATATTTCCATGTATTTTAACATTTATTCATTCCACAATATTTGTTTTGTGTGTGCTGCACTAGGCCTGGGGAATACAGCAGCAAACAAAACAGGTAAAAACCACTGCCCTCACAGAGCTTACATGCTAAGGTGGAGAGAGAGCAAATTTAAAAGACGATTAAATATCTGGAATGTCTGATGGTGATTGCTGCTATAAAGAAAAATGAGGGAAGAGGAGTGGGAATATGTGTGTCTGTGGGTGAGTTGCAATTTTAAGTAAGATGGTTAAATGCCACTGAACAGGTGACATTTGAGCAAACCATCAGCAAACTGATGCTGAGTCAATTGCTTTGAAGTTGCAGCCTGCTGGACTGCCTGAAGTATTGGATAGAGGATATGAGAGAAGGTGAGAAATTGAGGATGACTCCAATGCGGTAGGCAGTTTATGACACAGCTCACAGTTACCCCCACCTCCTGGTATTCATGCTCTTGTATAACTTTCTTCTTGAGTCTGTGATGGACCTAGTGACTTTTTTTTTTTGAGACAGAGTCTCACTCTGTTGCCCAGGCTGGAGTGCAGTGGCGTAATCTGGGCTCACTGCAATCTCCACCCTCTGAGTTCAAGCAATTCTTCTGCCTCAGCCTCCCGAGTAGCTGGGATTACAGGCGTGCGCCACCACGCCTGGCTAATTTTTTGTATTTTTAGTAGAGACAGGTTTCACCATCTTGGCCAGGCTGGTCTTGAACTCCTGACCTCATGATCCACCCACCTTGGCCTCCCAAAGTGCCGGGATTACAGGCGTGAGCCACCGCACCCTGCCCGCCCTTTTTTTTTTTTTTTTAATCATGAATAGATTACGGCAAAGTTGATGGGATCTCATTTCTGTGGATATATCACCAAGATTGTGACTTCTGTCTTGCTGGCAGATTCTCTCCATTGCTTTCTTGGCTTTAACACTTCAGTGAAGCAATCTGCCTTGTTGAGAGGCCCACATGGCAAGGAACTGAGGGCAGCCCCTGACCAACAGCCAGCCAGGAACTGAAGATGTCAGTCCAACTACCCCTGATGAACTGAATCTTGAACCACGTGAGCTTGGAGTGCATCCTTCCCAGTTGTGCCATGAGATGAGAGCACGGCACCAGTCAACAGTGTGACTGTTCTTTGAGAAAGACACCAAAGCAGAGGGGACAGCTAAGCCATATCCAGATTTTTCACCCACAAAACTGAGATAATACATGTGTGCTTTTTAAACTGTTAAATTTTGGGACAATTTGTTATGCCACAATATATAATTAATACACAAGGTTTTTGGCAACTGGAAGAATAAAAATAGTATTTATGATATCACAAGATGAGTGTAGGTAGAGGGTTTCTTTACAGGGAGATTTCAGGGTTTCTTTTTTTTTTTGGTGATGGAGTCTCGCCCTGTTGCCCAGGCTGGAGTGAATTGGCTCAATCTCGGCTCACTGCAACCTCCACTTCCTGGGTTCAGGTGATTCTCCCACCTTAGCCTCCTGAGTAGCTGAGATTACAGGCACCTGCCATCATGCCTGGCTAATTTTTATAGAGACGGGGTTTCACCATGTTGGCCAGGCTGGTCTCGAACTCCTGACCTCAGATGATCCACCCAGGCTGGAGTGAACTGGCGCAATCTCGGCTCACTGCAACCTCCACTTCCTGGGTTCAGGTGATTCTCCCACCTTAGCCTCCTGAGTAGCTGAGATTACAGGCACCTGCCATCATGCCTGGCTAATTTTTATAGAGACGGGGTTTCACCATGTTGGCCAGGCTGGTCTCGAACTCCTGACCTCAGATGATCCGCCTGCCTCGGCCTCCCAAAGTGTTGGGATTACAGGCGTGAGCCTCTGCACCCAGCTGATTGCAAGTTTTGGATATGTACAATGCACATAAGTATCTATTTTTGTGATAATACTTCTCACTAATTTTTCAAATGGTAGTTAGCTACCAATATATAGAATCTAAATACTCTCCATGAGCCACCTTAAAACAAAGTTATTTAAGGCATCTTCAAAAATCAGATTCTAGGCCGGGTATGATGGCTCACACCTGTAATCCCAGCACTTTAAGAGGCCGAGGCAGGTGGATGGCTTGAGCCCAGGAGTTCAAGACCAGCCTGAGCAACATACAGAAACCCCGTCTCTATTAAAAACACAAAAATTAGCTGTGCGTGGTGGTGCTTGCCTGTAGTCCTAGCTACTTGGGAGGCTAAAGTGGGAGGATCACTTGAGCCCAGGAAGTTGAGGCTGCAGCGAGCCGTGATCACGCCGCCGCACTCCAGTGTGGGTGATGGGAGTGAGACCCTGTCTAAAAAAAAAAAAAAAATCAGATGTTATAATAATTTTAGTCATAATTATTTCTGGAAATGGAAAACATCAAATACAGTACCAACCCATGAATTCTGATGTCTCACTTTTAGAATTTCTCTATTCTTTGCTTTCAATTTGCACAAAAACCAGAATAAAATTTATCTTTGTATGTCTGTGACGAAAAGATTATTTGCTGGAGCAACTGGACAGGACAAACCATTTAAGAGAATGTGCTTTTTAGCATTTAAGGACTTATATGTTAATGAAGTAATTCACTGTTAAAAGTTTGCCCAACTTCCTGAGGTTTTGAATGATGATAGCTTAAATGGAGATCAAAAGTAAGATATGGAACCAAGAGAAATGAAGGAGGTGAAATCAGCAGGCTGTGGTGATTGGCTAGAAGTTGGAGTAAGGAAGAGGGTAGTGTACAGATATTGTATGGTGCTCATCGTCTCTTGGCAGGAAAGGTGCTCATCCTTTATAAAACCAAAGGATTGTTGTGGAGAACAGCTGCTAGGTCTCCACACAAAATCCAACCGTTATTAATCTCAGCCATTCTGATCATTCCATGGGAAGCCCCTGCCCACGACTTGTTTAGGAATGGGCATGTGACACAATCCTGGCAAAAGACTATTAAGTAGAAACTTTCCTTTCTGTGTGTGTTGCCTGGAACCAGGCAGCCATCTTGGGACTACAGTGGAGTTCCATGAAGAGATCAGGAAGAGATCAAGCCAAGGGCTGAGGGCGGTCAAGTGGGAAGACAGAGGGACTTGGGTCCTTAGATTGTGTGGTTGAACCACCACATTTGCCAATCCTGAAACCCCCACATGTGGGGACTTGTTTTTATAGGAAGTGGGACATTTTCTAGTGGTTTAAGTCATTTTGAGTTGGGTTTTCTGTTACTTGCAGCTAAATGCACTCTGAGACAGGGACATTCTAGAAGAAGCTCCAGTTTTCTGGCTTTATGAGTGGATCCATTTTCTATAACAGCACATTCAGAAGGAGAAGGCAACAGGCCTTGGGAAGTGGGGAGAAAGGATGACCTTGGTTCAGGACATGCTTAGCAGTGCTGGAGGGACACCAGGTGAGGACATCTGCTGAAGGTTTGAGGTGCAGATCTGGAGGTCAGGAGTGAGTTCACAGGAGATAGCACTATGGCAATCCTTGAGGGGCACAGAGAGAGGGAGGTTGAAACATAGGCTTTGGCTTGGATCCAGCCTTACTTCTTAATACCTGTGTCACCTGGGGAAAGGCACTTCTTTTTTTTTTTTTTTTTTTTTTTTTGAGATGGAGTTTTGCTCTTGTTGCCTCTAGGCTGGAGTGCAATGGTGCGATCTCAGCTCACCGCAACCTCTGCCTCCCGGGTTCAAGCAATTCTCCTGCCTCAGCCTCCCGAGTAGCTGGGATTACAGGCATGCGCCACCACACCCGGCTAATTGTGTATTTTTAGTCGAGACAGGGTTTCTCCATGTTAGTCAGGCTTGTCTCAAACTCCCAATCTCAGGTGATCCGCCCACCTCAGCCTCCCAAAGTACTGGGATTACATGCATGAGCCACTGTGCCCAGCCTTTTTAAATTTTTTTTTTTAATTTTTGTTGTTGTTGTTTTTGTTGTTGTTGAGACAGAGTCTCACTCTGTCACCCAGGCTGGAGTGCAGTGGCATGATCTCGGCTCACTGCAACCTCGGCCTGCTGGGCTCAAGTGATTCTCATGCCTCAGCCTCCTGAGTAGCTGGGATTACAGGCGCCCGCCACCATGCCAGGCTAATTTTTGTATTTTCAGTAGAGACGGGGTTTCACCATGTTGGCCAGGCTGTTCTCAAACTCCTGACCTCAGGTGATCCTCTCGCCTCGGCCTCCCAAAGTGCTGGGATTACAGGCATGAGTTACCACACTCAGCAGCACTTCGCTTTTTAAAGCCTCTATTTCCTCCCTTGTAAAATGGAAATTCTTGCCTTAGTGTTTCCAAAGTAGAAATTCTTATCTGTGTGTGGCAGAGACCATGCTAGATCTTCAGCAAAACTTGTTTTTCTTTCCTCCAGGGCCCATGGACAAACCACACATGCCAGTGTCCCCACTGTTAGGGAGGGGTCATATTGATGGACTCTGACCAATAGCATGTGATGAATTCTCTTCCTACACCTGTCAGCTGGGAGCTGAGAATCCAGGGGGAAGCTTCTAAGGCTCCAGGAGGATGAGCTTTTAGATGGAAGGAACCTGAGTCCCTGAGTGACTTGGTGGAGAACCTCCACCCCCTAATCAGCTACACTGGACGTGACATGATTGAAAAATAAACATTGGGCATGTTGCTTTTATAGCAGCTAGCATTCCTTACCCAGGCCCATCTACCCAGCATTTCCCAGTGTCTGATACACAAGATGATTTCAGTATACCCAAACAGTTTAAAATGTTCACTTCTTACACATTTGTTTTATAGGTATGCTTTCTTGATGTATTACATATTTGTTTTATAGGTATTTCTTTATTAACAAAGAACCATAGACTGGGTGGCTTAAGCAACATTTATTTCTCACAGTCCTGGAGGCTGGAAGTCCAAAATCAGGGTGCCAGCAGGGTTGGGTTCTGGTGAGGGCCCTCTCCCAGATTGTAGACTGTCAACTTCCTGTTGCATCCTCACATGATGGAAAGATGGCTAGAGAGCTCTCTGGGGTCTCTTTTTTGAAAAAATTTTGTTTATTTATTTATTTATTTATTTTTATTTTACTTTACATTCTGGGATACATGTGCAGAGCGTGCAGGTTTGTTGCATAGGAATACATGTGCCATGGTGGTTTGCTGCATCTATCAACCCATCATCTAGGTTTTAAGCCCTACATGCATTAGGTATGTGTCCTAATGCTCTCCCTCTGCTTGCCCCCCTTCCCCCAACAGGACCTGGTGTGTGATGTTCCCCTCCCTGTGCCCATGTGTTCTCATTTTTCAACTCCCACTTATGAGTGAGAACATGTGGTATTTGGTTTTCTGTTGCTGTGTTAGTTTGCTGAGAAGGATGGCTTCCAGCTTCATCCATGTCTCTGCAAAGGACATGAACTCATTCTTTTTTATGGTATGGTATAGTATTGGTATAGTATGGTATAATATGGTATAGTATTCCATCACGTATGTGTGTCTGGGGTTCGTTTTATAAGGACACCAATTCTATTCATGAGGGCTCCACCCTCCTGACCTAATCAACTCCTAAAGGCCCTACCTCCTAATACCATCCCGTTGAGGTTTAGGGTTTTGACACATGAATTTGAGGGGTCACACACATTCAGACCACAACAAAGTATTAAATACACACACACAAAAACCTCATCAGCCTTATGATTTCAGAGATATTATCACTTAGGACAAGGATTGGTTTAATTATGCAAGTTGGTTAAAGAAAAATGTCAAGTAAATAACAAAAGGTAGCAGGTGGAAATGGCAAAAATTGTGACAGTGACACACAGGCTGGCTTACTCCATGTGGTTATTGTGAGGCTCAAATGACATCGTGTATGTGAAGTCCCTCTCGTGAGCTGGCCTAGGGGGCCAAGGCAGGTGGATCGATTGAGCCCAGGAGTTTGAGACAAGCCTTGGCAACGTGGCAACACCCCATCTCTACAAAAAGTACAAAAAATTAGCCAGGCATGGTGATGTGCACCTGTAGTCCCAGCTACCCAGGAGGCTGAGGTGGGAGGACTGCTTGAGCCCGGAAGGTGGAGGCTGCAGTGATCTGTGATTGTGCCACTGCACTCCAGCCTGGATGATAGAGTAAGACCTTGTCTCTACAGCAACAACAAAAGTCCCTCTCCTGGTCCGGCGCATAGTAAGTATGTGACAAATAGTAGCTCTCATCTTGTAATATGCAACCTGCATTACAGGATGGATTCCACCACCTCTGGTTTGCTGTTTACTTGCCTACTGCCCTTCATCTCTGAATCTCTAGTAGTAGCTCCATGCCCAGCACCTAATGGGGCCACATAAATAGAGACTGAGTGTTAATTATTAAAGGGGCATAACATCCTTTCCAGAATCACAGATTTGAGTACACTGGGCTATGAGCCCTGTGCAGACAAGAACTACATGTGTCTGACTGAGTGCTGTATCCCCAGCATCCAACCCAGAACCCAGTGCTTGGTTGGTGCTCAAGAAATATTTGTTATGAATGAACATACTTATCTGAATTCCTCTCATAGACTCCTACACTGCCCAACCTGGCCTGAGCCTTGAGAACAATACTTCTTAGCTAAAGAAGAGGAAAGTAGTCTGGGCACGGTGGGTCACACCTGTAATCCCAGCACTTTGGGAGGCCGAGGCGGGCGGATTACCTGAGGTCGGGAGTTCGAGACCAGCCTAACCAACATGGAGAAACCCCATCTCTACTAAAAATACAAAATTAGCCGGGTGTGGTGGCACATGCCTGTAATCCCAGCTACTTGGGAGGCTGAGGCAGGAAAATCGCTCGAACTCAGGAGGCAGAGGTAGCAGTGAGCCGAGTTCGTGCCATTGCACTCCAGCCTGGGCAACGAGAGCGAAACTCCATCTCAAAAAAAAAAGAGGAAAGTAAAAGTATGAAGAAGCAAAGTGACTTCACAAAGTCACACAGGTATGGGAATGTGCAGTGGGGTTTTTGAAAGTCACATGGGACATGAAGCAGTTCTTTGCTGTGCAAGACTGTCCCAGGCATTGCCTGCCAATGCCCATGAAAGCCAATGGTGTCTCTAATCATTGTGATAATCAGAGATGCTCTGGAAGATCTCCAAAACACCTCATAGGGACAGTACCCCCCTGGGAACTGCAGATCCAGCCTGTCCTTCCAAATGGATGAAGAAACTAAGACCCATGGAGGAAGACAGGCTTCCTCAAATGATGAAGCCAGCATTTGGAACAAATTCCTGACACTGGATTATGAATCTTTCTCTAGGGCCAGGCAGGTGGCTCATATCTGTAATCCCAGCATCTTGGAAGGCTGAACTGGGAGGATTGCTTGAGCCTAGGAGTTCAAGACCAGCCTGGGCAATAGAGCAAGACCCTGTCTCTATAAAAAATTAAAAAATTAGCCAGACATGGTGGCTTATGCCTGTAGTCCCAGTCACTTGGGAGGCTGAGGTGGGAGGATGACTTGAGCCAAGGAGGTCACGATCAGGCCACTGGACTCCAGCCTAGACAACAGAGTGAGACCTTGTCTCAAATTTAAAAAAAAAACAAAAAACTTTTTCTCCAATCATTGAGAGTAGGACTTGTTCAGATCATAAAGGAAGCTCCTGGAGGGACAGGGGCTTGGGGCCCATCAGGACTCAGCACCGCAGGGTGGTACTAAGGCAACTCCCATGAGCTGATGAGGAGGGAAGCCCCTGGGATGCTCTGGCCTCTGCCCCTGTCCCTTCTCCGCTGCGGCTCAGCCCTGCCTGGGGAGGAGAGCAGCAAGGGGGTGGGAGGGTGTGGGCAGAGATAAATCTGCTCCCAGGCAAAAGCTGGCTCTGACTCCTAATAGAACTGAGATGAGTGCGTGTATTTTAAAGCAAATAAATGTTTCAAGACCTGAGAAGGGAGACGTTAATGGCTCCATTCGAATTCAGCAGAATTTATTTTCCATTAGGGTTGGGCTTTCTGAGAAGCTTGGTTCAATCAAGGTTAGACATGAAAACAGCACTGTGGCTGAGTGGACACCAAGTTCCCCTCCACCCACTGCACCTTGCTTAATTAGAGCTCCTGACCTGCAGCCGCCCTTGGCTGGCCCACAGACAGATGCGCTAGTCTTTTTTGCTCTTTTTGTTTTTTTCTTTTTTTTTTTTTGAGACAGAGTCTTGCTCTGTCGCCCAGGCTGGAGTGCAGTGGCGCGATCTCGGCTCACTGCAAACTCTGCCTCCCGGGTTCACACCATTCTCCTGCTTCAGCCTCCCAAGTAGCTGGGACTACAGGCGCCTGCCACCATGCCCGGCTATTTTTTTGTATTTTTAGTAGAGACGGGGTTTCACCGTGTTATCCAGGATGGTCTTGGTCTCCTGACCTCGTGATCTGCCCACCTCGGCCTCCCAAAGTACTGGGATTACAGGCGTGAGCCACCGCGCCCGGCCACTCTTTTTGTTTTTTTCTATGTTGGATAAGATTATCTTTTCAAACTTATTTTCACAATCAGCACTGAGATGACCAACTAGCCAAGCTGCCCCGTGTGCCTGCCACCTCTCCATCCACGGGTGCCTGCCAGCCGGTAATGAGAAGTTTGCCTTGCCCTTTAGAACCATTATTTTAAACAATGAATGGTGTTTGCAGAAGTGAGATTGCGAATAGAGATTCATAATGAATAGCTTCAGCAATAATTACTTATTTTCTATATTTATCGAAAATGACTACATACAGTATTGCTGTTTTCTCTGAAGAGAAAAATGCAGTAATTATCATCGCTATTTATCTACTTTCCTATTTTAATAACTAGCAATTGCCATTTTTTAATTACTAGGGCAAAAAAAATGGTTGCCTCTTAGCTGAGATGGCTCTAGTGTCACGAAGAATGCACTTCCACACTAATATCAGTAACGTTGTGTGCAGAGAATAAATATAAGGTGTTTGGGTTTCTTGCCATTCAACCAGTTTGTTAGGCCTGTGACAGAAGCAGCAACTTGGGGTTGAAATGGTTTGTCTTCAGAGCTGTAGGGGAACCACGTCTCTTAACAAAGGTGATATAGTCCAGTAGCATATGTTTATTTATGTCCAATGATGTACTGATAAATGTATAACAACCAGCTTTCCAGTGGGAGAAGGAGCTCTGACATGTAGCATTGGCCAATTACTGTGGTGTAAATACTCCCATCATGGCAGATTTTAAGATACCAACCCTACATCATGAAATACACATTTGGGACCAGAGGCATGCAATTGACTCTCTCATGCTGGAGTCAGCCAGCTCTAGCACATCACTGGATATTAATTCTATGGTATATTTATTTATTTATTTATTTATTTGAGACAGGGTCTGGCTCTGTTGCCCAGGCTGAAGTGCAGTGATCTTGGCTCACTGTAACCTCCACTTCCTGGGCTCAAGTGATCCTCCCATCTCAGCTTCCCAAGTAGCTGAGATTATAAGTGCACACCACCACACCAGGCTAATGTTTATATTTTTGTAGAGATAGGGTTTTGCTATGTTGCCCAGGCTGGTCTTGAACTCCTGAGCTCAAGCAATCTGCCCACCTCAGCCTCCCAAAGTGTTGGGATTACAGATGTGAGCCACAGTACCCAGAACATACACATATTTATTGAGGGCCTCTTGTGTGCCAGGCAGTGTCCCAATTGCTGATGTGACAGCAATGAATGAAACAGGTGGCCCCTGCTCTAGTGAAATTTAGATTGAGTAGGAGAGACAAGACAACCACCAAAGGAACTGGTAAATACATAACACAATGTTGAGGAGTGGTGAGTGACAACTGGAGTGGAGTAGGAGGGCAGGCTGGGATGGGGTGAGGGTGGGAGCTCTTTTGCATATAGTGGACATGAATGTCCTCCCTAAAGGGTGTCATGAGCATAAATTTGAATGAAGTGAAGGAGAGAGTTTGTGAGGATTCCTGGGCAAAGAGCATTCTAGGGAGAAGGAAAAACCAACATCAATTCTATGAGGTGGGAGGCAGGAGGATGCCTGGGGGTTGCTTTTAATCTGTGTTTCTGAAGGTCTCAAGATCTGGGAAGTCTGGGGTATCTTCTAAGATGACACAGATATATTTCTTTTCTTGCTCTGCTCCAGTGAAGCATTCTTGCTCTAAATTTCAGCAGGGCTTGAGACCTGGGGGTGACCCATGACTCTCCCTCCCTCCATTTCCTGCAGGATATGATATTCTCACATTTCTTCTCATGTCCTTGCATACCTGCAGCTCATTTGATTTCCTTGTAGACACTGGCTCCTGACCTCCTCATTCCTCTTACATTGAAACTTATGCCCCCGCCTGGAATGGCAACCCGGGGGGGAAAGGGTTTGTTCACTCCTGACTTTCCGTCCCCTAGAACAGTGCCTGCCTCACAGTCAACACTTGGTAAATATTCATTGAATTCATTAACACAGGAGATGCAAGCATCTAATTATTTCATTAGGACTTCCAGTAAGGTCTTGCCTGAGCTAGGAGCCCACGCCCTCAATGCTGTATCCCCCTTCCTGACAGTTTTCTTTGCTGTTCTGCACTGACACCCTTGCCTGGAGGTAGACACTCATAAACACTGTGGAATGATTGACAGCATGGATATTGTTTTATTCTACATTACGTCTGTTTTTATCCTAAATTACTTTTATTCCTTCTTCATAGTATAGATAGGACATTCTATTGATTTTTTTTAAATTGTGTGTGCAGGAAGGTAAAATTATCTGTAAATTTCATTTCCACATAGTGAAGGAAGCATGGAAATCTTTTGTTCTCTAAAGGGGCTGCCATATCTGAGAGGCATAAGAATGATAGGCTGGACAGAATGATTTTCATTAATGGACTATTTCAATAGGCCCTAGGGGTCACCTTGAGCATTCCTGAAGCCACAAGAGAACTACCTGGATAGTTGACCACCAGGGGAAGTGTTGGGGACATTGGGAAACTCAAGGAAGACTGCTGATGACGTCAATGAGACACATCCCAGACAATGGCAGGGCTTCCTTTCTGGGCATGTCCAGTGCACACGGGCTGGAATCATGAGAGGGGACTTTCAGCTCCAGTGCTTTTAGAACCTGTTCAACGATTCGGAGTGGGGGTTTGAAGTGAGTTTCTCACTTCATGCCACATTTGATCTTCAGTGCACAAAGAAAGTACAAAGCCAGAGAGGTGAGCCAAGAGGCAAAGGCCCTTTACTCTGGGAGCTAAGTCTTGTTGGGTTTAAGCATGGATCAGTCTTCTCAGTGCTAATGATGAGATCGGGAAGTGTATTGATATTGCAGGTGTTTTAAGCATGAAGATGAAACAGACGTTTCTTTTTATCTATTCATCAGTGACTAGAAAAGTCTCTCGGCTCGGGAGATTTTGTTGTTTTATTCTATTTTTTTTTTCCACACTGACTTCTTGTGTAAAGAAACTCATGGCAGCACCTAATCTTCAGAAATAAGTGACTGGCAGCTCAGTGTTGAGAAATTATACTAAGGACGGGCACTGTGGGACTATCACTGGCCCTGTCTGGGCCATTTGGCAGTCAGTCAAGGCTGGAATAGTGAGTCACCCTCGGGGTTAGAGATAAGGAAGCTAGGCTCAGGGAAGAATGGAGTTGCCTGGGACCAACCTTCTGGTAAGAGACAGCCCCGGGCTGGGACACAAGCTTCCTGACTGCTGTTATCTTCTTCGCGGAGTTGATAGAAGGCAGGAGCTGGATTGTGTGAGTGTTCTCTCCAGAGAGACAGAACCAACAGGGAGTGTGTGTGTGTGTGTGTGTGTGTGTGTGTGTGTGTGTGTGTGTAGAGAGAGACTTTAAGAAATTGGCTTTCACAATTGTGGAGGCTCGATAAGTCCAAAATCTGATGGGATAGGCCAGCAGGCTGGAGACTCCGTGAAAAGTTGCAGTTCAAGTCCAAGGTCAGCCGGCTGGAAGAATTCCTTCTTGCTCCGAAGGTTGGTCTTTGTTTTATTCAGGCCTTCAACTGATTGGATGAGGGCCACTCACATTATAGGTGGCAATCTGCTTTACTCAAAGTCCACCAATTTTAATGTTAATCTCATAAAAAAAAATACCCACCTTCACAGAAACATCCAGAATGATTGACCAAATATTTGGGCACCATAGCCCAGCCATGTTGACACATAAAATCAATCCTCACACACACCTTAATTTTAAAATGTGTTTTAAATAATAGTAAATGCAATAGATATTCAGTATAGAAATTTTAAAATTGCAAACAAATATAAAAAAGAAAACTTTCCACTTCACCAGGGTGCATTGGGATATTGCCTTAAGAATTAATTCTAGGCATACTTACACTATAATATTTTCATACCTCGGAATGGTGTCATTTCACAGTAGTGTTTTGCAGCTTACTTTTTTCACTTAGCAAGACTCTATGAATTTTTCCCCAGGTTAACAGATGTCATTCCACATCCTGATTTTTAATGTTGGCACAGCATCTGTCTGATGCCAGCTGTAGTGAATGGCTTTGCTCCCTGCTCGACATCCTTCCTCCTTTTTCTGCTAACAGCATCAGATTTTCTTTTAGGGATCTCCCCTGCCCCAACTCCCAGGCCATGTGGTTCAGGTGGGGCTAAATCCTACCTCCTGAGCCCTCTTTGGCCTAGGACCAAAGTCCTCAATATTGAGAAAGAGGGCCGGGCACAGTGGCTCACACCTGTACTCCCAGCACTTTGGGAGGCTGAGGCGGGTCGATCACCTGAGGTCAGGAGTTTGAGACCAGTCTGGCCAAAGTGGTGAAACCCCATCTCTACTAAAAACACAAAAATCAGCCTGGCGTGGTGGCGCCTGCCTATAATCCCAGCTACTCAGGAGGCTGAGGCACAAGTATCACTTGAACCTGAGAGGCAGAGGTTGTGATGAGCCAAGATCACGCCACTGCACTCCAGCCTGGGAGACAGAGTGAGATTATCTCAAAAAAAAAAAAATTGAGAAAGAGGGTTCTTTTTTCCAGGTTGTTAGGCTGGTTCACTATAGGTCTGGAACTGCTGGAGGCCATTTTTGTCAATACGTGGACTTGGTCCTAAAGATGAAGCCAGAATGGAGGAAAGCAAATAAGAGAACTGGAGAGAAACAGATTCCTGATTACATATTATAGTTTGAACACCTGGATCCAGCCATGCCTGAAGCTATTCTCCTACACTTTTCCATTATGGGAGATAAGTTCTCCCTTTCTTTGCTTAAGCCAGTAGAGTTGGATTCTGTCACTTTACCTGCAAAGAGTTCAGAGTCTTATTTGAATATGGTATCACTCTACCTGACATATCCCAGTACATGACTGTATTATTTTCTGTTTTTGTTTTTTTCTTCCTGGCAATTTACCCACTATGAGCAAGATGTTACAAGGGGATTTGGAGATTATAAAAATGACTAAGAGGCCAGGCATAGTGGCTCATGCCTGTAATCCCAACAATTTGGGAGGCTGAGGCAGGAGGATTGTTTGAGCCCAGTAGTTTGAGACCAGCCTGGGCAACATAGTGAGACCCTGTCTCTGTAAAAAATAGAAAAACTAGCTGGCTGTGGAGGCATGCACTTGTAGTCCCAGCTACTTAGGAGGCTGAGGTGGGAGGATTGCTTGAGCCCACAAGGTCAAGGCTACAGTGAGCTGTGATCGTGCCACCATACTCTAGCCTGTGCCACAGAGTGAGACCCTGTCTCAAATAAAACAAAACAAACAAAAAATAAAAAACTAAAGTAAAAATGACTAAGACATACTCTTGGACCTCAAATAGTTTGATTCAGTAACTAGGGCCAAGTACATATTAGTCACCTAAAAGATTGTAAATTTCAACAGCTTATAAGGATCAAGACAGGCTTCCTAGAGGAATAAGCACTAGGCATTGACCTCAAAAAGAGGGAGAGATCATTTAAAATTCCTTTTCATGGCCTATAAGGCCCTATGTGGCCTTGTCCTGGCCACAGTTGTAATGTGCATATGTATTGCCTGGGATCTTACTAAAATGCAAATTCTGGGTGTGGTGGCTCACGCTTGTAATCCTAGCACTCTGGGAGGCTGAGGCGGGAGGATCACTTGAGGTCAGGAGTCCAAAACCAGCCTGGCCAACATGGTGAAACCCCGTCTCTACTAAAAATATAAAAAATTAGCAGGGCCTGGTGTCGGGTGCCTGCAATCCCAGCTACTTGGGAGGCTGAGGCAGGAGAATTGCTTGAACCCCAGAAGCAGAGGTTGCAGTGAGCCGAGATGGCACCAGTGCATTCCAGCCTGGGCAATAGAGCAAGACTCTGTCTAAAAATAATAATAATAATAATGAAATAAAATAAAATAAAATGCAAATTCTGATTCAGTAGTCCTCTGGTGGTGCCAAATTTCTGCATTTCTAGCAAGTTCCAGGTGAGGTGGGTCTGTAGGCTGCACTATGAATGGGAGGATCTGGCCCTTCCTCCTCCTGCATCATCTCCCACCCCGACCCCTCTGCTCAGCCCCAGGGACTCCTTTCTGCTTTCGCTGCACCTGCAGCTCTGCCACACCTGCTGGCCTCCATGCCTGGATTGCTCTTCCCTGAACCTTCTTACCTGGGGCTTCTCTTCCATCTCAGCTCAAACGCCAAGGCAGCAGCCAGGCCACTGGCGGCGCCCATTTCACATGGGACTTCCCCAGCACTCATGCTTTTCAAGCCTTTTTCACATTATGGCAGAGGCAGAAACAGTACTCTGTGTGGCTTGCTGGCCTGAATGGATAAGCCAGAGGGGGTAGCGGAAACTTCCAGGGGCTCCCCATTTTGCACATCTGTAATCCACTCACAGCGCATGATCAGGAAGGTCAGCTGAACCTGTTTTACCACTTTCATAGCAATTGCTGGGATCTGTGATGATGGCGTTGATTGACTTGTTCACTGCCTGCCTTTTCCAGTAAAGAATAAAGCCCTGTAACACACAACCCCGTTCCATTGCTCTCTCTTCAGTGGTGTCTGGCATGGCAGGCACTCAACAGACCCTCCTCCTGAGAATTTCCAGCAAAAGGAATATCATGAGCAAAAGTGGGGAATGGAGTGAGTCACACAGATCAGCTGCAGCCTGAGCACAGCATGTGTGGGAGGTGATAGGCAGTGAGGAAGGCGGTGATGAAGACCCGATGCTTAATCTGGGAGGTGATGGGGAGCTATGACCAGATGTGATTGGGGCTACCGAGGCGTGTCCGTCTGGCTGGTGGGGACAGGGAGAGGGAGAAAGTAGGCCAGTCATATGGTTTGGCTGTGTCCCCACCCAAATCTCATTTTGAATAGTAGTTCCTATAATCCCACGTGTTGTGGGAGGGATTGGGTGTGAGGTAATTGAGCCATGGGGGCGGTTACCTCCATGCTGTTCTCGTGACACTGAGTGTGTTCTCGCAAGATCTGATGGTTTTATAAGGGGCTTTTCCCGCCTTCGCTCTGCCTTTCTCCTTGCTGTCGCCATGTGAAGAAGGATATATTTGCTTCCCCCTTCTGCCATGATTATAAGTTTCCTGGGTTCTTCCCAGCCCTGTGAAACTATGAGTCAATTAAACCTCTTTCCTTTATAAATTACCCAGTCTGGGGTATGTCTTTATCAGCAGCATGAGAACAGGCTAATACAGCTGGGAACAGGGCGCCAGTAGCCACCAGACAGCTCTTCAGGCTCCTGAGGTGAAAGTGGGTGTGGCCGTGGAAAGGGAAGGACGGAATGCATGCGAAGGGTGGGGGCACCGGGAGCGAGGAGGATGGTGGGAGGCACGATTTGGTGGTGGAGTGGGGAAGAGACCAGGGCTGTGGACTTAAATAGGGAGGTTTCAGACCAGAAACAGGAGGTGTTAGGGAGACGCAAGTTCTGAGGGGAAACTTGAGTGAAAACAGAAGAATTCTTCAGCTCACTGATTCTCATTTGGAGAACTGGTTGAGTTGTATCACCTGCAGTCTCAGATTTAAGAGAAGGGTCAGCTGGCGACACTGACCCCCCCATACGCAGAGGGGACCCGGGAGCCCAGCAGACCTCAGAGTCGCCCAGGTGAGCCCCTCCCAGCTGCGCTTCACTGAGGCATCACCTACTGGCTCCGAACTTCAGTTTCTCAGATGTAAAATGGGGTGATAAGTGGGCCTTGCAGAACAGTTGTGCAGTAGAGAGAGCTTGTGCAGGTGGGTGACTCATAGCAGGACGCGGTGTGGGGTAGGTGTCCTGGATGTCATGTTGGGCTGCCCAGGCCCCTCCAGGACCAAATCACTTATTGTCCCAGTTGTTGGACTTGTTGGTAGCTGATGGCTAATAGCTGCATCCCCACACGACCTTGCCTCACCCCAGGACATCTCCTTCCCTGGGGTCAGCCACTTTGGATGGGCTAGGCCCTCTGCTGTGATTGCGCCATCATCCAGCCTCTCCCTCTTTCCAATCCTGTATCCTTGACTCCCCTTACAGGACAGGTTTTGTGTAGTCCCCAATAAATGTCCTGCATGCAAATCTCAATCTCAGAGTCCACTTTCCCGGGAACCCAACGGATAGTAGTATCTTGGCAGAATGATTCTAAGCCACTGGAATAGATATTTCTGGTTGGCCAGAATCTTAAAGACTGTACTGCAAATTTTCAGTCCAGAAGCTGAGAAGGGAAGCAATGTGTTGGAGGACTAGCCTATGAGGCAAAAGGTTCTCAGACATGTCCAAAATTCTTTTTTTGTATTATGGACCCCTTCTTAAATTAATGTTTGTAAATGCCTAAAATA
Organism: Homo sapiens; assembly: GCF_000001405.40. Classification (NCBI taxonomy): domain Eukaryota; kingdom Metazoa; phylum Chordata; class Mammalia; order Primates; family Hominidae; genus Homo; species Homo sapiens. The sequence continues at coordinate 104,413,893 of NC_000012.12, forward strand.
AAAGACATAGGATTGTAAAGGAAACCCACTCTATTGCAATATAGTTATCAAACCATTATGAAATGGATTTATTACATATTAATATATGACATAGCAATATAGAAATTACTATGATACAGTAATATAGTTAATGAAAGATCCATCAGTGGGATGAATCATCTAGAAGAGACAATGAATATTAATGATATCTCAAGATATGCACAGCAGTTATACCGGGATATGAAAATATCTGACTTCCGTTGATGACAAAATCACAGGTTTTGCAAATACTGAGGTCAATGAAAATAAAGAAGTAATTTTTCCCCACCCAAAATCTAGATTCCCTGAATTATATGCAAGGACTCCCTGGGAGTCTGTGGACCTCAGGTTATAAAAAAATAAAAAATAAATAAATAAATAAATAAAAAACAACAAAAAAAACCCCTTAGCGTTATAAGGTCTGCAATCTACTGTAAGATACGTAGTTCTAGGTGGCATGGCGTGATATACCTGTGTGTGTTTGTGCTGTGAATTAAATATATATGTCCCCGTAAAATTCCTGTGTTGAAGCCTAATCCCCAGTGTGATATTAGGAGGTGGGGCCTTTGGGAGGTGATTAGGTCATGAAAGTGGAGCCCTCATGAATGGAATTGGTGCCCTGATGAGAAGAGGTCAGAGCGGTAGCTTGCTCTCTTTCTGGCATGTGAGGATACAAGAAGAAGATAGCCATCTGCATGCCAGAAAGCTGGTCCCCACCAGGCGTTCAGATCTGCCGGCACCTTGATCTTGGGCTTCCCAGCTTCCAGAACTGTGAGAGATCAATGTTTGTTGTTTAAACCACCCAGTGAATGGTAATCTGTTATAGCAGCTCAACTGACTAAGCCAGTTAGGAATCTACACCCCAGGGGTGATTAATTAACATTCACGCAGAAGGGTCACACCTCAGGACACCTGCTGCTAGCTCTTCTGTTTTCCATATCACTGACCAACACCAGGTGTCTTACTAATTAGCACAGAGAATAGCAGAAGTAGGTTTTTATTGGTAAAACTTGTGGCTAACAACCTAATAGATGTAAGAAATGGGCTCTTGTTCATAAAATTAGTGGTGTTCAAAATTAGGGAATTGGCTGAAATGTTTTTGAGACACCACATGCTGGGACGATTGGGGTATAAGAATCCAACAAGGCTTGTCCTTCTTCCATAGGGACGTTGCCTGAGGCTTAATTCCTATCTGCCCTGTGTCTAATCATGGGGCTGGAGGATATCTGGTTGCCTAATATCAATCCTATGCATAACAGGATCTTGCCTCTGAAATTTTGTTTTCTAATCCTCAAGAAAATGTTCCCTGTAGGGTATTACCAGGAATAGGTCATAGTCCAAACTAATCCTTTTTACCAGTAATCCCTTTATATAAAATCAAGTAGCAATCACAAGACTGGGGTGAAAGAAAATAATACTCTGACGTATTCATCAAGTTATAGGAAAGGAAGTGGGGAGAGGTGAGCGGGAACCCAGCCCACATCATCCTGATAAACACTTTATTTATCCAAAATGTAAGTGAAGGACAAAGTGCTTATCTATCCATGCATCCACTCACTCATTCATTCAACACATGATTTTCAACCACCTACTGTGTGTCAGTCACTGTGCTAGGCGCTGGGGGATAGTAAAGTACAGGAGAATGAAGGTCTCTTGGATCATAGACTGGTGGGAGAGATGGACATCAAATATGTAATTCCACAAATGATTATATAATTCTAATTGTGATAAGTGTTAAGGAGGAAAATGGAGGATAGCCTGAGAATATAAAATGCGGGGAGGGATGGTATCTAACCTAGCCTGGGAGATTAGGGAAGAACTCCCTGAGGAGGTGACATTAAGCTGAGGCCTGAAGATTGAATCTAACAGGCATGGTGGCTGGGTGCGGTAGCTCACGTCTGTAATCTCAGCACTTCGGGAGGCCAAGGCGGGCAGATCACTTTGAGGTCATGAGTTTGAGATCAGCCTGGCCAATGTGGTGAAACCTCATCTCTACTAAAAATACAAAAATCAGCCGGGTGTGGTGGCACACGTCTGTAATCCCAGGTACTCAGGAGGCTGAGGCAAAAGAATTGCTTGAACCTGGGAGGTGAAGGTTGCATTAAGCCGAGATCACGCCACTGCACTCCAGCCTGGGCTACAGTGTGAGACTCCATCTCAAAAAAAAAAAAAAAAGCATGGCATTGAGCAGGTGAAGGGTGTGCGTGTGTGTGAAGAGCATTCTGTGTAGAGCTAATGCAAATGCCTTCAGGTTGGATGGTTCGGCCAAGTTCAGAAGTAGAAAGAAGCCAGCGGGACTAGTGTGGGTCATAAAGGCAGACAGGTGGGAGAAGAGCCAGGGATTGTGCTGAGAATATAGATATGAATTAGACACAGCCACTGTCTTTGAGGCTCATAATCAAGTGAGAGATCACTGTGCACCTGGGTGAGGCACAGCATGGTAGATCTACCACGGGGCTGGGAAACTTCAGAGAACAAAGTGGCTGATACTGCCTGGAGGAGTGAGGGAAGGCTGCCGAGAGGAGGTGGTATTTGATCTGGGTCTGAGCAATTGCACAGGAGTTTATTAAGCCAAAAGAAAGAGAGAAAAGCGTATGTGAAGGCCAGGGTAGCAGAGCGAATGGAGCATAGGGGATGGTACAGAAAATATCCAAAAATGAGGAGAGACAGAGGAGGGTTGTAGGAGATTGTATTCATTAGTTAATTCATCAACCCAACAAATTGGAGAATGCTAGGCACTGGGAACACAACAATAAGAAGACAAAATTTGCTGCCCACATGTAACTCATATTCTATTCAGGGGAGAGAGTCAATAAACATTTTTTAAAAAGCATAATATGTGCATTCTAAGTGGCAGTGAAGTTCTATTAAGATAAAGTTGGAAATGGGGAGAGAAGTGCAGCCATGTATGAAGGGCTTGCAATTTGATATCTGAATGGTCAGGGAAGACGCACTGAGAAGTGGACCCTGGAGCAAAGGCCTGAAGGAGTAAGGGAGAGAGGCATGCAGATATTTGGGAACAGCAAGTGCAAAGACCCCAAGGTGGGAACATGCCCAGAGTGTCTAAGACAGCAAGAAGGTCAGTGTGGTTGGCGCAGGGTACGCAGAGTGAATAGTTAGAAGTAAGGTCAGTTAGGTGAGAGGGCCTGATCGTGGAGACCTTGTTGACCAGTGGAAAGACTGGGTTTCCTGTAGAGCGACTTGGGAAGGTGCAGAGAGCTTTGTTCAGAGGAGAGGTAAGATATGACTTACATTTTAAAAGAACCATTTTGGCTGCTACATTGAGAACAGATTATGAAGGGACAAGGCAAACACAGAAGGCCATCAGAGAATCTATTGCAATAATCTGGGGGAAGAATGATAGTTAGTTGAGTCAGGGTGGTATCTGTGGAGGTGGTGAGAAGGACTTGAATATATTTTGAAGACAGAGCCAACGGGTCTTGCTGATAAATGTGAAGTGTGAGAGCAAGAAAAGACTCAAGAATGATGCCAAGGTTTTTTGCCTGTCCAACTGAAATGATGGGATTGCTGTTAACTAATGAGAAAGATGGTGAGAGAACAGGTTTTGGGTGGGTTGGTATTCATAGCTTAGTTTTATAATTTGAATGTCATACGAAGATGTCAAATACACAGTTGGATACACAAACTGAACATACATATACAGGAGTTCTTCATGTATTCTTAATACTAATCCTGTCAGATACATGTGTTGCAAATTTCTCCTCTTAGTTTGTAAATCGTGTTTTCATTTTAAGGTGTTCTTTAATTAATTGATGCTCAATTTTAATGTAATCATATTTATCAACTTTTCATTTATAGTTGATGCTTTATGTGTCTTAAGAAAAATCTTTTCTTACCCTGAAATTAAAATGTTAACCTATTTTTTTCTTAAAAGTTTTCAAGTTTTGTTTGTTTTGCTTTTTTGGGACAGAGTCCCACTCTGTTGCTCAGGCTGGAGTGCAGTGGCGTGATCTTGGCTCACTGCAACCTCCACCCCCGGGTTCAAGTTATTCTCCTGACTCGGCCTCCAGAATAGCTGGGATTACAGGTGTGTGCCACCACACCTGGCTGATTTTTGTATTTTTAGTAGAGATGGGGTTTCATCATGTTGGCCAGGCTGGTCTCAAACTCCTGACCTCAGATGATCTGCCTGCCTCAGCCTCCCAAAGTGCTAGGATTACAGGTGTGAGCCACCGCACCTAGCCAAGTTTTGTTTTTTACATTTAAATTCTTTTTTTTTTTTTTTGAGATGGAGTTTTGCTCTTGTTGCCCAAGTTGGAGTGCACAGTAGCACGATCTCAGCTCACTGCAACCTCCGCCTCCCGGGAGCAAGTGATTCTCTTGCCTCAGCCTCCTAAGTAGCTGAGATTACAGGCACATGCCACAGTGCCTAGCTAATTTTTTGTATTTTTAGTAGAGATGGGGTTTCATTATGTTGGCCAGGCTGGTCTAGAACTCCTGACCTCAGGTGATCCACCCACCTTAGCCTCCCAAAGTGCAGAGATTACAGGCATGAGCCACTGCACCTCGCCTTACATTTAAATTCTTAATACTAAAATAAATTATTTAAGTAAAAGAGAGCCTTTCATGGATCAATGATGGGAAGGTGTCATAAACCAAGGACTCTGTGCCCTTGAGGTTAAGAACAACAATGACAGAAAGGAATAGGAAGATAATTGGACTACTAATTCCTCTTTTAATGAAGCAGTCCTACCTCTTCACCTAGTTTGCTGAAATAAATAGTATGTTGTCTTTCTACCACAAAGCCAAGTGTTGTTCATAGTCCTCAACAGTTCAATAAATATTTATTGACTGACAAGGCAAAGGTTTGCAGGTACAAGAAGGGAAAGGTTAACAATTAGATATAACCGTTTCTAGGGACCCTGGATTTGGTCTTCCTTAAACCCTCCAGGGTAATGATTCTCTAAGTGTGGCCTTTGACTACCTGCATTAGAATCACATAAGGTACTTTATTAAAAATAAAGATTCCTGGGCTGGGCACGGTGGCTCATGCCTATAATCCCAGCACTTTGGGAGGCCAAGGCAGGTGGATCATGAGGTCAGGAGATCGAGACCATCCTGGCTAACACGGTGAAACCCCGTCTCTACTAAAAATACAAAAAGTTAGCCGGGCGTGGTGGCGGGTGCTTGTAGTCCCAGCTACTTGGGAGGCTGAGGCAGGAGAATCGCACGAACCTGGGAGGCAGGGGTTGCAGTGAGCCGAGATTGCACCACTGCACTCCAGCCCAGGCAACAGTGCAAGACTCCATCTCAAAAATAAATAAATAAATAAATAAATATTCCTGGGCCTCACCCAGGTCCATTGAATCAGGATCTTTGGAAATGCAGCCCAGGATCTGTTTTTTTTTTGCTTTAAAAATCAATTTTATTCATGTATAATTTACATGCAATAAAAGGTGTCCTTTTTAAGCTTACAGTTCTGTGAGTTTTGACAAATGTATACAACCATGTAATCACTACCGTAATCAAAACATAAAACTTTTTCCTCACCCCACGCGATCCCCTTGTATCCATTTGCAGTCAGTTTCCCTTCTAACCTCCCCACCCCAGCCCAAGATACGCGCTGATCTGCCTGCTATCACCATAGATTAGTTCACCTGTTGTAGAATTTCACATAAGTGATATCACATAGGATGCATCTTTTCATATCTGGGTTTTTTGGCATGGCCTAATGTTGTTGTGATTTATCCATACTGTTGTGTAGATTCCAAGTTTGTTCTTTCTATCGCTCAGGAGTACTCTAGCATGTACCACAGTTGGTCTATTTATTAGACATGTGGGTGTTTCCAGTTTATGACTATTATGAATAAAGTTACTATAAATGTTCACGTACAAGTCTTGGTAAAGATACGTGATTTCCAGAAATCTGTGTTTAATCAGCATCTCCAAGAGACTTGTGCATGCTGGAGTGTGATACCTGCTGCCCTAAGTGACCAGCAGGCCCTGGGTTAGAGGGAGCTCAATGCTGGACAAGAAGCACTGGACCTTTGTCCAAGAAGACAAAGGTCAAATAATTGAGTAGTTGGCTACATCCATCTACCTTATTGGGACACTGATTGTTTTATCCCCTGGAAGGGGTTTTGCTGCTTAAAAACTATTATCATTATCATGGTTTGGGGATATTGAAAATGCCAAACTATTTCTCTCATTACTTATATGTGCTTTTTCTCTCTTTTCTTTCAGATTTTAGAAGGAGCCAAAATTATTTCTTCTCTCAGAGTAGTAGAGGGAATTATGGAAAGTAATTTTTTTCCATTTTTATTGTGTTAAAATACATGTTACATAAAATTTATCATCTTAACCATTTTTAAATGTGCATTTCAGTGGTATTAAATACATTCATAGTATTGTAAAAATATCACCACCATCTAGCTCCATAACTCTTTTCATCCTGTAAAACTGAAACTCTATACTCGTTAAACAATGGAAGGTAAATTCTTATCCAGAATCTAAGGTCTTCAGTTCAGCTTCTGGATCTTTCCTCAGAAAGGCCTGTTTGGAATGGAGAGGTATGGGATGCGACAGAGCTGGGCTTGAATTTTTTGGTTGCCTCCCAGCTCTGTACCTAGCTCCTAGCTCTCTAGAAGTCAGTTCTCTCATCTGTAAAAAGGAGTGATTTGATTTCTACCTCTTGGCATTGTATTAAGAATTAGAAATAATACAAATAAACCTCCTGGCCTGTAATCCCAGCACTTTGGGAGGCCGAGGTAGATGGATCACAAGGTCAGGAGTTCGAGATCAGCCAAAATGGTGAAACCCCATCTCTACTAAAAATACAAAAATTAGCTGGGCATGGTGGCATGCACCTGTAATCCCAGCTACTCAGGAGGCTGAGGCAGGAGAATTGCTTGAACCTGGGGAGTGGAGGTTGTAGTGAGCTGAGATCACGCCATTGCACTCCAGCCTGGGTGACAGAGCAAGACTGTCTCAAAAAATAAAATACATAAATAAATAAATAATAATAAAAAAACTTCCTGCAGTGTAACAGGCCTTGATAAATAATTACCATTAACTAACATTTGTAAATGTGAAAGAAAAATAGACTCTCAGGACCCCAAACTCACCATGCCAAAGGGAAAGTTAAGCCTAGGAACTGAGTCACCAACGCTGTCTTCCTTTTGTTCTCAAACAGATAGCTGTAATTTCACAACCCCTGTCATAGCCACATTTCCTGTCCTCTCACCTTTCACATGTTTACTTTACCTTAGGTAAAATATAGATTTACTGAGCACAAGACAATGCATAAATGATTTTTTCCTCTATTCTCTTTTAGCATGTAAAATGTAGATTTATGGAGGCTAACCAGAGCCTTATAAAAATGTAACCGTCTGCCTCACTGTCTACCCTCCCTCCCTTTTTTCCCCTCCTGCTTGTTCTCTCCCCTGTAAACACTGTAGTTCCCAAAGCTTCTTTTGGGAAAAGCATAGGTCACACGTACCTTGGTGACTTGTGTGTTTTTCCCTGGTGTGTCCTCAACCTTGGCTAAATAAACCTCTAAATGATTAAGACAGCTGCCTCAGTCACTTTTTGGTTCTGTAAGTTATCTACAGTTTATAGGATAGAGGTTAGATTCACAGCTGTGTGACCCTGGAGAACTCACTTAACATCTCTGTGCTTCAGTTTCCTTATCAGTGCAAGGGAGATCATAACAGCACTTACCATAGTGGGTTGTGAGGATTAAATGAGCTGGTCCATGTAAACCACTCGAGATGGTGCATGTGCCTGGTAAGTGCTCAAATGTTAACTATTATTAATTTTATCTTCACCAGCCTTTAGGATATTGTTATTGTCCCCTAAGGCTCAGAGAAATGATGGCCTCTAAGCCATTAGGTGAGGACTCAAGCCCGGCTTTGTCTGATTCTGATCCAATAGTTGTTACACCTTTGCTTCTGGCAACATATTTGTTTACTCTCCCAATTGCCACCAGGGAAAATAATTTCATGGGCCATGATAAAAGCGTGAATGAGATAGTTGCTTTAGATTCAGGCATTTCTAGTACCCAGAAGCCTTAGGCAAATATATCTTCTGGAAATTCTACCTTCATCACCAATTCTTCCACACCTGGGAGGCAGCAGAATTTATCAGGGGCAGCCCAAGGGTTATCATTGACTTTCTCCAATTTCCTTTCCATCCACAATTTGGTTTATCACTCAGTTCATACTCTGTCCAAAAATATGTCCTGGAATCTGTCTTCTCCTTTGAACTCTTATCTGCCTAATTAGGCTTCAGGTTTCCAAGGCCCCCAAGTCCGCCTAGTCAGTGTTGATGAAAAAAGTCAAACTCTGTAAAATATTTGAAGAGATTTATTCTGAGCCAAATATGACTGACCAGTGGCTCATCACACAGTCCCAGGGGATCTTGAGAACATGTGTCCAAGGTGGTCAGTCTACAGCTTGGTTTTATGCATTTTACAGAGACGTAAGACATCAAGCAATCAATACGCATAAGATCAGTCTGGAAAAGGGGGGCAACTCTGGGGGGAGTGGGCTTCCAGGTCATAGACAGATTCAAGAATTTTCTAGTTGGCAATTGGTTGAAAGAGTTATTATCTAAAGACCTAGAATCAGTGGAAGGGAATGTCTGGGTTAAGATAAGGGGTTGTGGTGACCAAGTTTCCCATTATGCAGATAAAATCAACAGAAGAGAATATTTCTGATCAGACGTAAAAGAGTCTATCTGTATTAAGGTCTCTCTTTTTATGTTAATGCTAGTCAGCTGTGCCTAAATTCCAATGGGAGGAGGGTATAATGAGGCATGTCTGAACCTCACTTCACATCATGGCTTGAACTAGCTTTTCAGGTTAACTTTGGAATGCCCTTGGCCAAGAGGGTGGGGTCCATTGGCCAGTTGTGGACTTAGAATTTTATTTTTGGTTTATGTTAGTATTAGTCACACCCAGCTCTTTTGATTTTACTCTTTTTCCCTTTTCCCCCTCTTTCTGGTTCCAAAGACAGCTTTCCTGCAGCACTTCCCTTATTTTGAAATTATTTTTACAAGTCTGTGTTTCCTACAAGGGTAAACTCCTGAAAGACATGGTCTTTTTTTCTTTTAACCTGGAAATGGCTCCTAGGCACAATTAAGACAAGACTAACTCATTAATATGCCTAAAGGAAGAGTCCAGAAGGGGTGTAAGGGGCATAGATATTCACAGAAAGCAGAGACAGAGAAAACACACAAAAAAATGTTGACCCTCTCAGATGAGGAGAGGTTCTTTCTGACTACCTCAAGCTACCTTATTACTTTTTTAATTTGTAGAGATGAGGTTTCACTACATTGCCCAGGCTGGTTGAACTTCTGGGCTCAAGCGATCCTCCCACCTCAGCCTCCCAAGTAGCTGGGATTATAGTAAGTGTGCACCACAAACACATGGCTAATTGTTTAATTTTTTTTTTGTGGAGGTGAGGGTCTCACCGTGTTGCCCAGGCTGGTCTTGAACTCCTGGGGTCAAGTAATCCTCTCACCTCAGCCTCCCAAAGTGCTGGGATTTACAGGCATGAGTCACTGCACCTGGCCTTAGAATAGGAATGTTTCTCAAGAACCACAGATCCCTGCCACTTCAATCATTTGATGACTGAGCGAATGTCTCTCAAATTTAGAGCCTCCTTTGAAGACCTGCCTGGGAGAAACGAATGGGTCTACTTTGCAAAAAGGAGCTATGATTCCTGTGGTGAATAGGAAAATCAATCAGCATTTCTGTTTGTACACTGGCTTAGGGAAAGGCAACTGAGTCCCTACAAGTTGGTTCTGCCCACCTTCTGTTGACATACACCAGTCTGTGAGTCTTCAATGACTTCAGTAACCTCACTGAGGGAGCTGGCCCCATGTCACTATCATGACAGTTAGCAGATCTTTCTAAAAAAAAAAAAAAAAAACAAAACCATGCTGGATCTGATTTTTCCACTCAAGAAGTGCTTTTGGGGCCTTATCAGTCTTTCCATTTCTCCAGAAAGCACTACAAACAATAGTAGCAGTTTCCTTTTTTTGAAAATTTACTCTGTGCCAGGCACATAGTTTTGTTCCTGCCCAGAATACCCTATCAGTCTATTTCAACCCTAGCCATCCTTTAAAGCCAACCATTTGTTTACTTACTCAACATTTACCCAGCACTTTCTAGACGCCAATATATGTGGCAATGTTGAGTTGAGTGAGACGCAGCTACAGTCCTCAGGAGCTCACCGTGTAATGAGGCAGAAACAGAAACTCTCTAATGAAATAGTGCATAATGATAGAGAGACGAACGGGATCCTGTGGGATACAGAGGGTCATATAACCCAGCTTTGCAAGGGAGGCTGATTCGAGAGGCTTCGTGGAGGAGGTGACACATGAGCTGAATAGGAGAGAGACTGTGGAGAAAGGCATCCTTGATCAAGTTAGCAAGTGGAAAACCACAGTGTGTGCAGGGTAAAATGAGCAGTGGTTCCACATGTTTATGGAGGACAGGTAAAAAGCCAGAGTCTACATCCCAGAGGGAGAGAAGAGATTCAACTGTTCCCCCAGTCTTACTTTCCATGCAACTTGTGTGGTGTGAGCATCCTGCCTCTGCACTTAAAGTGCCTAAAAGATACATCATTATATGAAATATCTTCCAAGTACAAGCCTGCTGTTTCATCTTTGGGGACAACCAAAGAAACAGAAATCTGCCCCAGTATTGGAGGGAAAACTAATCATGCTAGCCCTTTGTAGAGATGCAGGAGGAAGACTGTGTACCTGATGAGCATTTAAAGGATTTTCTCAGGTAATTTAAATGTTGCACATCTTTGCTTAGACTTCAGAGCCAACCTCCTCCCGCTGCCATGCAGTTCAAGGGCTTGTCGATGTGTTCACCTGCATTTTGAAATTTTTCCCAATGAGACTGTTAATTGTATTGAGGATGGGTCCTATCCCTGAGACAATGCACTTGCATTTTTTCTGTAGAAGAAATCCTCTAGAATGCACAGTAGGCTGACTGGTTTTGATGAGATACCAGTGAGGGTGGCTTTAATTTAAGCAACATGTATACAATAACATATTCCACCAGAACTAGCAATATTGTCAGGTTACAGGTTTTCAGGGCTCAGGATACCACTAGTGGCCCACTTGCAGGGTCAGAACACACACTGGAAGTTCCCAATTGCTTCTTCATTTACACAAGTTCTGTAGAAGAAACTATCAATGACAAAGCAGTGACATATGGTGGTGAAGACACTCCCTGCACCAGACTAAAAGTTTCAGTACCACGGCCAGGTGGGGAATTAAAAGAAGGAAAAACCTTGTAAACTTGATGTTAGAGTCAGAGAAGGGATGATCCAATGCCTACAATATGAGCTGAGGGCCAAGAATATTTATTATTTCTTTTACTGTTAGTTCAAATGTGAATTTCCTCTGCTCAACTCCAGACACTCAACTCCAATTTTCTGACAGTAACCATTGTAAAAAAATATTGCCACCATCTTTGTCTTTTGGGCTTATAAGTGGACTAAGTTCTTATGCTTGGTTAGGTAGAATCTTTTCAGTGACCTGAAAATGAAGGCATATGCAAATATCTTTAAAATAGTCTTTTTGAAGCTGCACAGAAAGGAAGAGTCGAGAGATCCTTCTGCGGTAGTATTGATTCCTCCCTCCCTCCCAACCAAGCCAGATCTTCAGCAGGGAGCTGGAATTGGGTTTCCAGAATAAGAGGATTGTATCCTAACAGTTCTGGAACTACATGGGGTGACATTCTCATTCAGGTGCCACCCAAGGTTTGATGACATCTGTAACAAGTCTGCTGAGAGGACAGCACAGAAGTCCCTTCAGAGGAAAAAGGCAATAAGAATGCAGCATCAAGATCCTGATTTATCGTGTTCGCATTTACCTGCCAGTCTCCTTGGATACGCCTCTCTGTTGCAGGGTAGGGGTTTTGGTTAGAAATTCTGCTCACATGCCGGGGTTGGTAGCTGCATAATTGAACAGCACAGAACTACCCAGGGAAGCTGGAGAATGTTGATTGCTCCCAGATGGATGGCCAGGGGGGCACCTGGAGGACCACAGGGTCTTAAAGGGCACTCAAAGCAAGCTACTGTTCTTCCTCACTTCTCACTGGAGCACAAGGTGTTTTGCTGCCTGCAGAAGGCAGAGATTTGTCAGAACTCCCTTCTGACCTTTATTATTGATGAAGCGATAGCAGATGGGTGGCCTACGTCTGACCCAACAGCTTACTAATCCATATGTGCCCACTCTGCTTACTAATCCATACGTGCCTGCCTTCACTCTGCATTAGGCCAATTCACCCACCCAGGCCTGGGTGAATGCAGGTCTAGACCATTGTTTTGGATTATAGTATCCCCCCAAATTCACATCAACCTGGGCCTCAGAATGTGACCTTATTTGGAAATAGGGTCTTTGTAGATGTGATTAGTTAAGACGGGGCCATTCTGGATCAGGGTGAGCCTCAGATTCAATGACTAGTGTCTTTAAGAGATAGCAGAGAGACATTCATGGAGAAGAAGCCATGCCAAGATGAGAGAAGATTGGAGGGATGTAGCTATGAGCCAAGGAAGGCCAAAGCTTGCCAGGAGCCCCCAGAAGCCAGGGGAGAGGCATGGAATAGATTCTCCCAGAATCTTCCAGAAGGAATCAACTCTGCTGACAACCTTGATTTCGGACTTACAGCCTCCAGGACTGTGAGAGAATGCATTTCTTAGTTTTAGGCCATCCAGTTTGTGGTAACTTGTTTTGGCAATCCTAGGACACTAATGCAACAGTCAAGGACAATGATGCTGCCAGGGGCTACAGAGTGAAAATAAAGGGAAGGACAGAGCCAGGGACGCCCTGGTCCGCTCTAAACTCACCAGGAAGATAAATTACTTTTGAAGGGGATCGGGGTGGGAACTTCATGGAGCTCACTGAGGGGGAGACTTGAAGCAGGCCTTCCCCCAATATTATCACTAATAAAAATCACACTGGAAGAGGAAAGCTTTCATGAAAGCTTTAATTTTGACTAAGCTAGAGTCCCTATGGAATGAACATTCACTCGTACCTCTCTCCTCACTTGTTGGAAAATAGGTAAATGAGCTTATCTCAAGTCCTTAATTAGAACATAACCACGTGCAAGGGAGATCTCTTATCAGCATAGATGTTTTTACCCACAGTTTAATGTTTGTACTGTTAGTTTTGAGAAGACGACCACAACTATTCAAAAGGACATGCCAGACACCTTAGTAAGTCACATGCAAATTGGCTAAAATTACTAAGGCAGGAAAGACCACTAATAAATGTTGCATCTTCAACCACAAGTCTAGGTATGGCCTAGTAAGTAGGATTACTCAATTAAGCAGAGCAAATATTTGCCTTGAAAATTGTAGTTAATCAAATTCCACTTCTGTCCAAGCCAAACTGAGGGTAGAACCAATTCCAGATGACACAGAGCAGAGAGACGGAGTCTGGTGGCATTGCCTGAGGCCTGAGTGAAGCTGTGCCTGAACCCATCTCTGCCTACTGCCTTTTTAAAGAACTAGACATCTGTGCAGAAGGCTGAGTTCATCATCATCCTCAGATCATGGCACTGTATGCAAAATCTCTTCATCTCTGATTAACTCTTACCCTTCTCCCCTTTCCCCATTTCTTCCTACGGGCAATCACTCTAATATGGTTAATATGGGACTTTGTCTGCAGTGGTTGTAAGCATTTCTAATTTATTCAAATAATTTTATCATATCTTCTTTCTTTTACTTTTGTCACTGAGCACCATGTCTCTGAGGTCTTTCCATGATGCTACTGTGGTTAACAGCTTTCTAACTGCTTCTCATTACTGCATACTTCTCCATGGTGTGTATTCACTGTGTTTTTTCATATCTATACCCCGCAACCACCATCACAAAATCCCCTGACAGCAATGAACATGCTGTATGTGTCTCCTGTGGAGCTATGTAACAGTTTCCTTGGGTCATAACATTAGCAGTGGGATTGCTGGGTCTGAGGAGACACTTGATTTGACTAAGTGATGGCTAATTTCTCTGGGTAATGGATGTCAGTCTACTTTTCCAATGGCGAGGGTTCTTGTATCTGTATTTGCCACCCAAGGGTTCTTGTATCTCTGTTTGCCACTAGCACTTAACATTATTGAGGTTTCTAATTTTTGCTGGTCAAATTTTAAAAAGGTAATATGTCATGTTTTTATTTATTTTTTTGAGACAGGGTCACACTCTGGAGTACAGTAGTATGAATATGGTTCACTGCGGCCTTGACCCCCAGGGCTCAAGTGTTCCTCCCACCACAGCCTCCCCAGTAGCTGGGACCACAGGTGTGCACCACCACATTCAGCTAAGTTTTAAAATTTTTGTAGAGATGGGGGTCTCAATATGTTGCCCAGGCAGGTCTCCAGCTCCTGGACTCAGACAGTCCTCCTGCCTATGCCTCCCAAAGTACTGGGATTAGAGGTGTGGGCCACCGCACCTAGTCTCATATTTTTTTAATTGGCATTTCATTAATTACGAATAACTTGCAACATCTCTCCATATACCTGTAAGTATTTGGGGTTACCCCTTCTATAAACTGCCTGTTCATATTCATCACCCATTTTTCTACTGGGGCTGCTTTCTTCTTGTTGGTTCACAAGTGTTCCATATGTAGTATGGTATTTAACCCCTTGTTGGTTTTAGAAATTGAAGATATTTCCCTTTTTCTTTAATCTACCCATTAGCTTTGTCCACAGTGTCCTTTGTGGATCAGAGATCCTTAATTTTAATGGAATTCTGGCCTGCAGAATTCTATTTTTTTTTCTTTTGGTCTGCAGAATTCTAAAGATGTCATCCCAAGATTTCGTTTCTCTGATTATCTAATCAAACACTAACCTAGGTACTGCAGAGAAGAAACTTTGCTGATTTATATAAGGTTAGGACTTTAAAATGGAGATTATCCTGGATAATTTGGGTAAGCCCAATCTCATCACTTGAGTCCTTAAAAGCAGTGAAATGTCTCCAGCTGGCATCCAAGAGTTGTAGGAGGACAGATGGAGAAGGAGCAAACAGAGGTGTGAATCATGAGAAGGGCTTGCCTGAATGTTGCCGGCTTGAAAGACTGAGGAAGGAGGCCACGAACCAAGCATTGGCTATGGCCTCTAGAAGCTGGGAAGGGCCCCTGGGCTGGTAGCCAGCAAGGAAACAGGGGCCTTAGTCCCACAGTTGCCGGGAACTGAATTTGGCCAACAACCGGAAGGAGCCCGGAAGCAGATTCTCTTCCAGAGCTTCCAGATAAGAGCCCATACCAGCTGGCACCTTGATATTAGCCTGGTGAGAGCCTAAGAAAAGTGCCCAGCTGAGCCCACTGGGTTTGACCTGCAAAACTGTGAGATAGTAAATGAGAGTCAATCAATTTGTGATAATTTGTATGGCAGCAAGAGGAAACTAATAGAGAAATCATACTTGTCAATCTTTTGCCTTATGGTTTATGTGTCTGGATTTTTTTTTCAAGTTTTTTCTTACCCCTGTGCATGCATGAATTTTCAGCCTTGTAGGGTGTTATTGCCCCTGCCATGAGGGTGAAAATTGGTTCTTGGGAGGTGAAAAAAACCCAACTCTTTAAAGCACAGATATCTATATCTATATATCTATATCTATATATGCACAATATATATATAAATAGGAAACCAACATAACTGGCATTAACATCCCCCCTGGAGGGTTACATTTAGGAAGAAAAAGTCTTAAATAAATAAAATGTAGAAGAATATCACTGTGACATGGGGCCAGTGTTTTGCAACCTTCTTTTAATTATCACCTAAAACTCATAAAAACTCCTAAGAAGTTTTTTTTAAGACTTTTTTTAATCCCAGGAGAGTAGCTGGGATTACAGGCGTGTGCCACCATGCCCGGCTAATTTTTGTGTTTTTACGAGAGACAGGGTTTCACCACGTTGGCCAGGCTGGTCTCGAACTC